>NC_000004.12:151042593-151345623 GCF_000001405.40 Homo sapiens
GGGAGGCCGAGGTGGGTGGAGGTCAGGAGTTTGAGGCCGGCCTGACCAACAGAGTCAAACCCCGTCTCTACTAAAAATATAAAAATAATCCTGGCGTGGTGGTGCATGCCTGTAATCCTAGCTACTGGGGAGGCTGAGGCAGGAAAATCACTTGAACCCGAGAAGTGGAGGTTGCAGTGAGCTGAGATTGCACCACTGCACTCCAGGCTGGGTGACAGAGTGAGACTGTCTCAAAAAAAAAAGAAAGAAAAGAAAAAAAAAGTGAATTTTGGCAGGACATGGTGGCTCACGCCTGTAGTCCCAGCACTTAGGGAGGCCAAGGCGGGCAGCTAACTTGAGGTCAGGAGTTTGAGACCAGCCCTGCCAACACGGTGAAACCTCCTCTCTACTAAAAATACAAATGTTAGCCAGGCGTGGTGGTGCCCACCTGTAGTCCCGGCTACTTGGGAGGCTAAGGTAGGAGAATTGCTTGAACTTAAGAAGGGGAGGTTACAGTGAGCCGAGATTGTGCCACTGCACTGTAGCCTGGGTGACAAAGCAAGACTGTGTCTCAAAAAAAAAAAATTTTATGGTATGTGAGTTGTATTTCAATAAAAAGTTGTTAATTAAAATAAAAATAAATTCAACAAGAACACATTGAAAGTTTTAAGTAGAGAGGTTGGGCACGGTGGCTCACACCTGTAATCCCAGCACTTTGGGAGGCCCAGTTGGGTGGATCACTTGAGCTCAGGAGTTCAAGATCAGTATAGCCAACAAGGTGAAACCCTGTCTCCATTAAAAATACAAAAATTAGCTGGGTGTGATGGCACACACCTGTCATCCCAGCTATTTGGGAGGCTGAGGCAGGAGAATCATTTGAACCCAGGAGGCAGAGGTTGCAGTGAGCCGAGATTGCACCACTGTACTCCAGCCTGGGCGACAGAGCAAGACTCCATCTCAAAAAAAAAAAAAAAGTTCACTCTGGCTGACTGCGGCTTTCTTATATCATATGTTCTTACTGCCTTGTACAATCATGTATCACTTAACAACAGGGATACGTTCTGAGAAATGCATCCTTAGGTGAAGAACTATATGATGTGAACATCATACAGTGTCCTTACACAAACTTAGATGGTACAGCCTACTACACACCTAGGCTATATGGTTTGGCGTAGTAATATAATAATGTTCTTCAGCTACAAACCTACACAGTATGTCATTGTACTGAATACTGTAAGCAATTGTAACACCATGGTAAGTATTTCTGTATCTAAACATAGAAAAAGTAGAATAAAAATATGGTATGAAAGATTTAAAAATGAGCCACATGTAGTTGTACATGCTTGTAGTACCAAGTATTCAGGAGGCTGAGTCAAAAGGAGCACTTGAGCCCAGGAATTTCAGTCCAAACTGAGCAACACAGTGAGACCACATCTCTAGGGAAAAAACCATCTCTAAGGAAAAAATAAACTCACCATGAATATAGCTTGCAGGACTGGAAGTTGCTCTAGGTGAGTCAATGAGTAAGTAGTGAGTGAATGTGAAGGCCTAGGACATTACTGCACACTACTGTAGACTTTATAAACACTGTACACTTAGGCTACACTATATTTTAAAAGTAAGTAATTGCACTATGACATTACAACAGCTACAATATCACTAGGCAATAGGAATTTTTCAGCTCCATTATAATCTGACAGGACCACCATGCAGTCAGTTGTTGACAGAAAGGTTGCTCTGCGGTGCATGACTGTATTAAGGTTCCAAATGTGTCTGATCTTTCCAACAGCCTGTAAGTGCCTGGGTAATGGGATCAATGTCCAATTTATCTTTACTTTACCCAGAATGTCCATTCCAGTGTCTTACTTGTGTTTTACATTCAGGGAATATTTGCAAAGTTAAAGAATTAACAAAAGAAAAACCACATCTCCATGATAACTATATATTCTGTATGTCTTACACAATTAACATTTTTGGAATAAAAAATCAGTGTGCAGGCCAGGCATGGTGGCTCATGCCTGTAATCCCAGCACTTGCAGAGGCCAAGACGGGAGGATTGTTTGAGGCCAAGAGTTCAAGACCAGCCTGGGCGACATAGTGAGACCCTGTATCTACAAAAAAATACAAAAATTGGCCAGGTGTTGTGGCATGTGCCTGTAGTCCCAGCTACTTGGGAGGCTGTGGCAAGAGAATCACTTGAGCCCAGGAGGTCAAGGCTGCAGTGAGCCGTTTTTACGCCACTGCACTCCAGCCTAGGCAACAGAGCAAGATTCTGTCTCAAAAAAAAAAAAATTAAAACACACACAAAAAAACTGTGCAAATATATATTCAATCTGGTTTATAATTTTAATTAAATGTCATTGGTATAAAATACCCCAAGACAGTTCTGTTCAGTCATAAGATTGTTTTGGGGTGACTTCTGATTTTAGTTTTGTATATTTTACCATATTTTTCAAGTTTCCTACAAATGCACTTGTAATGCTTTTTTTTTTTTTTTTTTTCCCATACAGAGTCTTACTCTGTCACCCAGGCTGGAGTGTAGTGTCATAATCACAAAATCGTGGCTCACTGCAGCCTCAGCCTCCTGGGTGATCCTCCCACCTCAGCCTCCTGAGTAGCTGGGACAAAAGGTATGTACCATGCTGGGTTAATTTTTTATTTTTAGTAGAGATGGGGTCTTGCTATGTTGCCCAGGCTGGTCTTGAACTCCTGGGCTCAAGCAATCTGCCTGTCTCGGCCTCCCAAAGTGCTGGGATTACAGGCATGAGCCACTGTGCCCAGCCCGTAATACTTCTATATTCAAAAAAACAAGTGGCTTTTTTTAAGCCCTTGAAATACTCAACTCTTCTAAATTATAATATGCAGACACACAAAAAAGATTACGATGATTAACTTAAGAAACTGAGTACAGTCATGTGCTGTATAATAACTGTTCAATGATGGACCACATATACCGTGGTGGTCCTATAAGATTATAATACCAGGCCAGGTGAGGTGGCTCAAATCTGTAATCTCAGCATTTAAGGAGGCAGAGGCAGGAGGATCGCTTGAACCAAGCAGTTCTAGACGAGCCTGGGTGGCATAGTGAGACCTCATCTTTATTTATTTAAAAAATTTAAATTAAAAATTTTAAAGATTATATCATATTTGTATGTGGTACAGTTGTCGACAGTATTCAGTACAGTAACATGCTGTATAGGTGTATAGCCTAGGCGCAACAGGCTCTACCATGTAGCCTAGGTGTGCAGTAGGCTGTACCATCTAAGTTCGTTTGAGTGCACTCTGTGATGTTCCCACAACATCAAAATCACCTAATGACGCCTTTCTCAGAACATATCCTGGTCATTAAGAACACAGGACTGTATACATAATCCAAGAATGATTCCTGCCCAAATTTGGTACCTGCAGGGTTTTTCCACACCCAGTTGAGGCCACTTATTCATTTGTTTATTCATCAATAAAATACTGTCAGGCCAGGGCTAATAGTTACAGAACTCTGGGGGAGGGTCGGGGTATAGGGCCCATTGACATAGAATACAGTGTGAATGCGCCCTCTGGAGTTGTGTAACATTTAAGCACTAAGCAGGTACTGTTCAGGCACGGTGCAAGCTCTGGAAATAAAACAATGGATAAGGCAGTTCTCACATTGTGTTACAAAAGCATGTTAAATTATCTGTCTCTCCCAATGTGAGGCCAGGAACCAGGTAGATGTTAAGTCAGATTTCTTTTCTTTTCTTTTGAGTCTTGCTCTGTCACCCAGGCTGGAGTGCAGTGGCACAATCTTGGCTCACTGCAACCTCCACCTCCCAGGTTCAAGCAATTCTTGTGCCTCAGCCTCTGGAGTAACCCGCCACCACACCCGGCTGATTTTTGTATTTTTAGTAGAGATGGGGTTTCACCATATTAGCCAGGCTGGTCTCAAACTCCTGACCTCAAGTGATCCACCCACCTTGGCCTCCCAAAGTGCTGGGATTACAGACGTGAGGCCACATGTAACATGTGTGTACAGGTGTACAGGCCACTGCGCCAGGCCATGAACAGATTTCTGAAGCAGGTGATGACTGAGGCGTTTACCCAGCAGAGAAGGGATAGAGTCAAAGAGGTTTCCAATCAGAAAAAAGCAGCGAGTGGGAAGGCAAAACGGGATTGTGTTTGACAAGTTCTGTTTGTCTGGGAAAAAGAGCAGGAGTAAGGGAGTGGAAAGAGACTTATACTGGAGGGATGTGTAAATCACAACGAAGAATTTAGACTTAATCCTAAAGGCCAGGGGAATCAGTAAAGAGCTTTAAAGAGGAGAATGGCTTGATCAGATTTGTGCATTCCCAAACTAGACAACTGGAATAGAGGTACCTCTGACTGAAGTCAGGAAGCCCTGTTTAGAAACTATAGCCTAAAACCAGGGGGTCATAACCTGGGACCTATGGTAGATTGAACTTGAATGCAAAAAAAAAATAAAAAATAAAATAAATCTTCTTTTACCAATCTCTAATCGAAATTTAAGATTTCCTCCTATTATGAATATAGGCAATAAATCCTAGTATTATTAACAACAGCTGTGACTCTACAACCACCAGAAGGAGTCAGACATTTTCACAAGACATCCCATCTTGAAGACTTTTTTTTTTTTTTTTTTTTTGAGATAGAGTTTCACTCTTGTTGCCCAGGCTGGTGTGCAACAGCACGATCTCGGCTCACCGCAACGTCCCCCTCCCAGGTTCAAGCAATTTTCCCACCTCAGCCTCCCGAGTAGCTGGGATTATAGGCACACGCCACCACACCTGGCTAATTTTGTATTTTTAGTAGAGATGGCGTTTCACCATGTTGATCAAGCTGGTCTCGAACTCCCAACCTAGGTGATCCACCCGCCTCAGCCTCTCAAAGTGCTGGGATTACAGGCATGAGCCACTGTGCCCGGCCAAAGATATATTAAAAAATTTTTTTTTTTAATTTTTCGAGACAGGGTCTCACAAGGTTGCCCAGGCTGGAGTACAGTGACTTTTTTTTTTTTTTTTTGAAATAGAGTTTCGCTCTTGTTGCCCAGGCTGGAGTGCAATGGCGCGATCTAGGCTCACTGCAACCTCTGCCTCCCAGGTTCAAGCAATTCTCCTGCCTCAGCCTCCTGAGCAGCTGGGATTATAGGCATGTGCCACCGTGCCCGGCTGATTTTGTATTTTTAGTAGAGACGGGGTTTCTACATGTTGGTCAGGCTAGTCTCAACTCCCCACCTCAAGTGATTCGCCCGCCTTAGCCTCCCAAAGTGCTGGGATGACAGGCGTGAGCCACCGCACCCGGCCATGCAGTGGCTTTTCACAGGCATAATCATAGCACACTACAGCCACAAGCTCCTGGGTGCAAATGACCCTCCTGCCTCAGCCTGAGTATCTGGGACTACATGTACACTCCATCACACCTGGTTACTGCAAATATCTTAAAACATTATTTATCTTCATTGCTACTGTGAAATTATAGTAGTTATACCCATTGCTAGACCTTGTTATTAATGGGTTGACAAATACATACATATATTGCACCTGTGTTTTAAATAGTCTGGTAACTGCACTGCAATATAATAGTTTCCTACTTTATACATTTAAAGCCATTATTCTGGGGCAAGTGCGTAGGCTTTACCAGATGGACAAAGTAGACTGACACCAAAAGGCTCAAAGTCCCTTCTCAGGCTCTAGTTCTACTGAAATACCTGTGGCTCCTCTAAAGAAGCAAGCTTCCCTCTCTAACCTTCCCCTACTTGCCCAATCTCTTCGGCTTTGTTTTTGTTGTTGTTGTTGTTGTTTGTTTGGTTTGTTTGTTTTGAGATGAGTCTCGCTCTGTTGCCCAGGCTGGAGTTCAGTGGTGCGATCTTGGCTCACTGCAACCTCCACCTCCTGGGTTCAAGCGATTCTCCTGCCTCAGCCTCCCTGGTAGCTGGGATTACATGCGCTCACCAGGACGCCCGGCTAATTTTTGTATTTTTAGTAGAGACGGGGATTCGCCATGTTGGCCGGGCTGGTCTCAAACTCCTGACCTCAGGTGATCCACCCGCCTTGGCCTCCCAAATTGCTGGGATTACAGGCCTGAGCCACCGCGCCCATCCTCTTCTGCTTTATTTTGTTTATTATTATTTTTGGTGAGGAGAGGAGGAAGCTCTCCCCGTTCTAAAAGCTTTAAATGCCAGTTATTTTCTTCACCCTCAGACAAACTCCTTCAGACCTCGCTTGGGGAGCCTCTGCACCCAACCCTCCCCCAGGAGGTTGTCCTTCCTATGTGCTCTCATGACAGCCTGTTTTTACCCCAAACATAGTGCTTACCAGAGAGATCCAGCACCCCACAATTTAACATTTGAGCTTTTAAATATCACAAGTCGCCCTGAAACTCCAGGAAATGCAGTAATTTGCCAGTCCACTAAGGCATGATGTCAAATTGCTACCGCCGGGATGGAGTTACAGCTCCTGAGGCCCCAGTGGGCGTGTGTTACCGTGTGCTGTTTCAGTTTAGCCATCCTCAGTTTAGCCATCCGCAGGCGGCTTGTGCTAGCTCACTTAGACCCCTGCCTTATTGCAAGGACAGAGGGCTTTCTGTGTCCCGGGGTTTCTTGCCATGGTGTAGCGGAAGAATCAAGGACAGGTTGGATTGGAGAATGAGTGCAAGGTTTTACTGAGTGGAAGTAGCTCTCAGCAGATAGGAGAGCCAGAAGGAAGATGGAGTGGGAAGGCGGTTTTCTCCTGGAGTGGGGCTGCTCAGCGGCCTGGGCTCTCCTCCAACCGCCCTGGCCAAACTCACCGTGGTCCTACTGGAGGATGGTCTGCCGGAGGATGGCCTGCCGGAGGATGGCCTGCCGGAGGATGGCCTGCCGCAGGATGGCCTGCCGGAGGATGGCCTGCCGCAGTCTTCAGGTGTGCTCTTCCGCCAGAGCCCAGCCACTATGTGTTCTTACGCCTGTGTGTTCCTCTCCAAGTGGAGCCGCTCCTGCCGGCCTGCTAGGGTCTCGGGTGCTTTTATAGGCACGGGATGGGGGCGTGGCGGACCAGAGTGGTCTTGAGAAATGCAACATTTAGGCAAGAAAACAAAAATGCGTGTCCTCACCTAGGTTCGTGGGCACAGGCCTGGGGGTGGAGCCCTAGCCAGGGACCCCTCCCTTCTCTACCCAGCACTTCCCTGCCCCTCTTCCGTATCAATGCCACCCCCAGGGGCCATATGGGGCCTAACAATAGGTGCTCAATAAATGGTTTCCTGGTTAAGGAAAGGAGGAATCCCAAGAATCTTGCCTTCTCTTACCCACAGGGAATCTCCTGGAGGTCATGGCCTCCATCTTGATCTTACTGAATTCCTAGCTCCTAGAATAGTGCCTGGCTGATAAAAAGTACTCTCAATTTATTCATTGATTGCTTGTCTAAGTCTAATTTGTGTTTATCTGATACACATTTTCTTTCATTGAGGGTTTTCTATAAATATCTTTGAATATGTTTCTCTTTTTTTTTGAGACAGAGTTATGCTCTTGTTGCCCAGGCTGGAGTGCAATGGCACAATCTCGGCTCACTGCAACCTCCGCCTCCGGATTCAAGCGACTCTCCTGCCTCAGCCTCCTGAGTAGCTGGGGTTACAGGCGTGCACCACCACGGCCGGCTAATTTTTGT
The DNA here is from genome assembly GCF_000001405.40 of Homo sapiens. Taxonomy (NCBI): domain Eukaryota; kingdom Metazoa; phylum Chordata; class Mammalia; order Primates; family Hominidae; genus Homo; species Homo sapiens. The sequence continues at coordinate 151,050,204 of NC_000004.12, forward strand.
ATTTTTAATAGAGAAGGAGTTTCACCATGTTGGCCAGGCTGGTCTCCAAATCCTGACTTCAGGTGATCCTCCCGCCTTGGCGTCCCAGTGTTGGGATTACAGGCATGAGCCACCGTGCCCGGCCTGAATATATTTCTTTTTTTTTTTCTAAATATATTTCTTTTATTTTATTTTTTTTAAATAATTGAAATGGGGTCTCACCGTATTGCCCAGGCTGGTCTTGAACTCCTGGCCTCAAGCAATCTGCCCACCTTGGCCTCCCAAAGTGCTAGGATTACAGGCATAAGCCACCACACCTGGCCATATAAATGTCTTTGAATAGCAAAATAATGTACAAAAATATTAAATATGCCTAATTTAACAGATAATCAGCAGTTCTTTTCAGCTTTCAACTTTTATATTCATTGAAATAACTGCAGTGAGCCAAGATCATGCCATTGCACTTCAGCTATGGCGACAGAGCAAGACTCTGTCTCGGGGAAAAAAAAATTAAAAAACTGAGGTTTGGCTGCGGTGGTCCATGCCTATAATCCCAGCACTTTGGGAGGCCAAGGCAGGTGGATCGCTTGAGCTCAGGAGTTCGAGACCAGCCTGGGCAACATGGCTAAAACCCATCTCTGCAAAAAATACAAAACTTAGCCGGGCATGGTGGCACCAGTCTATTAGTCCCAGCTACTCAGAAGCTGACACAGGTCGAGGCTGTAGTGAGACTGCAGTGAGAGATTGCACCACTGCATTCCAGCATGGGTGACAGAGTGAGACCCTGTCTCAAAAAAGTACTGTGGCAAAAATAAATATAATTAGGGGAAACTCTTAGTGGAAATCTTTATTAAACTGTAGGGGTTTTTTGTTTGTTCTTTTTTTTTTTTTGAGACAGTCTCACTGTGTTACTCAGGCTGGAGTGCAGTGGCGCGATCTCAGCTCACTGCAACCTCTGCCTCCCGGGTTCAAGCCATTCTCTTGCCTCAGCCTCCCAAGTAGCTAGGGTTTCAGGCACGTGCCACCATGCCTGGCTAATTTTTGTATTTTTAGTAGAGACGGGGTTTCACCATGTTGGTCAGGCTTGTCTCAAACTCCTCCCGCCTCTGCCTCCCAAAGTGCTGGGATTACAGGCATGAGCCACCGCATCTGGCTTTTTTTTTTTTTTGAGACGGAGTCTCACTCTGTCTCCCAGGCTGGAGTGCAGTGGCGTGATCTCGGCTCTGCAACTTCCGCTCCCCAGGTTTAAGCAATTCTCTGCCTCAGCCTCCAGAGTAGCTGGGATTACAGGCGCGTGCCACCATGCCCAGCTAATTTTTTGTATTTTTAGTAGAGATGGGGTTTCACCATCTTGGCCAGGCTTGTCTTGAACTCCTGACCTCGTGATCCACCCACCTTGGCCTCCCAAAGTGCTGGGATTACAGGTATGAGCCACCGCGCCTGGCCTTTTTTTTTTTTTTTTTTTAGACAGGTTTTGGCTCTGTCACCCAGGCTGGAGTGCAGTGGCAGGATCTCGGCTCACTACAACCTCTGCCTTCTGGCTCAAGTGATTCTCCAGCCTCAGCCTCCTGAGTAGCTGGGACTACAGGCGTGCCACACCCGGCTAATGTTCTGTATTTTTAGTAGAGACTGGGTTTCACCATGTTGGCCAGGCTGGTCTTGAACTCCTGACCTGAAGTGATCCGCCTGCCTTGGCCTACCAAAGTGTTAGGATTACAGGCGTGAGCCACCGCAACCAGCCTAAATTGTTTCTTCAGGCAAAAGAAAACTATTTTAAAAATGAAAAAAAATTGTTTCTGAGGGGGATGAAATTTGATGGTACTAAGTCAAAGAAAGTACTAAGTACTAAGTCAAAGAAAGAAGAGTGGGCCGGGCGTGGTGGCTCATGCCTATAATCCCAGCACTTTGGGAGGCAGAGGTGGGCGGATTATCTGAGGTTGGCAGTTTGAGACCAGCCTGACCAACATGAAGAAACCCCGTCTCCACTAAAAACACAAAATTAGCCTGGCGTGGTGGCATATGCCTGTAATCCCAGCTACTCAGGAGGCTGAGGCAGGAGAATCGCTTGAACCTGGGAGGCGGAGGTTGTGGTGAGCCAAGATGGTGCCATTGTACTCCAGCCTGGGCAACAAGAGCGAAATTCTGTCTCAAAAAAAAAAGAAAAAAAAGAAGGGAGTTATCTTTTTCCATGTCTAGAATGTGTTAAGTATAAACAGCATCCTATCTCAAAATGCTTCTCTTCCTGGTGGATCCAGAAATAGACACATAAAACCCAAAAGTGAAAGGTACAAATTTCCACTTAACAGCTCCTCGCCCTTTTCCCTCATTAGCTTCGGCTGAACTGAGTCAGATAGTCACTAATAACTATGTGTCCCATGTATATTTAGAAGCCACCTTGCAGAGGCATTTGTCTTTGCCTCTGAGTGTAGTTTCAGTAAACCTTTCAGTTACTGTTTCTTACATATCACAAAAGCCCAGCTTTGTGAAATTGACCACTTTCATTTTTTAAAAATAATGAGTGTTCATGTCTTGAGGGATGACAAAAACATTTGGAACTTTTTCTTTATATGTTTTGTGATTAAAAAATACATTTACTAATGATTTTTAGATTATATAGGATAGGATAAACTATAATAAAAGAAAAATAGTTTCAGCTTTGTGTGTGTGTGTGTGAAATTTGGGGATACTTTGACACATCTCAACATTTTATTGAATCTTATTCTACTGAACCTACATATAAGTGGTATGATAAAATGGGACAAAAATCATATCCCCATCAGTGTTCTACCACACCTTAAAAGTCAACAATGGGATTAATCATTAAAGGCTTTCTTAGCATACAAACACTTTAGCTGTGTTAAGTCACTCTTGATAATTTTACCTATGAATTTAAATTGTTACTACTCATGTCACCACGGTCCCAAAGAAATGGCACATATAACAGGTAAGTTTTTATGAAGAAAAAGTTCGCTAGAGACAATGGCCCACTTCTCGATGTACCAAAGGAGGGACCCAGCAGAGCCCTTAGCATAGGAATGAATGCTTCACCATCCTTCTCTACCGCTAGTTCTGATCTCAAGAATAAGTGACTTCGAATTAAGAAACAGGTAAAGAGGAGGGGCGTGGTGGCTTACGCCTGTAATCCCAGCACTTTGGGAGGCCGGGGAGGGCAGATCACCTGAGGCCAGAAGTTCTAGACCAGCCTGGTCCAACATGGTAAAACCCTGTGTCTACTAAAATTTTATACAAAAATTACCCAGGCGTGGTGGTGAGCACCTGTAATCCCAGCTACTCGGGAGGCTGAGGCAGGAGAATTGCTTGAACCTGGGAGGCAGAGGATGCAGTGAGCTGAGGTCGCACCATTGCATTCCAGCCTGGGAGACCAAGGGAGACTCCGTCTAAAAAAAAAAAGAAACAGGTAGCCGGGCGCAGTGGCTCATGCCTGTAATCCCAGCACTTTGGGAGGACAAAGGGGGTGGATCACGAGATCAGGAGATCGAGACCATCCTGGCTAACATGGTGAAACCCCATCTCTACTAAAAATACAAAAAATTAGCCAGGCGTGGTGGCTGGAGCCTGTAGTCCCAGCTACTCAGGAGGCTGAGGCAGGAGAATGGCGTGAACCCGGTAGGTGGAGCTGGCAGTGAGCTGAGATCGCGCCACTGCACTCCTGCCTGGGCGACAGAGCGAGGCTCCATCATAAAAATAAAATACAATAAAATAAACAGGTAAAGAAATATAGCAAGCAATGTCAAACCATGCAAACATGTCTGTCTAAGTGATAAGACCAGCCATTTATTCTCTGATGAAAGTAAAACCAAAGGTCTTCAGACTATGAAAGTTTCCTGCCCAGTTGAGTTATAGGTCTTATATCCCAAACAGGGGGACTTAGTGTTTATGTATGTTGAATGTTTATTGCACAGACCTCCCCACCCCTCTCCCCTCACTTATCATCCAGAATGCTAGCAACTAGGCATTTGTCCACCTAGCAGGAGATCGGAAGTTTCTTCCTAGTGAACTTGCCCACTCCAGGCACTCTATAATGAATTGTAAAGTCAACAAGCCCCATATGCAAGCCACGCCCAGTGGCACAAGCCTGTAGTCTCAACTATTCTAGAGGCTGAGGTGGGAGGATTGCTTGAGCCCAAGAATTAGAGGCCTAGAGGCCAGCTTGGGCAACATAGCAACACTCCGTCTCTTTAAAAAAAAAAAAAAAGCCCCATATTTTGCACTTCCATTGAGTTTTTACTCTCTCATGCTTAATCATGGGGATAAGTTGCCATGCTTTAATCATATGATTATGTGATCAAGGATTACCGGCTGGGCATGGTAGCACACGCCTGTAATCCCAGCACTTTGGGAGACTGAGGTGAGCAGATCACCTGAGTTCAGGAGTTCAAGACTAGTCTGGCCAACATGGTGAAACCTTGTCTCTAGTAAAAATACAAAAATTAGCCAGGTGTGATGACCCATGCCTGTAGTCCCAGCTACTCAGGAGGCTGAGGCAGGAGAATTGCTTGAACCTGGGAGGTGGAGGTTGCTGTGAGCCGAGATCGTGCCACTGCACTCCAGCCTGGGCGACAGAGGGAGACTCCATCTAAAAAAAATAATAAAGGTTTACAAGTCATTGAGAAAGTCTTCTAATATGAAAGATACAGGTAAATACAAACAGAAAGAAGCAATCTAGGCCGGGTGCAGTGGTTCATGTCTGTAATCCCAGCACTTAGGGAGGCCGAAGAAAGAGGATCACTTGAGGCCAGGAGTTCCAGACCAGCCTGGGCAACATAAAAGACTTCATCTCTATTAAAAAAAAAAAAAAAAAGAAAAGAAAAGAAAAGAAAGAAAGAAAAAAGCAATCAGGAGGAATTAAAGACTATTCAGGGAAAATAAAACTTTAGAAAGAAAAACAAAATGTCATTAATATCCTTAGAGTTATTAAAAAATATATACAGCATCTACAAAACAAGAATAGGATGCTATAGAACAGGAGTTCTCAGAGAACAAAAGAGTCGTTGGGAATTAAAGACATGACAGAAACAAAAAGACAACTCTTAATAGAGGAGAAGATGAAGTATTACTAAAAGTGGAACAAAACAAAACAGAGATGGAAATAGGAGAAAAAAGATAACAAAACCAAAGGAACAGAAAAAGTAGAACAAAGCAAATAATCAAAATAATTTAAGAAAAATCACCAGAGTTTAAGAACTTGAGGGTTCAGATTAAAAGGACCCACCAAGTGCTGAGGAAAACAGATGAAGATAGATTCAAAACAAGTCACCCATTGTGAAACTTCACAACAACTGGACAAAGAAATTCGAATAACTTCCAGGGGGAAGAAAAAGGAAACAGTTTGGTTATACACAAAGAATGAAGAAACACAACAGCTCTGGACTTCCCAACAGCAGGACTGGAAACAAGAAGACAGGCTTTCAAGAAGCAAGAGAAATGCCTTCAAAATCCTGAAAATGATCTCCAACCTAGAATTTTGTCCTTAGAAATTATCAAGCAAGAATGGAGATTGAGGACTTCCAGTTCCAAAATGGCAGCATAGAGGCAAACTGGCTTCACTCACCCCCTCCTCCCCCAAACAGAAAACCAAAAACAAATACACAGCACCGAGATTTTCACCAGCAGCAACTCAGAGGTCAAGTATGAGGATGAGATAGTTCCTGGGGCCACAGAGAAATGGAAAAATTCTGAGCAGATGATAGAAAGTCAAATCATCTGTAAGTAATGATGATTTCTTCCTAATATTTATATCTCTTATTTCATTTCCTTGTCTAATAAATTGGCTATTATTTACAAAATGGTGAAAGCTACCCACTTTGTCTTGCTCTTGATATTAATAGTTTTCAGGGATGGAATTTTAAAAATATGTAAAAACTAGAAAAGGGCCCTGACCAGTCAGAATAGAGGCACCAGTCACAGCAGATATCAGGGCCAGGAACAGTGGCCAACACCTGTAATCCCAGCACTTTGGGAGGCTGAAGCAGGAGGATCACTTGAGCGCAGGAGTTTAAGACCAGCCTGGGCAATATAGTGAGACATCATCTCTATAAAAAATTTAAAAATTAGCTGAGCATGGTGGCCCGCGCCTGTAGTCCCAGCTACTCAGGAGGCTGACATGGGAGGATAACTTGATCCCAGGCAGCAAAGGTTGCAGTGAGCTGAGATCAAGCCCTTGCACTCCAGCCTGGGCGATAGAGCAAGACTCTGTCTCTAAAAAAAAAACCCAGATATCAGCTGTAGACAGTCAGTACGGTTAAATCAATGTGCAATTATGTGCCCATAGTATGCTCTCAGTGTTTTATCATCAGGCATGATGTTGTTTGCTGATTTGTAATAAATTTAATATAATATTTTAAAAAGAGGATGGGCATTGAACAAAGATATTTTCAGACATTCAAGGTCTCAAAAATGTTTTCCTGTGTATCTTTTCTTTCTTTTTTTTAGACGGAGTCTTGCTCTGTTGCCCAGGCTGGAGTGCAGTGGCGTGATTCTGGCTCACTGCAACCTCCATCTCCAAAGTTCAACTTCAAGCGATTCTCCTGCCTCAGCTTCCTGAGTAGTTGGGACAACAGGTGTGGGCCACCAGTCCCAGCTAACTTTTGTATGTTTTAGTAAAGACGGGGTTTCACCACATTAGCCAGGCTGGTCTCGAACTCCTGACCTTGTGATCCTCCTGCCTTGGCTCCCAAAGTGCTGGGATTACAGGCGTGAGCCACTGCGCCCAGACTGTTAATGCTACTTCTTCACCCAGGTGATGGTTACATAGATTTATCATGATTATTTAAACCATATGTATACATTTAACACTCTGTTCCATATATATGATGCATTTCAGAATGAAACATCTTGGCCAGGCACAGTGGCTCATGCCTGTAATCCCAGCACTTTGGGAGGCCAAGGCAGGCGGATCACCTGAGGTCGGGAATTCAAGATCAGCCTGACCAACATGGAGAAACCCCGTCTCTACTAAACATACAAAAATTAGCCAGTCGTGGTGGTGCATGCCTGTATTCCCAGCTACTTGGGAGGCTGAGACAGGAGAATCGCTTGAACCTGGGAGGCGGAGGTTGCAGTGAGCCAAGATGACACCATTGCACTCCAGTTGGGACAACAAGAATGAAACTCCGTCTCAGAAAAAAAAAAAAAGAATTTAAATAGGCATTTTATTAAAATTATTTAACTGCGTTTTATTAAAATATGCTTCTGTTTCATTACCAACTTTGATTTCAGATCTTTTTCTTTATTTTTTCGAGATGCAGTTTTGTTCATTTCCCAGGCTAGAGTGCAATAGCACGATCTCGGCTCACCGCAATCTCAGCCTCCCGGGTTCAAGCGATTCTTCTGCCTCAGCCTCCCAAACAGCTGGGATTACAGGCATGCGCCACCACGCCTGGCTAATTTTGCATTTTTAGTAGAGACGGGGTTTCTCCATGTTGGTCAGGCAAGTCTTGAACTCCCGACCTCTAGGTGATCTGCCTGCCTTGGCCTCCCAAAGTGCTGGGGTTACAGGTGTGAGCCACCACCCCCGGCCTGATTTCAGATCTTAAAGAAATTCAGGGCCGGGGGGTCGGTCGGTGGCTCATGCCTGTAATCCCAGCACTTTGGGAGGCCGAGGCGGGCAGATCACTTGAGCTCAGGAGTTGGAGATCAGCCTGGCCAACATGGTGAAACCCCGTCTCTACTACAAAATTAGCCAGGCATGGTGGCGCATGCCTGTAATCCCAACTGCTGGGGAGACCGAGTCACGAGTTATCACTTGAACCCGGGAGGCGGAGGTTGCAGTGAGCTGAGATCGCACCACTGTACTCCAGACTGAGCGACAGGGTGAGACTCCATCTCAAAAAAGAAAAAAAAAAAAGAAAGAAAGAAAAAGAAATTCAGAGGCCGGAAGAGGGGTGGCTCACGCTTGTAATCCCAGCACTTTTAGCTGGGCATGGTGGCAGGCGCCTGTAATCCCAGCTACTTGGGGGACTGAGGCAGGAGAATCTCTTGAATCCAGGAGGCAGAAGTTGCAGTAAGCCAAGAGCGCGCCATTGCACTCCAGCCTGGGGCACAAGAGCGAAATTCTGTCTCAAAAAAAAAAAAAAAAAAGAAAGAAAGAAAGAAAAAAGAAAAGAAAAGAAAAATTCACGGCTGGGATGGTGGCTCACGCCTGTAATCCCAGTACTTTTGGGAGGCTGAGGTGGGCAGATTGCTTTAGTCCTAGAGTTTTGAGACCATCAAGCAACTGGTCGGCAATATGATGGAAACCCGTTTCTACAAAAAATACCAAAAATTACTTACGCATCGTGGTGCATGCCTGTAGTCCTAGCTACTCGGGAGGATGAGGTGGGAGGATCACCTGAGTGTGGGAGGTCGAGGCTGCAGTGAGCCGTGATTGCACCACTGCACTCCAGCCTGGGCGACAGAGTGAGTCCCTGTCTCAAAAAAAAAAAAAAAAAAGGAAAAGAAAAGAAAAAAAAAAGAAATTCAGTTTTTATAAAACCCCTATATCTGGACCATTCCATTCAAAAGGGAATTGATATAATATTGCTGCTATATAGAAAACAGAAAACTCCGGGTACAGTGCCTCACGCCTGTAATCCCAGCACTTCGGAAGGCTGAGGCAGGTGGGTCACCTGAGGTCAGGATTTAGAGACCAGCATGGCCAACATAATGAAACCTCATCTCTACTAAAAATACAAAAATTATCCGGGCATGGTGGTGTGCCCCTGTAGTCCCAGTTACTCAGGAGGCTGAGGACGGAGAATCGCTTGAACCTGGGAAGCGGAGGTGACAGACTCCGTCTCAAAAAATAAATAAAAATAGGCTGGGCACAGTGGCTCACGCCTGTAATCCCAACACTTTGGGAGGCCAAGGCGGGCAGATCACGAGGTCAGGAGATCGAGACCATCCTGGCTAACACGGTGAAACCCTGTCTCTACTAAAAATACAAAAAAATTAGCCGGGGGTGGTGGCAGGCGCCTGTAGTCCCAGCTACTAGGGAGGCTGAGGCAGGAGAATGGCGTGAACCCGGGAGGCAGAGCTTGCAGTGAGCAGAGATCGTACCCCTGCACTCCACAGCCTGGGTGACAGAGCGAGACTCTGTTTCAAAAAAAAAAAAAAAAGAGAGAGAAATGACTATGGCCTTGACCAGGGTTGTAGCAGTGGAAGTGGTGAGTAGCGTTCAGATTCTGAATATATTTTGAAGATGGGTTTTAGGTACGGAAAAGATAAAAGTCGAGAAAAATTCTAAAGTTTTATGCCTGATCAACTGGAAGAATTCAGTTGCCATTACTAAGATGGGGAAGGGTACATCCTGTGATGAATATGAGCCTCTAGGTTTACAAATGTTGTAATTTATTTCTAAATAACGTTTCATTACTGAGCAAAGTACTTTACAGTGAGAGATAATTATTTCTAACTACAATACAACTTAAATCAGAATGTGACTTTTTTTATTCCTGAGGATCTGATGAGAAAACATTCACAATCATTCTTCTAAAAAAAACACTTGTAATATAATTGTTAAGTATAATTTGCAATCTTTGTTCTAGTTGAGCTGCTCAAATCCTTGTTGACTTATTGTATTGTGGGTGATAAAGTAGGGGTGATACATGCTGGTACTGTCAGTATAGCACTTTAATTGCAGGAATTATCTTTTGGCCCATTTTCTGATTTTTAAATTATCTTTTTTTTTTTTTTTTTTTTTTTTTTGCGACGGAGTTTCGCTCTTGTTACCCAGGCTGGAGGGCAATTGTGCAATCTCCAGTCACTGGCTGGCACCTCCACCTCCTGGGTTCAAGCAATTCTCCAGCCTCGGCCACCCAAGTAGCTGGGATTATGGATGCCCACCACCACACCAGGCTAATTTTTGTATTTTTAGTAGAGACGCAGTTTCACCATGTTGGCCAGGCTGGTCTCCAACTCCTGACCTCAGGTGATCTGCCCGCCTCGGCCTCCCAAAGTGCTGGGATTACAGGTGTGAGCCGTCGTGCCCAGCCTTTAAATTATCTTTAAAGAGAATTATACATAGAATTTCTACAGTGACTACCCACTGTTCTATACTGGTAATTCTTAAACTTGTTCATTATGATGTAAATAGGGCAAGAATATGTTCTCTATTGATAATTTCAGAAGGGCATATTTCACTATAGGATCCCTTTCTATTTCTACAAATAATCTAAATCTAAAAATATATATTCTTCTCTTCCCTTTTCATTTCCTTTTTTTTTCTTTTCTTTTAAGGCCACCAATCAGATCTAATCTCTTCTCATTTCTTACTTTTTTATTTTTTTTTTATCTTTTCAGAGACAGAGTCTTGCTCTGTCGCCCAGACTGGAGTACGGTGGTGTGATCTCGGCTCACTGCAACCTCCACCTCCTGGGTTCAGGTGATTCTCCTGCCTCAACCTCCTGAGTAGCTGAGACTACAGGCATGCACTACTACACCCGGCTAATAATTGTATTTGTTTTTTTTTTTGAGACGGAATCTCCCTCTGTCTCCCGGGCTGGAGTGCGGTGGCGCAATGTCATTTCACCACAACCTCTGCCTCCTAGGTTCAAGCAATTCTCAGCCTCCAAAGTAGCTGGGATTACACACATTAGCCACCGCGCCTGGCCTAATTTTTTTATTTTTAGTAGAGATTGGGTTTCACCATGTTAGCCAAACTGGTCTCGAACTCCTGACCTCAGGCAATCTGCCCCCTCGGCCTCCCAAAGTGCTAGGATTAAGCCGCAGCTGGGTGCGGTGGCTCACACCTGTAATCCCAGCATTTTTGGAGGCCAAGGTGGGCAGATCACTTGAGGTCAGGAGTTTGAGACCAGCCTGGCCAGCATGGTGAAACCCCGTCTCTACTAAAAATACAAAAATTAGCTAGGCGTGGTGGTGCACATCTGTAATCCCAGCTACTTGGAAGGCTGAGGCAGAAGAATCTCTTGAACCCAGAAGGCGGAGTTTGCGGTGAGCTGACATCATGCTACTGCACTCCAGCCTGGGCGACAGAGTGAGACTCCATCTCAAAAAAACAAAGAGAAAGAAAGAAAGAGAGAAAGAAAACTCTTTGCTTTCAGAGATTTACTTTTTTTTTTTTTTTTTAATGCAACAGGATCTTGGCCACCCAGGCTGGAGTACAGTGGTGTGATCATGGCTTACTGCAGCCTTGAACTCCTGGGCTCAAGTGATACTCCTGCCTCAGCCTCCCAAGTAGCTGGGACAATAGGCATGTGTCACCATGCCAAGTTTTTTGTTTGTTTGTTTTGTTTTTTTTTGAGACGGAGTTTCGCTCCAGTTGCCCCAGCTGGAGAGCAATGGTGTGATCTCGACTCACTGCAACCTCCGCCTCCCAGGTTCAAGCGATTCTCCTGCCTCAGCCTCCCGAGTAGCTGGGATTACAGGCATGCGCCACCACACCCGGTTAATTTTGTATACTTAGTAGAGAGAGGGTTTCTCTATGTTGGTCAGGCTGGTCTCAAACTCCCGACCTCAAGTCATCCATCCACCTTGGCCTCCCAAAGTGCTGGGATTACAGGCATGAGCCACTGCGCCCGCCTAGAATTTTGTTTTCAATGCCATGAAAAATATTTATCTGTTTTATATTCTTTTCAACCTTAAAATTAATATGGAAACACATGTTAGAATTGATGAGAAGCTTGAAAATAATCTGATTGAATTTAATGTCTAATTACACAGTTTCCCAGCTCATTTTCTTTTTTCTTTTTTTTTTTTTTTAGACAGAGTCTCTCTCTCTTGCCTAAGCTGGAGTGCAGCTCACTGCAATCTCTGCCTCCCAGGTTCAAGCAATTCTCCTGCCTCAGCCTCATGAGTAGCGGGGATTACAGGTGTGTGCCACCATGCCCAGCTTATTTTTGTATTTTTAGTAAAGATGGGGTTTCGCCATGTTGGCAAGACTAGTCTCAAACTCTTGATCTCAGGTGATACTCATGCCTTGGCCTCCCAAAGTGCTGGGATTACAGATGTGAGCCACTGCGCCTGTCCCCAGCTTATTTTTTAAACCATAGCCAGTATTAGGGAGCCCTCTATACCATATGGCGGTCCATTCTTTTTTTTTTTGAGACAGAGTCTCGCTCTGTCGCCAGGCTGGAGTGCAGTGGTGCGATCTCGGCTCACTGCAACTTCCGCTTCCTGGGTTCAAGTGATTCTCCTGCCTCAGCCTCCCCAGTAGCTGGGACTACGGGAGCGTACCACCACACCCCGCTAATTTTTGTGTTTTTAGTAGAGACGGGGTTTTTGTATTTTTAGTAGAGACGGGGTTTCACCATTTTCGCCAGGCTGGTCTTGATCTCTTGACCTCATGATCTGCCCTCCTCGGTCTCCCAAAGTGCTGTGATTACAGGCATGAGCCTCAGTGCTCAGCCTCATTCATCTCATTTTTAAAGAGATATAATTGCTAGAAAGTTCCTTCTCACAACTAAAGTTGGCCTTTCTATTGCTTTTCTATTGCTTCTATCAGACATCCAAAATTCGATTCCCAGGTTAGCCAGTAACTAACTGTGTGACATTAGGTCAGAACTATAATCATGCTGAGTCTCACTTTTCTGGTCTGTAAGATGAAGGGGTTTGGACCATTGGATCCCTCTTCTAGCTCTTAAATTCCATGTATCTAATAGCCCTTCAACAGGATCTTATGATATCAGAAAGTAGTGATTGTGTTTCCCCCAAGTATACTTTTTCCCCACCCTAGTGCCAAAGGTTCCTTTTGTGATGTGATTTCTACCTTCCTCTCAATCCTTACTGCCCCCCCCAAAATACTCTCCAAATTGTCAACATGCTTAAAGATAGCACTCAAAACTAAATAAAATAAATACATGTTCTAGATGTGATCTCCCTATTGAGTTCCATGTTACTAGTACAGCTGGTCCACCATATCCACGGGTTCCACATGGCCAGCTGTGGGACTTGAGCATCCCTAGGTTTTGGTATCTGTGGGAGTCCTGGAACCAATCCCTGTCAGATACTGGGCATGACTGTACTTCATTATCCTTGCATTCATTATCTATTCCTGAGTAACAAATTACCTTAAAAATTAACAATTTAGGACAACAACAAAACATTTATTTCTCACAAGTCTGTGGGTCAGGAATTCAGGAGAAGCATAACAGCTCAAGGTTTCTCATGAGGTTGCACTGAAGTCATCAGCCAGGGCTGTAGTCATCTCAAAACCCAACTAGGGGCCAGGCCTCATGCCTGTAATCTCAGCACTTTGGGAGGCTAAGGCGGGCGGATCACTTGAGCCCAGGAGTTCAAGACCAGCCTGGGCAACATGGCGAAACCCTGTCTCTACCAAAAATACAAAAAGTAGCTGGGCATGGTGGCACATACCTGTAACCCCTGCTACTTGGGAGGCTGAGGCAGGAAAACAGCTTGAACCCAGGAGGCAGAGATTGCAGTGAGCTGAGATAGCACCACTGCACTCCAGCTTGGGCAACAGAGTGAGACTCCGTCTCAAAAAAAAAAAAAAAGAAAGAAAGAAAAGAAAATGAGCTGGGTAACTGTGTAGGCACGAGAATTGCTTGAACCCGAGAGAGGAAAGTTGCAGTGAGCTGAGATAGCACCACTGCACTCTCAGCCTGGGCAATAGAGCAGGACTCTGTCTCAAGAAAAACAAAAACAAAAACTCAATTGGGGCTGAGGATCCTCTTTTAAGCTCACTCATGGGTTGTTGTCAGATTTAACTTTCTCATGGTTAAATTGAGGGCCTCAGTTACTCACCACACCACATAGGCCTCTCCATCATGCATCATGGCAGCTTGCTAATTCTAGATCAAGGGATCCCAGAGGGAGGGAAGGAGGAAAAATGAGAGAGAGACATCTAAGACAGAAATCACAGTCTTATAATATAATCTTAGAAGGAGTATCCCATCCCTTCACATCTGCCATATTCTATTTGTTAGAATAGCCACTAGGTCCAGTCCAAAGGATTACATATAGGCAATGACCCATCTTAGATGCTGCCTGCTTCGGTCCTGAATACCATCTTCTATGCATGCAGCCTAAGATTGCAGAATGATTTTTGTGCCAATGGTTTATATTGAGCTTCTAGTCAACTAAAAGACAAAAAGTTTCTACTTGTTTTATTTATGTATTTATGTTGAAACAGAATCTTATGCTGTCACCCAGGCTGCAGTGCAGTGGTGTGATCACGGCTCACTGTAGCCTCGACCTCCTGGTCTCAAGTGATCCTCTCACCTCAGCCTCTCAAGTAACTGGGATTACAGACATGCACCACCATGCCCAGACAATTTTTATATTTTTTTGTAGAAGCAGGGTTTCCTCTTATTACCCAGGCTGGTCTCGAACTCCTGGGCTCAAGCAATCTGCCCACCTTGCCTCCCAAAGTGCTGAGATTACAGACATGTACCATCCAGTCTGGCCTTCTAACTTGTTTTTTAAAGAGCCATTGATTTGGCAATTAATCCTTTTAAGCTTAATGCAGGATATTATCTCTAATACATTTTATTTAATTTGTCTCTAATTGTTTTTTTTTTTTTTTTTTTTTTGAGACAAAGTCTTTCTCTATTGCCCAGGCTGGAATGAAGTGGCATGATCTTGGCTCACTGTAATCTCCGCCTCCCAGGTTCAAGCGATTCTCCTGCCTTGGCCTCTGAGTAGCTGGGATTACAGACGCGCACCACCACACCCAGCTAATTTTTGTATTTTTAATAGAGACGAGGTTTCACCATGTTGGCCAGGCTGGTCTCCGACTCCTGGCCCGCCCAAGTGATCTGCCCACCTCAGCCTCCCAAAGTGCTGGGATTACAGATGTGAGCCACCACACCTGGCTGCTTTCAGTAACTTCTGTAATACTTCCTGAGAGTTGGGGGTTTAAAGTAGTATCATGAATAAATGCAATTCTTATTAAGCCTTCAAAGTCTCTTATAAAACTAGATAAACAGGCCGGGTGCGGTGGCTCACACCTGTAATCCCAGCACTTTGGGAGGCCGAGGCGGGTGGATCACAAGGTCAGGAGATCGAGACCATCCTGGCTAACACAGTGAAACCCCATCTCTACTAAAAATACAAAAAATTAGCCAGGCATGGTGGCAGGCGCCTGTAGTCCCAGCTACTCAGGAGGCTGAGGCAGGAGAATGGCGTGAACCCGGGAGGTGGAGCTTGCAGTGAGCCAAGACTGCGCCACTGCACTCCAGCCTGGGCAATAGAACGAAACTCCGTCTCAAAAAAAAAAAAAAAAAAAACCTAAATAAACATTCTTTATTAAATTAATAGAAGATGACTGTACACTATTATATCTCTGTTGGTCTCTAAGGGCCCTTTCAATTTCTCAGTACCCAAGCTTTGTAGGAACTGAATAGTAGTTAATTGAATTTCTTTGGATTACTTAAAATCACTGTTTATTTGTGACACAAAATAACCTTACTTTCCTAAAACAGTTGAAATAAAATTAATGTTAGGCTCACGCCTGTAATCCCAGCACCTTGGGAGGTCGAGACGGGTGGATCACGAGGTCAGGAGATCAAGACCATCCTGGCTAACATGGTGAAACCCCGTCTCCACTAAAAATACAAAAAAAATTAGCCAGGCGTCGTGGCAGGCACCTGTAGTCCCAGCTACTCAGGAGGCTGAGGCGGGAGAATGGCGTGAACTCGAGAGGCGGAGTTTGCGGTGAGCGGAGATCATGCCACTGCACTCCAGCCTGGGTGACAGAGTGAGACTTGGTCTCAATAAATAAATAAATAAATAAATAAATAAATAAATAAATAAATAAAATTCACAACCTGGGCAACATGATGAAACCCTGTCTCTATAAAAAATACAAAAATTAGCCTGGCATAGTGGTGCACATCTGTAGTCTCAGCTACTTGGGAGGCTGAGGTGGGACAATTGCTTGAGTCTGGAAGGCCGAGGTTGCAGTGAGCTGAGATCATGCTGCTGCACTCCAGCCTGGGTGTCAGAGCAAGACCCTGTCAAAATCTATGTATGTTTTCTAAAACACATTTTTTGAAATGGAAATGCTGAGTCAAAGAGTGTACATATTTAAAATTATAACATTGCAAATTACCACCCAAAATGATGGTATATTTTTATTCTCCTATCACCAGTAAAGTGAGAGTGCTTATTCCAAACACTCTCTTCCACACTGAATATTAGCAATCTTTTAAATCTTTGCTAATCTGAGAGGGGTAAAATAATTTATAGTTATTATATTAATGTGCACAGCTGGACATGGTGACTCGTGCCTATAGTCCTAGCTACTCAGCAGGCTGTGGTAGAAGGATCACTTGAGCCTAGGAGTTCATGGTTTCAGTGAGCTATGATTGCACTGTTGCACTCCAACCTTGATGAGAGAGCAAGACCCTGTCTCTAAAAGAAAAAAGAAAAGAAAAAAAAGAAATATAAGAAAAAAAAAGAAAAAAGGCATATTAAGGTGCACTTCCTTAATTTTCAGTGAAGTTTAGCATCTTTTCAGAGATTCACTTATACTCCTATGAGTATTCATCATCTATGGGATTCTCATTATATTTATTAAGGAATGGTGGCAAATGTAATAAATGGCAAGTTTAAATTGACTCTAAAGTTCCTAAAATATTTCTTTTTAAAAGCTGTACTTCTTAAAAGAGAAAAATATTGCATTCTGTAGATAACCTAGAGACACCTTTTAAAAATCTCTAAAGGTTTGGAAACAAATTGGATGGAGCAGATAAAGATGAGTGTTAATTTTGACTTCACCCTTAGTGGCAATAAATGGTCTATTACTCTAATTGTACCCTTTATCTCCTCTAGAACATTTAGAGAGATCTCCAGGGATAGTTACCTTGTTATTTCAATGCAGAGAACAGTAAGTACTTCAGGGAAAACACATGTGATTATCAATCAGGGGAAAATACTTGAGAGAGTAAAATGTGAATTTGTACATGATTCATTGTTGTTGACTTTTTTTTCCATATACTTCTTATCTCAATTCTGAATATATTTCTAGAATTAAAGTTTTGTTACTGTAACAGAACCCAAATAGACATAAAACAGAAGCTGAATAGATATAAATTTAATTTAAGCTTTTTTTTTTTTTTAAAGAGATGGGATCTCATTATGTTGCCCAGGCTGGAGTGCTGTGGCTATTCACAGGAACAATCATTGCACACTGCAGCCTTGAGTTGCTGGGCTCAAGCGACCCTCTGGCCCTAGCCTCCCAAGTAGCTGGGACTATAGGCATGTGCCACCATCCCTGGTTAATTCATAATTTTAAGGTATACAGTTCACTGGTTTTTAACATATTCAGAGTTAAACATTTAGTCATTCAGATAACCATCACTGTTATCTAGTTTTAGAACATTTTCATCACCCTAAAAATAATCCTATACCCATTACGTCACTCATCATGCCTCCTTCTCCCCCTAAACTCCTGGCAACACTAATCTATTTTCAAACTATAGATTTGCCAATTCTGGACATTTCATATAAATGGAATCATACAATATGTAGCCTTTTGTGTCTGCCTTTTTTCACTTAGCATGCTTTCAAGTTTCATCCACGTATAGCATATATCAGCACTTCATTCCTTTATATGACAGAAAAGTATTCCACTGTTTGTGTAATATATACCACTGGTATTTATCCATTCATCAGTTGACGGACATTTGGTTGTTTCTACTTTTTGGCTTTTGTGAATAATGCTGCTATGAACATCTGTGTACAAGTTTTTACGTGGACATATGTTTTCAATTCTCTTGGATGTATACCCAGGAGTAGAACTGCTAAGTTATATAATAACTCTTTACTTAATCACTTGAGGAACTGCCAGTCTGATTTTCCCAGTGGCTGCATAACTTCACAATCTCACCAGCAATGTATGAGGGTTCCAATTTCTCCAAATTCTCGATAATTGTTATTGCCTGTCTTTTTTAATTATCACCATCCATTCTAGTGAGTGTGAAGTGGTATCTCACTGTGGTTTTGATTTTCATTTCCCAGTTACTAATAATATTGAGCATCTTTTCATGTCCTTATTGGACATTTGTATATCTTCTTTGGAGAAATGTCTATTCAGTTCCTTGGCTCAATTTTAAATTGGGTTGTTTTGGGTTTTTTTTTTTTAATTGATACCTAATAGATGTACATTGGTTTTCTGGTGTTTTGTTTTTTGTTTTTTGGGTTTTTTTTTGAGACAGTCTCACTCTGTTGCCCAGGCTGGAGTGCAGTTGTGTGATCTCTGCTCACTGCAACTTCTGCCTTCTGAGTTCAAGCAATTCTCATGCCTCAGCCTCCTGAGTAGCTGGGATTACAGGTGTGCGCCGCAAGGCCTGGCTAATTTTTGTATTTTTCAATGGAGATGGGCTTTCACCATGTTGGCCAGGCTGGTCTCAAACTCCTGACCTCAAGTGATTTACCTGCCTTGACCTCCTAAAGTTCAGGGATTATAGGCATGAGCCACCATGCCCAGACTTTCATTTTCTTGACAGTATGATTGGAAGCATAAAAGTTTTTTGATTGTTTGTTTGTTTTTTGAGACTGAGTCTCGCTCTGTTGCCCAGGCTGGAGCGCAGTGGCGCGATCTCTGCTCACTGAAAGCTTCGCCTACTGGGTTCACGCCATTCTCCCGCCTCAGCCTCCTGAGTAGCTGGGACCACAGGTGCCCGCCACCACACCTGGCTAATTTTTTTGTATTTTTAGTAGAGACAGGGTTTCACTGTGTTAGCCATGATGGTCTCGATCTGCTGGCCTCTTGATCTGCCCGCCTTGGCCTCCCAAAGTGCTGGGATTACAGGCTTGAGCCACTGTGAGGGCCAGGCATGGTGGCTCAAGCCTGTAATCCCAGCACTTTGGGAGGCCAAGGCGGGCAGATCACCTGAGGTCAGGAGTTCGAGACCAGCCTGGCCAATATGGTGAAACCCCGTCTCTACTAAAAATACAAAAAAAATTAGCCAGGCCTGGTGGCGCACACCTGTAGCTCTAGCTACTAAAGAGGCTGAGGCAGGAGAATCACTGGAACCCGGGAGGCGGAGGTTGCAGTGAGCTGAGATCACACCATAGCACTCCAGCCTGGGCATCGTAGCGAGACTCTGTCTCAAAAAAAAAAAAAAAGTTTTTTAAATGTTGATGATAAATTGCTTTTTAAAAATACCTTTGGAAATCTGGATAGAGGATAGGGTGTCCCTAACACAACTGAATAGTTTCATAGAATTTTATAGCAAGTAGGAAAGTAATTCAGGAGTGTATTACAAGAAGAACAAGAGGAACTAATTGATAATTAATTGAAAGGAAAAATATTTTAATGGGTAGGAAATTAAATTTCACATAGTTAATATATAAGAATAAAGGCTTGGTAATATATTTGGACTTTTTTCATGTGTGTAAATGCACATAAAGCAGATTGCAAGAGGTTATTACACAAAACAAAAGCCAGAGAAAAATCCATACTTACCCCTAAACCTGACTAAATGGGACTGAAAGGAAACCAGAGTTGATTACTCAAGTTAAGGGGTTGATGTCTATAAATGACAAATGGCTATATTAAAGAAGTTATTAACTTTATATAATGAACTCTGCTAGTTATATTTTAATTAATAAAAATTGCTCTTGAGATAAAACTTTTTTATTAACTTATCCTCTCTCTTTGGAATCTTTAGTAGTTAAAAAAACTACATTCAATTGCATCTGAAACTTTTACAACAGTTCATGTAGAGCATACAAAGTTAACAGCTTATAAATTCTCCTTACCTTAAGAAAGAAAACAGACATAAAAAAACATGAACCACTATTGTGGTCACTCCTGCTAAAATATTTCTCCAGTGTACTTTGGGCTATTTATTTCCTTCCTGTAAATACGTTCTACTGTGCTTTAAATAAATATGAAGATACTGAAAGTTGGAGAAGGAATGGATCAGGAATTCTCGTAGGCAGGTGAGGTTGAAACAACAGGGGAGCTCTTGAAGGTAAGTTTGGAAGCAGTCTCATCAGCTTGGGTCAGCAGCACAGGCAAGAAGGGCAATATGTGGGTGAGGAACCTATTTAAGAAGTCTAGCCAAAAGAATTTGGAATTCAAGCAGAGTTAAGTAGAAGATATAAGGCACCAGCAGTAAGCAGGATCTTCACACCTGGGAATTTTTACATGCTTAAGGAAAGAACTGAATTCTCCAACCTGGCCTGAGTTTACCATGGAGGTCAGTGGAGTATCTGGCTGAAAGGAAGAGAGTCGCAGCTTCTGATGTAAACTAATCCTGACAAGATGTTGAGGACTGGGTACCTGGTAGAGTTTCTAAAATTTTGGAGCCATGTGTATTCTTCAGAGGGTTCTCTAACTATAGTGGAAAATACAGGATGAGTTGAAGAAAGCATTTTACCGGAATCTAGGGAAAATCAGTGTTACCAAGTGGTACTAACGTTCAGCAGATCAGTTCGAATGGTTTGGTTGTAAATAATAAAACCCACTCACACTATGAATAATAATCAAATGAGGAAATTTACTATGTCATACAACAAGGAAGCTCAGAGATAGGACAGGGTTGATTGATGCAGTTGTATTACAATGTCATGAAGGATCCAGGGTTCATCCATCCCTTTACCCTATCCCATTCTTGGTAACAGCTTTATCCTCAGGCAGTAGCAAGATAACTGCAGAAATTCTTTTAACTCAGCCATGCCAATATGCAGAGGAAGAAGAGCACTCTTAGGAGTGAGAAAGAATTTCTTCTTTTTTCTTTTTTTTTTTTTTTTTGAGACAGAGTTTTCTTCTTGTTGCCCAGGCTGGAGTGCAATGGCACAATCTTGGCTCACCGTAACCTCCATCTCCTGGGTTCAAGCAATTCTCCTGCCTCAGCCTCCCAAGTAGCTGGAATTACAGGCATGTGCCACCATGCCCGGCTAATTTTGTATTTTTAGTAGAGACGGGGTTTCTCCATGTTGGTCAGGCTGGTCTCAAACTCCTGACCTCAAGTGATCCACCCACCTCGGCTTCCTATAGTGCTGGGATTACAGGTGTGAGCCACTGCACCCGACCACAAGAAAGTATTTCTAAGAACCCTGCACAGTTGGCCACACTCCTACTCTAAAACGAATTACTGCCAAGGAGATGGTAGAATAACCAGAATTGGATTAGACTAGTTATCTGAGGTGGAATAAATGACAGGGAGTCAACTACTTATACTCAATAAAATCGGCCAGGTGTGATGGCTCATGCCTGTAATCCCAGCACTTTGGGAGGCTGAGGTGGGTGCATCACTTGAGGTCAGGAGTTCAGACCATACTGACCAATATGGTGAAACCCTGTCTCTACTAAAAATACAAAAATTAGCCAGGCATGGTGGCACATGCCTGTAATCCCAGCTACTCGGGAGGCTGAGGCAGGAGAACTGCATGAACCCAGGAGATGGAGGTTGCAGTGAGCCAAGATCACGCCACTGCACTCCAACCTGGGTGACAAAGCAAGACTCCATCTCAAAAAAAAAAAAAAAAATTGAATTTTACTTCTGTTGGGGTTTCCTTAAATTTCCCTTAAATTGTCTGTAACTTATTAATTACTGACTGATATTACTAGAGATGTCAGTTAATATTCTTTGCTCATCTGTCTTGGTAAAGAACTCTACTCTTGGCCAGGCATGGTGGCTCACGCCTACAATCCCACACTTTGGGAGGCCAAAGCGGAAGGATCAAGTGAGCCCAGGAGTTTGAGACCGGCCTAGGCAACATGATGAGACTCCTCCTCTACCAAAAAAAGAAAAATAAAATTAGCTGAGCATGGTGGCATGTAGTCCAAGCTGCTCAGGAGGCTGAGGTAGGAGGAATCACTTGAGCCCAAGAAGTCAAGGTTGCAGTGAGATGTGTTCCCTCCACTGCACTCCAGTCTGGGCAACAGAGTGAGACCTGTCTCTAACTCTATTTTTTTCCTCTCCAAGCTCTGAAGTCCTAAGATGCTACTGTCTATAACCTAGAAGGAAATGGATTTCTGAGTCCTTGGCTTGTAAACCAAATTTATAAAGTGATAAAAACTATCTGGGAGATAAATGAATGAACATGAACTATGGCATACACAGAAGAAAGTCACATGTAATTTGGTATGATTAAGATTCAGAATTAATTATTTAATTATTTAAATACTTACTTGTACTCAAGGGGCAGAGGGTGTCAGAGGGGGCATTGTGACAAAGTTAAATTTGTAAAAAAAATTTACACTGTTAAATTTGCAAAGTTAATCTTTTAAAGTTGTAGTTAAATTATGACATTTGAATTTATAATAAAGACTACAAACAGGACCAGCCCAGCATGGTGGCTCACACCTATAGTCCCAGCACTTTGGGAGGCTGAGGAGGGTAGATCACCTGAGGTCAGGAGTTCGAGACCAGCCTACCAACAGGGTGAAACCCTGTCTCTACTAAAAATACAAAAGTTAGCCAGGCGTGGTGGCAAGTGCCTGTAATCCCAGCTACTCGGGAGGCTGAGGCAGGAGAATCTATTGAACCTGGGAGGCGGATGTTGCAGTGAGCCAAGATCGCACCATTGCACTCCAGCCTGGGCGATAGAGTGAGACTCCATCTCAAAAAAAAAATATGTATATATAATAATAAAAAGACTACAGAACCAAGAAATTAAGGGGTGATGAGTAGTCGTTCATTGAGAGATTACAAATGGTATCTTTCGGATGAAGTCACAGTGTACATCCATTGGCATGCCTACCTATCACTCTGGAAGGAAGTCAAGAGGTTAAAGACGTTTGAGTCCCACAAGAGATCACTATTTCCAGGCACCTAAACTCACTAGCGGATTTGTGTCTTTACTTGGGCAGGCCAAGCCAAAGGCCATGCTAAAGTGTTGACAGAGCTATGAACTATTAAACGGTGCAAAATTCCTGAATGAAAGCACCAAAAATAATTGTGTAAGGGAGTTTATTTTTTCACAAACTCTGAGTACAAATTCTAAAGTGAAAGAAACAATAAAATATAAGGACCCACCGGGCACGGTGACTTGCACCTGTAATCCCAGCCCTTTAGGAGGCCAAGGCAGGCTGATTGTCTGAGGTCAGGAGTTCAAGATCAGCCAGGCTAACATGGTGAAACCCCGTCTCTACTAAAAATACAAAAATTAGCCAGGTGTGGTGGCGCACGCCTATAGTCCCAGCTACTCAGGAGACTGAGGCAGGAGAATTGCTTGAACCTGGGAGGTGGAGATTGCAGTGAGCCAAGGTCACGCCACTGCATTCTAGTCTGGGTGACAGAGCAAGACTGTGTCTCTGAAAAAATAAAATAAAATGAAATATAAAGACCTGGCCAGGCGTGGTGGCTCATGCCTGTAATCTCAACACTTTGGGAGGCCGAGGTGGGCAGATCACCTGAGGTCAGAAGTTTGAGACCAGCCTGACCAACATGGAGAAATCCCGTCTCTACTAAAAATACAAAATTAGCTGGGTGTGGTGGCATGCACCTGTAGTCCCAGCTACTTGGGAAGCTGAGGCAGGAGAATCGCTTGAACCCAGGAGGCAGACGTTGCAGTGAGCCAAGATAGCACCATTGCACTCCAGCCTGGGCAACAAGAGCAAAACTCTATCTCAATAAATAAATAAATAAATAAATAAATAAAATATGAGGACCCAATTTTTTTCCCTTGATAAGTGTGACTTTAGCTAATTGATTTCATTCGATATATACCTGTAGCAATGGTTTCCAAACCTCTCTGATCATAAACCACAATAAGAAATACATTTTACATGGTGACTTAACACACACACACACACACACACACACACACACACGCACACAGGCACACACACACAGAGTTATGTTTTTAAAAACTGAAACAGAAGCTAACAAAACGACAATTGCACTTTCCAAGGATGCAATAGTTTTCAATTTTATTTGATTTAAAAACAAGTGCTAGCTGAGTGATGCGTGCTTGTAGTATGAGCTACTTGGGAGGCTAAGATGGGAGGATCACTTGAGGCCAGAAGCTCGAGGCCACAGTGTACGATAAGCTATAATGGTACTTGTGAATAGCTACTACAATTCAGCCTGGCAAGACTCTGTCTCAAAAACAAACAAACAAAAAATAAGTACTGATTCACATCCACTAACTTGATTTCATGACCCACTAATAGGTCTGACTTGCAATTTGAAAAACATTATTCTAGGTTAAATGGAGCCTGCCAAATGCCTGGCTCCATTAATACAAATCCTGCTCTTCCATAGCAGGAAGAGGAGGGAAGGAGATTGTCTATATGGGCAATCGTGAGAAGTGACTGAGCTGCTTAACCCCTATCTTTGGTGTCCTGTGTTTTACTTTTAAACTTTAAGGTAGGTTCAGATTATCACAAAGAAGACCATGATAAGTTCAGATGGCTTAGAGGTATGATTAGAGCAGCATAAACACCATACTTCTCAATTCCAACTTTCTTTTCTATTTTCTTCTTAAGAGCACACAAGCTTTGGAGTCAGGAGCAAAGTTCAACTCCCCTTAAGCTTAAGAGCAAGTTTCTTAATTGTTCTGAACCTCAGCTTACTCATCTGTAAGATGGACAGAAGCAATACTTTACAGGGTTGTAAAAATGATTGTGAGCTATATATACATAGTACATATAATTCACTTAGCAAATGATCAATAAATGACAGCTGCTGTTTATCTTAGGTCAGATGAATACATGCTAAGAAAGCAAACATTGTAAATGCCTTCCTTAACAAAAAAATGTTTTAAGGCTGGCCATGGTGGCTCACACCTGTAATACTAGCACTTTGGGAGGCTGAGGCAGGTGGATCACTTGAGCCCAGGAGTTCAAGGCAAGCCTGGGCACCATAATGAGACTCCTGTCTCTACAAGAAATACAAAAATTATCTGGGTGTGGTGGTGCACACCTGTAGTCCCAGCTGCTTGGAAGGCTGAGATGGGAGGATCACTTGAGCCCAGGGAGGTTAAGGCTGCAGTGGGCCCTGATTGTGCCACTGCACTCCAGCCTGTCTCAAACCAAAAAAAAAAAAAACAAAACAGTTTTAGACTACCCAATATTTCCTGGTCTGATATCTTTTTTTTTTGGAAACAGGGTCTGGTTCTTTTTCCCAGGCTGGAGTGCAGTGGCGTGATCATAGCTCATTGCAGCCTCTTAGACTAAAGTGATCTTCCTGCCTCAGCCTCCTGAGTAGTTGGGACTATAGGCATGGGCCACCACATCCAGCTAATTCAAAAAAAATTTTTTGGCCAGGCGCAGTGGCTCACGCCTGTAATCCCAGCACTTTGGGAGGCTGAGACGGGCGGAACAAGAGGTCAGGAGATCGAAACCATCCTGGCTAACACGGTGAAACCCCGTCTCTACTAAAAATACAAAAAATTAGCCGGGCCTGTTGGTGGGCGCCTGTAGTCCCAGCTACTCGGGAGGCTGAGGCAGGAGAATGGTGTGAACCCGGGAGGCGGAGCTTGCAGTGAGCCGAGATCGTGCCACTGCACTCCAGCATGGGCGACAGAGCAAGACTCTGTCTCAAAAAAAAAAAATTTTTTTTATAGAGACTTGGTGTCCCTATGCTGCCCTGCCTGGTCTCGAATTCATGGGCTCAAGCAATCCTCCTACCTCAGGCTGCCAAATGCCAAAGTGTTGAGATTTGAAGTGTAAGCCACTGCACTCAGTCTGGTCTGGTATCTCCCTTTGGGGAAGCTCTAGATATACCTGTATCCGGAAGGACAGTGCTACAGATTTTTTTTTTAAATAGAGATGGGATCTCACTATGTTGCCCAGGCTGGTTTCAAACTCCTGAGGTCAAGTGATCCTCCCTTCTCAGCCATCCAAAATTCTGGGATTACAGTCATGAGCCACTATGCCCAGCACTGCTACAGATCTTGTGGTCGGCCAACTCCAGTTACAATGAAAACCTGATTATAGGAGAAATGGGCATCAATGAAGACAAAAGGGCAAACTCCAGTCCATCTCCCACCAATCAAGCCTGTGATGCCAGTTGGTTTTCCTAAAGCACAGTTTGGAATCTGTCACTTCACTTCTCAATAAACTAGGAAGACTCCTCATAGCCTACAAAGGAAATCTGAACTGTATATTTTGGTATTTGATGTACCATATGCAGTAAAAGGCTCCCACGTGCTTCTTTATTTTAGTTTTATTATTTTTATCTTTTTTTCTAGACGGAGTCTTGCTCTGTCACCCAGGCTGGAGTGCAGTGGCGCAATCTCGGCTCACTGCAACCTCTGCCTCCAGGGTTCAAGCGATTTTCCTGCCCCAGCCTCCGGAGTAGCTAGGTTTAGAGGCACCCATCACAATGCCTGGCTAATTTTTGTATTTTTAGTAGAGACAAGGTTTCCCCACGTTGGCCAGGCTGGTCTCAAACTCCGGATCTCAGGAGATCCGCCTGCCTCAACCTCCCAAAGTGCTGGGATTACAGGTGTGAGCCACCGTACCCAGCCCATTTTTATTGCTGAAGAGAGTTTACCTTTATTCTGTATTTGAAAAGTGTTATTTCTTTTTATCTTTTTTTTTTTTTTGAGACGGAGTCTTGCTCTGTCGCCAAGGTTGGAGTGCAGTGGCACGATCTTGGCTCACTGCAAGCTCCGCCTCCTGGGTTCACACCATTATCCTGCCTCAGCCTCCTGAGTAGCTGGGACTACAGGTGCCCACCACCACACCTGGCTAATTTTTTTTTTTATTGTTAGTAGAGATGGGGTTTCACCATGTTAGCCAGGATGGTCTTAATCTCCTGACCTCGTGATTCGCCCATCTCGGCCTCCCAAAGTGCTGGGATTACAGGCGTGAGCCACCGTGCCCGGCCCTTTTTATCTTTTTTTTTTTTAAATGTATTTTACTTTAAGTTCTGGGATACATATGCTGAACGTGCACGTTTGTTACATAGGTATACATGTGCCATAGCGGTTTGCTGCACCTATCAAGCTGTCATCTAGGTTTTAAGCCTCGCATGCATTAGGTATTTGTCCTAATGCTCTCCCTCCCCTTTCCTCCCACCCACTGACAGGCCCCGGTGTGTGATGTTCCCCTCCCTGTGTCCATGTGTTCTCATTGTTCAGCTCCCACTTATGACTGAGAATATGCAATGTTTGGTTTTCTGTTCCTGTGTTAGTTTGCTGAGGAGGATGGTTTCAAACCAGCTTCATCCATGTCCCTGCAAAGGACATGAACTCATTCTTTTTATGGCTGCAGAAAGTGTTTTTTCTTAAACTGAATGGTAGGTACATGGTTTGTTTGTATTTTACATTGTGGTAAGACACATAACATAAAATTCACCACTACTGACATTTAGTGTATTTACAATATTGCACAAACATCACTATCTACTTCTTGAATATTTTCATCACCCCAAAAGGACCCTGTACCCATTAAACTGTCACTCGCCATTTCTCCTTCATCTCTAGCCTCAGGGAACTAATCTGCTTTCTGTATTTAAGGATTTGCCAACTCTGGATATTTCAATAAGCAGAATCATATAATATGTGGCCTTTTGTGTGGATTCTTTCTTGATTTTATTTTTTTGAGACAGAGTCTCGATGTGTCGCCCAGGCTGGAGTGCAGTGGCACCATCTCGGCTCACTGCAACCTCTGCCTCCCGGGTTCAAGCGATTCTCATGCCTCAGCCTCCTGAGTAGTTGGGATTATAGGTGTGCACCTCCACACTGGAGTAATTTTTGTATTTCTAGTAGAGGTGGGGTTTTCCGTGATGACCAAGCTGGTCTTGAATTCCTGACCTCAAGTGATCTGCCCCCCTTGGCCTCCCAAAGTGCTGGGATTACAGGCATGAGCCACCATGCCCAGCCTGTCTGAATTCTTTCACTTAGCAAAATGTTCACAAGTTTCATCTATGTTGTAGCATATATCAGCATTGCATTCTTTATATACCTGAATAATATTCATACCAAGATGGACATTTTAGTTATTTTCATCTTTTGCCTATTTCACATAGTGCTGCTATGAATATTTGTGAACAAGTTTTTGTATGAATGCTTATTTTCTTTTTTTCATTTTTCTTTCTTTTTTTTCTTTGAGACAGGCTCTTACTCATTGTGTTGCCCAGGCTGGAGTGCGGTGGTGAGATCATAGCTCACTGTAGCCTTGACTTCCCCTGACTCAGGTGATCCTCCCACCTCAACCTCCCAAGTAGCTGGGACTACAGGCATGTGCCACCATGCCCAGCTAATTTTTGTACTTTTTGTAGAGACACGATTTCACCATGCTGCCCAGGCTGGTCTTGAACTCCTGGGCTCAAGTGATCCCTCTGCCTTGGCCTCCCAATGTGCTGAGATTACAGGCATAAGCCACTGCACCTGGCCTTTTTTTCAGTTCTTTAGGGTACATATGTCCAGGAGTGGAATTGCTAGGTCATATGGAAATTTTATGTTTAACATTTTGGGAAACCATCAGTCTGTTTTGCAAAGTGGCTACACCATGGGCTGAGGTGGGTGGATCACTTGAGGTCAGAAGTTTGAGACCAGCCTTGCCAACATGGTGAAACCCTGCCTCTATAATAAAAATAAATTAATTAAAATAAACAAAATGGCTGCACCATTTTACATTCCCAACAGCAGTGTATAAGTGTTCTGATTTCTCCATATTCTTACCAGCATTTATTATCTGACTTTTTTGTTACAGCCATTCTAGTGGATAAAACGTAACATGGGTGAAATGTGATTTGCATTTCCCTGATGACTATCAGGGCTTAGTTTTACCTCTGCATATTCATCATTTATATACCTTTTTTTATTTTTATTTTTTTGAGACATGGTCTGGCTCTGTCACCCAGGCTGCAGTGCAGTGGTGTGATCATGGCTCACTCAGCCTCAACCTCCCAGGCTCAAGCAATCCTCCCATCTCAGCCTCCCCCAAGTAGCTGGGACTACAGGCACGAGCCATCATACCTGGCTAATTTTTGTATTTTTCATAGAGACAGGGTCTCCCTATGTTGCCTTGCTGGTACCTAACTCCTGGGATTTAGTGATACTCCTACCTTCGCCTCCCAAATTGCTGGGATTACAGGCATGAGCTACCGTGCCCAGTCCCATTTGTATATCTTGTTTGGAGAAATGTCTACTCAGAGCCTTTGCCCATTTTAAAATTGGATTTTCTCTCTTTTATTATTGAGTTGATAGAGTTTTTTAATGTATTCTAGATATAAGTCCCTTATCAGATATATTATTGCAAATATTTTCTCCCATCCTGTGGGTTGTCTTTTCCCTTTGTTCATAGTATAATCTGAAGCAGAAAAACTTTTAATTATGAAGAAGTCTAATTTACCTAGTTTTCTCTTTTGTTGTTTGTGCATTTGACATCACATCTAAGAAAGAATCTATTGTCATTTTTTTTCTTTTCTTTTTTTTTTTTTTTTGAAACGGAGTCTCCCTCTGTCACCGAGGCTGGAGTGCAGCGGCGCAATCTTGGCTCACTGCAACCTCCACCTCCCTGGTTCAAGCGATTCTCCTGCCTCAGGTAGCTGGTACTACAGGTGCCTGCCACCACACCCAGCTAATTTTTGTATTTTTTGGTAGAGACAAGGTTTTGCCCTGTTGGCCAGGCTGGTGTCGAACTCCTGGCTTCAAGTGATCCACCAGCCTCAGCTTCCCAAAGTGCTGGGATTACAGGTGTGAGCCACCGCACCCGGCCCTATTACCACATTTTGAGAACAAGAATATTTTCTTCCCTCCTTCCTTCCTTCCGTCCGTCCTTCCGTCCGTCCTTCCTTCCGTCCTTCCTTCCTTCCTTCCTTCCTTCCTTCCTTCCTTCCTTCCTTTCTTCTCTCTCTCTCTCTCTTTTTTTTTTGATGGAGTTTTGCACTTGTTGCCCAGGCTGGAGTGCCATGGTACAATTTCAGCTCACTGCAACCTCCGCCTCCCAGGTGAAAGTGATTCTCCTGCCTCAGCCTCCCTAGTACTTGGGATTACAGGCACCCACCACCACGCCCAGCTAATTTTTGTATTTTTAGTAGAGACGGGGTTTCACCATATTGGCCAGGCTGATCTCAAACTCCTGACCTCAGGTGATCTACCCACCTCAGCCTCCCAAAGTGCTGGGATTACAAGCATGAGCCACTGTGCCCGGCTACCTTTTTTTTTCTAAAGTGTTTTATAATTTTAGCTCTTACACTTAAGTCTTTGATCCGGCCGGGTGCGCTGCCTCATGCCTGTAATCCCAGCACTTTAGGGGGCCAAGGGGGGTGGATCACCTGAGGTCAGGAGTTTGAGACAAGCCTGGCCAACGTGGTGAAACCCCATCTCTATTAAAAATACAAAAATTGGGCCAGGGGCGGTGGCTCACGCCTATAATCCTAGCACTTTGGGAGGCCAAGGTGGGTGGATCACCTGAGGTTAGGAGTTCCAGACCAGCCTGGCCGACATGGTGAAACCCCGTCTCTACTGAAGAAACAAAAATTAGCCGGGTGTGGTGGCATGCGCCTGTAATCCCAGATACTTGGGAGGCTGAGACAGGAGAATTGCTTGAACCCAGGAGGTGGAGGTTGCGGTGAGCCGAGATCTCGCCATTGCACTCCAGCCTGGGCAATAAGAGCAAAACTCCGTCTCAAAAAAAAAAAAAAACAAAAATACAAAAATACAAAAATATGCCGGGTGTGATGGTGGTCACCTGTAATCCCAGCTACTTGGGAGACTGAAGCAGGAGAATCACTTGAACCTGGGAGGCGGAGGTTGCAGTGAGCTGAGATCCGCCATTCACTGCACTCCAGCCTAGACAACAAGAGCAAAACGCCACCTGAAAAAAAAAAGTCTTTGATCTATTTTGAGTTAATTTTGTATATGGTGTGAAGTAAGGGTCCAAATTCATTCTTCTGCAGGTGGCTATCAATTTGTCCCAGCACCATTTGCTAAAAAGGCTATTCTTTCCCCATTAGATTGTCGTGGCAACTTTGTCAAAAATCAGTTGGCCAGGCGCAGTGGCTCACACCTGTAATCCCTACACTTTGGGAGGTCGAGGAGGGCAGATCATGAGGTCAGGAGTTCGAGACCAGCCTGACCAACTTGGTGAAAACCCATCTCTACTAAAAACACAAAAAATTAGCCGGGCATGGTGGCACGCACCTGTAATCCCAGCTACTCAGGAGGCTGAGGCAGGAGAATCGCTTGAACCTGGGAGGTAGAGGTTGCAGTGAGCCGAGATTGCACCACTGCACTCCAGCCTGGGCGACACAGGGAGACTCCAACTCAAAAAAAAAAAAAAAATCAGTTGATCACATACACATGGGTTTATTTCTGTTTATCTACATATTTTGCACTGCATTTATTAAACTTATTCCTAAGTATCTTATTCTTTTTTATGCTATTGTAAATAGAATTATTTCTTTCTTTTTTTTTTTTTTTTTTGAGACGGAGTCTCACTCTGTCGCCTAGGCTGGAGTGCAGTGATGTGATCTCGGCTCACTGCAAGCTTTGCCTCCCGGGTTTACGCCGTTCTCCTGCCTCAGCCTCCCGAGTAGCTGGGACTACAGGTGCCCGTCACCACGCCCGGCTAATTTTTTGTATTTTTAGTAGAGATGGGGTTTCACTGTGTTAGCCAGGATGGTCTCGATCTCCTGTCCTCGTGATCCACCCATCTCGGCCTCCTAAAGTGCTGGGATTACAAGCCTGAGCCACCGCGCCCAGCCATTATTTCTTAATTTTATTTTCTGATTGTTAATTGCTAGTATATAGAAATAGTTGATTTTTGTATATTGATTTTGTGTCCTGCAAGCTTGCTGTGGTGGTTTATGAACTCTAATAGTTTTTATTGTGTATTTTTGATTTTCCTATTTTTTTTTTTTTTTTTTTGGAGACAGGATCACTCAGCCTCTGTCACCCAGGCTGGAGTGCAGTGGTGCGATCTCGGCTCACTGCAACCTCCGCTTCCTCAGGTTCAAGCAATTCTCATGCTTCGGCCTCCTAAGTAGCTGGGATTACAGGCGCACACCACCACGCCCAGCTAATTTTTGTATTTTTAGTAGCGTTGTGGTTTCATCATGTTGGCCAGACTGGTCTCCAACTCCTGACCTTAAGTGATCCTCCCACCTTAGCCTCCCAAAGTGCTGGTATTACAGGCATGAGCCACTGAGCTCGATCTGACTTTCTGTATATAAAATGATGTCAACTGTGAATAAAGGTAGTTGTACTTCTTCATTTCCAATCTGGATCCTTTTTTTTTTTGCCTTATTTCCCTGGCTAGAGCCTCCTATATAATCTTGAGGAAGTAGTGAGAGTAGACATCATCGTCTTGTTGGAAGTATAATTGACAAATAAAAATTATATATATTGTCAAGGTGTACAACATGATCATTTAAGTATACATATATGTGAAACAATTGCCACAATCAAGTTAATAAACACATCCATCCATCACCTTACATAGCTCTATGTGTTGGGGGGTTGGGGGGCGGTGAGGACACTTAAGATTTACTCTCTTGGCTGGGCACGGTGGCTCACGCCTGTAATCCCAGCACTTTGGGAGGCTGAGGCGGGTGGATCATGAGGTCACGAGATTGAGACCAGCCTGACCAACATGGTGAAACCCCGTCTCTACTAAAAAAAACAGAAAAATTAGCTTGGCGTGGTGGCATGCGCCTGTAATCCCAGCTACTCAGGAGGCTGAGGCAGGAGAATTGCTTGAACCTGGGAAGCGGAGGTTGCAGTGAGCTGAGATCACGCCACTGCACTGCAGCCTGGTGACGGAGCGAGACTCTGTCTCAAAAAAAAAAAAAAAATTTACTCTCTTGTCCTTGTCCTTGCCATGATCAGGACTAAAAAATAGAAAATAAAAAAAGATATACGGCCGGGCATGGTGGCTCATGGTGGCTCATGCCTGTAATCCCAGCACTTTAGGAGGCCAAGGGGGGTGGGTCACAAGGTCAGGACTTTGAGACCAGCCTGGCCAACATAGTGAAACCCCATCTCTATTAAAAATACAAAAAATTAGCTGGGCATGGTGGCGGGCACCTGTAATCCCAGCTACTTGGGAGGCTGAGGCAGAAGAATCGCTTGAACCTGGGAAGCAGAGGTTGCAGTGAGCCAAGATTGTGCCACTGCACTCCAGCCTGGGTGACAGTGTGACACTCAGTCTAAAAAAAAAAAAAAAAAATTTCCTCTGGTAGCAAATTTCAAGTATATAATACAGTATTAACTATAGTTACCATGCTGTATATTAGCTCCCCGGGATTTATTTGTTTTTCTAATTGAAAGCTTGTACTCGGCTGGGCATGGTGGCTCACGCCTGTAATCCCAGCACTTTGGGAGGCTGTGGGGCAGGGCGGGTGGATCACCTAGGTTAGGAGTTCAAGACCAGCCTTGCCAACCTGGTGAAACTCCATCTCTACTAAAAATACAAAAATGTAGCTGGGCATGGTGGTGGGTGCCTATAATCTAGCTACTCAGGAGACTGAGGCAGGAGAATTGCTTGAACCTGGGAGGTGGTGGTTGCAGTGAGCTGAGATTGTACCATTGTACTCCAGCATGGGCAACAAGAGTGAAACTCTGTATCAAAAAAAAAAAAAAGAAAGAAAGAAAGTTTGTACTCTTTGACTAACTTCTCCCCATTTCCCTTTTTCTGATCTTAGGGAAAAGTCATCCCATTTTTTACCATGAAGTATACTGTTAGGTGTGGGTTTTTCATAGATGCTTTTTATTAGATTAGGGAAGTTCTCTTCTATTCCCAGTTTAGGGGTTTTTATATGAAAGAATGTTGAGTTTTGTCAATGCATTTGATATGATGTATTACACTTACTGATTTTCAGATATTAAACCAACTTCATATTCTTAGGATAGATCCAACTTAGTCATAGTTGCTGTCCTGTCTCAGCCTCCCGAGTAGCTGGGATTACAGGCACGCACCACCACGCCTGGTTAATTTTTGTATTTTTAGTAGAGACTGGGTTTTGCCACATTGGCCAGGCTGGCTGGTCTCGAACTCCTGACCTCAGGCGACGCTCACCTCGGCCTTCCAAAGTGCTGGGATTACAGGCATAAGCCACCACGACTGGCCTATATATTTATTTTAAAGAGAAGGGGTATTGCTATGTTGCCCACGCTAGCCTTGAACTGGGTTCAAATAATCTTCCTACCTCAGCCTCCCTAGTAGCTGGGACTATATAGTCATGCACCACTAGGCCTGGCAAAAAAATTTTTTTTTTTTTGGTATTGTCAGGGTCTTGGTCTGTAACTCTTACCTTTCAGTGCTCTTACTTTTTTTTTTTTTTTTTTTTTGAGACAGAGTCTAGCTCTGTTGCCCAGGCTGGAGTGCAGTGGCACAATCTCAGCTCACTGCAACCTCTGCCTCCCGGGTTCAAGCGATTCACCTGCCTCAGCCTCCCGAGTAGCTGGTATTACAGGTGCCCACCACCACGCCCAGCTAATTTCTGTATTTTTAGTAGAGATGGGGTTTCATTGTGTTGGCCAAGCTGGTCTCGAACTCCTGACCTCAGGTGATCCGCCCACCTCGGCCTCCCAAAGTGCTGAGATTACAGGTGTGAGCCACCACCTCCGGCCCACTATTATAGCCTCCTGAGTAGCTGGGATTACAGGCACGCACCATCTTGCCCGGCTAATTTTTGTATTTTTGTAGAAACAGGGTTTCACCAGTTGGCCAGGCTGGTCTTGAACTCCTGACCTCAGGTGATCTGCCCGTCTTGGCCTTGCAAAGTGCTAGGATTACAGGTGTGCGGCCCCGCGCCTGGCCATTTTTTATTTTCTGTATATAATGATGTTTTGAAATCTGAAAAAACTTTTCTGTCTAGGGTGATTGCCCATGCCAGGGCTAGCCAATTCTTTTTTTTTTTTGAGACAGCATTTCACTCTTGTTGCCCAGGCTAGAGTACAATGGCGCAATCTAGGCTCACTGCAACCTCCGCCTCCCGAGTTTTTAAAGGGGTTTTCCTGCCTCAGCCTCTTGAGTAGCTGGGATTACAGGCGCCCACCACCACGCCCGGCTAGTTTTTTGTATTTTTAGTAGAGATGGGGTTTCACCATCTTGGCCAGGCTGGTCTTGAACTCCTGATGTCAGGTGATCCACCTGCCTTAGCCTCCCATAGTGCTGGGATTACAGGCGTGAGCCACCACTGTGCCCGGCTTTTTTTTTTTTTTTTTTTAAGACAAAGTCTCACTGTGGCCCTGGCTGGAGTGCAATGGTGCCATCTTGGCTCCCACCTGTAACCACCACCTCCCAGATTCAACTGATTCTCGTGCTTCAGCCTCCCGAGTAGCTGGGATTACAGGTGCATGGGACCGGGACTGGCTAATTTTTGTATTTTCAGTAGAGTCAGGGTCTCACCATGTTGGCTAGGCTGGTCTCAAACTCCTGACTTCAAGTGATCTGCCTACCTCAGCCTCCCAAAGTGCTGGGATTATAGGCATGCCCTACTGTGTTCAATCCCAATTATTTATTTTATTTTACTTTTTTGAGACAAGCTCACCAAGTTACCCAGGCTGGAGTGCAGTCGTGTGATCATGGCTCACTGCAGCCTCAAACTCCCAGGCTCAAGCTATCCTCCCACCTCAGCCTCCCAAGTAGCAAGAACTACAGGTGCACATCACCAAGGCTAATTTTTTTTTTTTAAATCTTTGAGACGGAGTTTCACTCTGTCGCCCATGCTAGAGTGCAGTGGCGCTATCTCAGCTCACTGCGACCTCTGCCCCCAGGGGTTCAGGAGATTCTCCTGCCTCAGACTCCTAAGTAGCTGGAATTACAGGTATGCACCACCACACCTGGCTAATTTTTGCATTTTTAGTAGAGAGGGTGTTTTGCCATATTGGCCAAGTTAGTCTCGAACTCTTGACCTTAGGTGATTCGCTTGCCTCAGCCTCCCAAAGTGCTAGGATTACAGGCATGAGACACCAAGCTCAGGCAATTTTTATGGTTTTGTAGAGACGGTGTTTTGCCATGTTGCCCAGGCTGGTGCCAGTTAAAGATAGCAAAGAACTCAGCTGAGAGCATGCTTTCTATATGCAAACTAACCAATCCAGAGCCCCATGGCCTCTATCTATACCCATGCACCAGGCCTTAACCATTTACTCTGCCCTGTCGTTCTACAAAATCCCAATAAAGGCTCTAGCCTTGGTTTCCCAAGCTAGAATTCAAACCCAATTCTAGCTTCTGCCACCTGACCCAAACCTGGTGCTTCCCCTGTGACCCTGCATGGTATGCAGTGACCCCCTCTTCAGGACCTGTAAGTATAATTATCTATTTTCCTGTGCATCTCCTTTATCTCCTCTTGTGGCCACACCTGACTCATAATCACATAAAATAACACGGAACACAGGTACTGGAGGATAAATACCGCAGAGTTTTTGCCCAGTGGTTCACATAATGGGGACCCCAGACTAGCAGCATAGGTACCACCTGAGAATTTGTTAGATGAAAAGGTTAATCTTTGGTCGGGCACGGTGGCTGACTCCTGTAATCCCAGCACTTTGGGAGGCCAAGGCGGGCAGATCACCTGAGGTCAGGAGTTCAAGACCATCCTGGCCAACATGGCGAAACCCTGGTCTCTACTAAAAATACAAAAATTAGCTGAGCATGGTGGTGGGTGCCTGTAATCCCAGCTACTCAGGAGGCTGAGGCAGGAGAATCACTTGAAACCAGGAGGAGGTTGCAGCGAGCCGAGATCGCACCATTGCACTCCAGCCTGGGCAACAAAGTGAGACTCCATCTCAAAAAAAAAAAAAAAAAAGTTAATCTTTGAGGTCAAATTTGGGTTTGAATTCTAGCTCCACACTAATCCTACCCTGCAGCAATGTCGTGAGGACTAAAAGAGATTCAATGAGATCACGTAAATAATTCTACTACTGAAACCACCTTTGCAAAATTATGACTGAGACAGTGAAAGAGATCTAACTTAACTGACTCCATCTTGCTTCTAACCTCCAAGTTATCTTTGTTCATTCCTGGGCGTAGGCTGAACTAACTTTGGGAGAAACTTAGTTTACAGTTTAAAACAAAGACAGAGGCTGGGTGTGGCGGCTCACCCCTGCAATCCCAGCACTTTTGGAGGCTGAGGTGGGCGGATTACGAGGTCAGTAGATCCAGACCATCCTGGCCAACACGGTGAAGCCTGGTCTCTACTAAAAATAAAAAATTAGCTGGGTGTGGTGACGGGTGCCTGTAATCCCAGCTACTCAGTAGGCTGGGGCAGGA
Organism: Homo sapiens; assembly: GCF_000001405.40. Lineage (NCBI taxonomy): Eukaryota > Metazoa > Chordata > Mammalia > Primates > Hominidae > Homo > Homo sapiens. The sequence continues at coordinate 151,087,231 of NC_000004.12, forward strand.
GAATTGCTTGAACCAGGGAGTCAGAAGTTGCGGTAAACTGAGATAGCGCCACTGCACTCCAACCAGCCTGGGCGACAGAGCGAGACAAAACAAAATAAAACAAACAAAGACAGTAATGGCCCTTTCCCAAAGCACTTCTCCTTCTTGCCTGGATTGCCTTTGTAGGACGAACATTAGCCACAAGATTAGAAAATACAGTTTAGGATTCATGCAGCCGGAGACTACAAGATTCTGACCCTCCCTAAACTGCTCCTAAAATCAGTGCTTGAGATATTTTGAAGACCCTGCTCTTGATGGATCAGCTGACACTACCCAGATGGATAAACTGGCTCATCTGATCTTGTGGCCTCCACCCAGGAACAGAAGACACCTTCGACTCCCTATGATTTCACCTCTGACCAATCAGAACTCCTGGCTCACTGGATTCCCCCTACCCACCAAGTTGTCCTTAAAGACTCTGCTTCCTGAATGCTTGAATGCTCGGATGCTCGGGGACACTGATTTGAGTAATAATAAAACCCCAGTCTCCCGCACAGCCGGCTCTGCGTGAATTACTTTTTCTCTATTGCAATTCTCCTGACTTGATGAATCCAGATCTCGACAGTGGTCAAGGTGAAAGCCATCGGGTAGTTACACTACTAGGTCAGGATTTCCACGATCTTTTCTTTCCCATTGCCATTGTGAACCCCAAATATCTGAGGCAGGTCTCAGTCAATTTAGGAAGTTTATTTTGTCCAAGTTAAGGACGCGCGTCCTTGACACAGCCTCAGAAAGTCCTGACGACATGTGCCCAAGGTGGTTGGGGCACAGCTTGGTTTTATACATTTTAAGGAGACATGAGACATCAATCAATATGTGTAAGATAGACATTGATTCCGTCTGGAAAGGTGGGACAACTCAAAGTGGGCAGGACGCTTCCAGGTCATAGATGTTAAGAGACAAATGGTTGCATTCTTTTGAGTTTCTGATTAGCCTTTCCAAAGGAGGCAATCAGATGTGCATTTATCTCAGTGAGCAAGGGGATGACTTTGAGTTCTGTCTGTCCTTTGTCCACAAGGAAATTCCCTGTGAGGGTGGTATGTAGCTTTTTAATCTTAGTAGCTATTTTTTTTTTTAAGGAATAGAATGAAAGGCAGGGGCTGGGTGGGGTGGCTCATGCCTGTAATTCTAACACTTTGGGAGGCTGAGGCCAGTGGATCACCTGAGGTCAGGAGTTCAAGACCAGCCTGGCCAACACGGAGAAACCTCGTCCTACTAAAGATACAAAAATTAACTAGGCGTGGTGGCATGTGCCTGTAGTCCCAGCTACTTGGGAGGTTGAGGCAGGAGGATCCCTTGAACCCAGGAGGCGGAGGTTGCAATGAGCAGAGATTGCACCACTGTACTCCAGCCTGGGTGACAAAGCAAGACTGTCAAAAATTTAAAAAAATGAAAATAAAAAGAAAGAAAATCAGGTTTTCAAGTAGTTCCCAGCTTGACTTTTCCCTTTGACTTAGTGATTTTGGGGTCCCAAGATTTATTTTATTTTCCTATCACACCATAATATAACAAAAGCTTCTACCTGTTTTCTCATTATTTTATTGTAACTACCAGAGGCTTAAATTACTTAAACTACTCATTTTAGCAATTATTGGGAAGGAAAAATGCACAAACAGGAATAGGAATAGAAAAATGAGGTTGCATGGTATTTCCAAGAAAAAGAGAAATTCAGTATGAGATCATTTTTCAAGGTACTCAGAAAAATTATTTGACATACCACCCTGAATGCTGGTGTATGCTCAAAGCCTGCAATGATAGCAGTTTTTAAAAAAATCACTGAAAAGTCTGGGCGTGGTGGCTCACGCCTGTAATACCAGCCCTTTGGGGGGGCCGAGGCAGGCAGATCACCTGAGGTCAGGAGTTCGAGACCAGCCTGGCCATCATGGTGAAACCCTGTCTCTAATAAAAATACAAAAAGGCCGGGTGCAGTAGCTCATGCCTGTAATCCCAGCACTTTGGGAGGTCGAGGCGGGCAGATCACGAGGTTTGGAGATCAAGACCATCCTGGCCAACATGGTGAAACCCTGTCTCTACTAAAAATATAAAAAATTAGCTGGGTGTGGTGGCACGTGCCTGTAATCCCAGCTACTCGGGAGGCTGAGGCAGAAGAACCCTTGAACCAGGGAGTCAGAGGTTGCAGTGAGCTGAGATCATGCCACTGCACTCCAGCCTGGCGACAGAATGAGACTCCATCTTAAAAAAAAAAAAATTGGCTGGGCGTGGTGACGTGCACCTGTAGTCCCAGCTACTGGGGAAGCTGAGGCAGGAGAATCACTTGAGCCTGGGAGGTGGAGTCTGCAGTGAGCTGAGACTGCACCACTGCACTCCAGCCTAAGCAACAGAGCGAGACTCTGTCTCAAAAATAATAATAATAAAAATAAAAATAACTGAAAAAAATCACCATTCTATGTATTTTTTATTTTACTGAGAGAATGCCAATAATCCTTTGAGGTGGGTAGGACAGGCATTACTACCTCCATTTTACAGGGACCTAAAACACAGAGGGATTAAGTGACTTGCCTGTGATTACAAAACTATTTGATGAGGAAGCTGGAATTGAAGTCATGTCAATTAATTACAAATTACATAGTCTCAGAGCTTTTGAGAATATCTCAAAACAAAGGTAATACTGAGAGGATAAGGGTCACTATGCACTTATAAATCCGATATATATTTATTCAATAGTTAATGGTTAATAATACTATTGAATAAATAAATATCGATTTATAAATAAAATTTTTTTATTGTTGAGATGGAGTCTTCCTCTATTGCCCAGGCTGGTGTGCAGTGACGTGATCTCCGCTCACTGCAACCTCTACCTCCCAGGTTCAAGGAATTCTCATGTCTTAGCCTCCTGAGTAGCTGGGACTATATATAGGCACTCGCCACCACACCTGGCTAATTTTTGTATTTTTTGTATTTTTTTTTTTTAGTAGACTCGGGTTTTCACTATGTTGGTGAGGCTGGTCTCAAACTCCTGACCTCAAGTCATCCACCTACCTTGGCCTCCCAAACTGCTGGGATTACAGGTGTGAGTCCCACTTCCAGCCAGTAAAAATCTTATTACAGTGAATACCATTGCATATACACAATGAATGCTATTTCCATAGGAAAGGAAGCAAAGAGGATCTCCATGCTATTTAAGAGAAGCTCCCTATTTCCAATACAGATTTTGGGAACAGAGGGTAGGAAGCATATGTATGGATATTTATTCCGATCAAAATTTAGCAGCCTGGGCAACATGGTGAAAGCTGATCTCTCCAAAAAAATACAAAAAATTAGCCAGGCATATGGTGGTGCATGCCTGTAGTCCCAGCTACCCAGGATGCTGAGGAAGGAGGATCGCTTGAACCCGGGAGGCAGAGGTTACTGTGATGATCACCTGTGAGCCCAGGAGGTCGAGACTGCAGTGAGCCGTGATGGCACCACTGCACTCCAGCCTGGGCGACAGACCATGACCCTGTCTCAAAAAAAATAAAACAAAATAAAAAGTTTAAACAAAATGAGTGAATCTTTTGAAAGCTTTGTCATTTGCCAGGTGCGGTGGCTCATGCCTGTTATCCCAGAACTTTGGGAGGCCAAGGCGGGTGGATCACCTGAGGTCAGGAGTTCGAGACCAGCCTGACTAACACGCAGAAACCGCCGTCTCTATTAAAAATACAAAATTAGCCGGGCATGGTGGCGCATGCCTGTAATCCCAGCTACTCAGGAGGCTGAGGCAGGAGAATCGCTTGACCTGGGAGGCAGAGGTTACTGTGAGCCGAGATCATGCCATTGCACTCCAGCCTGGGCAACAAGAGTGAAACTCCACCTCAAAAAGAAAAAAAAAAAAAAAGAAAGCTTTGTAATTTGACTTGACATGGACTTCATGGTAGTATGTACAGGACATCGCTGTTTTAGTATACCATGTGAAGGTATCGCTGAGTACAATCCATATATGGATATGGGAGTGTGTAAGTAAACAGAGACCCACATTACTCAATATCCTTAGATTCCAGACCACAAGATCCCTGAGGATAGAGGCTGTTCCCTCTCACACCCACATCACAGTACCTAGCACTAATGAATGAATACATAAATGAGTGAGTGAATGAACTCATTTTCTTTAAAATTATCCTTCTCCAACTCATCTTGTCAAAAGCACCTTTCTCTACTTCTGACCCTTGGGGTCACTATTCTGTCCTCAGTCAAAAATATTTCCACTCCAGGACCAGACTGAATTCCCTCCAGAAACAAGATCCTTTCTTCCCTTTAATCTAGGGGAAGATAAATGACAGATCAAGGTGACTCTCACAGTCATTTGGCCCCTGACTATGTTGGGGTCTTCTGGACTGCTCACATATATTTGCTTATTACCATTTCCATTATCTTACTCAGATTTTTGTGGGTTTTTTTTTTTTTTTTTGAGACAGAGTCTTGCTTTGTCGCCAGGCTGGAGTGCAGTGGCACGATCTTGGCTCACTGCAACCTCTGCCACCTCGTTTCAAGAGATTCTCGTGCCTCAGCCTCCGGAGTAGCTGGGACTACAGGCGTGCACCACCACACCCAGCTAATTTTTGTATTTTTAGTAGAGATGGGGTTTCACCATGTTGGCCAGGCTGGTCTCGGTCTCCTGACCTCGTGATCTGCCCACCTCGGCCTCCCAAAGTGCTGGAATTTATCTTACTTAGTTTTTATAAGCCAAGCTTCTGATCGAAATCAGCACATTCAAGGTTCTTACTGCTCATTCTATTTTCCAAGCCTTTAATTTCTGCATGTCAATGAAAAGAGTCAAACTCTGCAAGATATTTAAAGAGATTTACTCTGAGCCAAATATGAGTGGCCATGGGCCATGACACAGCCCTGGAGATCCTGAGAACCTGTGCCCAATGTGGTCAGGTTACAGCTTGGTTTTATACGTTTTAGTGGGACACAGGACATCAATCAATACATGTAAGATGTACAGCCCAGGCGCGGTGGCTCACGCCTGTAATCCCAGCACTTTGGGAGGCCAAGGCAGGTGGATCACCTGAGGTCAGGAGTTGTAGACCAGCCTGGCCAATATGGTAAAACCCTGTCTCTACTAAAAATGCAAAAATTAGCCAGGTGGTGGTGGTGGGTGCCTGTAATTCCAGTAACTCGGGAGTCTGAGGCAGGAAAATCGCTTGAACCCAGGAGGCGGAGGTTGCGGTGAGCTGAGATCGCGCCATTGCACTCCAGCCTGGGGTACAAGAGCGAAACTCCATCTCAAAAAAACACAAAAAACAAAAAGCGAAAATACACAAAGATGTACATTGGTCAGGAAAGACAGGACAATTTGAAGTCAGGTCTGGTGGAGGGGCTTCCAGGTCATAGATGGATTCAGAGATTTTCAGATTGGCAGTAGGTTGAAAGAGTTTATCTAAAGACCTAGAATCAATAGAAGGGAGTGTCTGCGTTAAGATAAGGAGTTGTGGAGACCAAAGTTCTTACTATGCAGATGAAGCCTCCAGGTAGCAGGCTTAGAGAGAATAGATTGTAAATGTTTCTTATGAGACATGAAAAGGTGCCAGACTTAATTAAGGTGCCAGACTTAATTCGCTCCTGGATGAGGAAAAAGACCTGGAAAGGGAAGGGGATTCTCTACAAAATGTAGATTTTTCTCCACAAGAGACAGTTTTGCAAGGTCATTTAAAAATATGTCAAAGAAATATATTTTGGGGTCAGGCGCAGTGGCTCATGTCAGTAATCCCAAGAACTTTGGGAGGCCGAGGCTGACAAATTGCTTGAGCCCAGGAATTCAAGACCAGCCTGGGCAACATGGCGAAACCCTGTCTCTAGAAAAAATACGAAAAAATTAGCCAGGCATGATGGCACATGCCTGTAGTCCCAGCTACTTGAGAAGCTGAGGTAGGAAGATTGCTTCAGCCAGGACGATTGAGGCTGCAGTGAGCCGAGATCACGTCACTGCACCCCAGCCTGGGCAATAGAGTGGGACCCTGTCTCCCCTCCCAATCCCCAGCATATCCCCCAAAATATATATTTTGGGATAGAATATTTTATTTCTTTCAGGGCCCACTATCTGTCATGTTGGTATCTTCTTGCCACAAGAGTTGGCTTTGTCAGTCTTAAGGTCTCTGTCAATGTTAATGCTGGTCAGTTGCACCTGAATTCCAAGGGGAGGAGGGTATAATGAGGTATGTCTGACCCATCATGGCCTGAACTAGTGTTTTAGGTTTACTTTGGAATGCTCTTAGCTGACAGGAGGAGTCCGTTCAGTTGGTTGGGGGCTTAGAATTTTATTTTTGGTTTATATTCAGAATCTTTCACGCATTGTATTCCACAGTTTTACAGATGTATGAACTTTGCGATTAGCCAGTTAAGAAAAAAAAATTGGTCGGGCATGGTGGCTCACACCTGTAATCCCAGCACTTTGGGAGGCTGGGATGGGTGGATCACCTGAGGTCAGGAGTTCAAGACCAGCCTGGCCAACATGGTGAAACTCTGTCTCTACTAAAAATACAAAAAACTTATCTGGGCACGGTGGCGCACGCCTGTAGTCCCAGATACTTGGGAGCCTGAGGAATGAGAATCACTTAAACCCAGGTGGGAGGCTGCAGTAGGCAGAGTTTGCAGTAAGCACTGCACTCCACCCTGGGCAACAGAGTGAGACACTGTCTCAATAAAATAAAATAAAAAAGAAAAAGAAAAAAAATTCACTCTATACAATTGTTATTGATCTGTTGTAAATGGATTGTTAATCAACAAATGTTGGAAATAAGTTGTCTTTTTTGGTAAAAGGGTAAGGGTAAGAAGAATGGGAAAAAAAATGAAAGGAAGCAACTTTTTTTGAGCATCTACTTTATGCCAGATATTTTGCTATGCATTTAATTTTCACAAAAACCTTATAAGTAAGGGAGACAGATAATAATTGTTCCTAAATATCTGTTCTTCCCTTCTTGGAAAGTAACAGAATATTTGGTGGGCACATGGCTTTTCTGCTAAGTTCTATTATTACATTTCTCAGCCAGTCTCGTAGCTAGGGACACAGGAAAGTGACATGAGCAGAATGGATGTGTGTAACTTGTGGATGGTACTGTGTAAGGAAAGGAATGTGCCCTCCTCTTTGCTTCTCCCTCTCTCTGCTGGACTAAATGTTGACTTTTCTTTCTATTTTTTAGAGACAAGTCAACAAGGCTGGAGTGCAGTGGTACAATCACAGCTCCCTCCAGCCTTGAACTCTGGGGCTCAAGCAATCCTCCTGCCTTGGCCTCCCAAAGTGCTAGAATTACAGATATGAGCCACTGCACGCCCAGCGTAAATGTTGACTTTTCATTCCAGACCACATGGATGACAGCACAGTATGGATAGCAGAGTAATAAGACTGATGAAATCACTGACACCTAGGTAACCAACACTATGGGGCATACACATCATCAGCCCTGGACTGCATCCACTTGGACTGTCACATAAGTGAGAAATAACTTCTACCTTGTTTTTTTTTTTTTTTTCTGAGACAGAGTCTCGCCCTGTCATCCAGGCTGGAGTGCAACAGCGCGATCTCAGTTCACTGCAACCTCTGCCTCCTGGGTTCAAGCGATTCTCTTGCCTCAGCCTCCCGAGTAGCTGGGACTACAGGTGCCTGCCACCACACCCAGGCAATTTTTGTATTTTTAGTAGAGATGGGGTTTCACCATGTTGGCCAGGCTGGTCTCAAATTCCTGACCTCATGATCCGCCCTCCTCGGCCTCCCAAAGTGCTGGGATTACAGGCGTGAGCCACTGCACCTGGCCAACTTCTACTTTGTTTATGCCACTGTTATTTAAGTCTCTGTTACAGCTTCTGAACCAAGTTGTTGTGTAACTCCCTGTGCAATCTATGTGAGTGGCTCTCCTGGAATTGTCCAACATGGCAGCCTTGAACTGAACTAATATGGTAATGAGAAAACAAGTTCAGAAAGATTAAAAATTTTTCTGAAGTCAAACTGCTACGTGATAATAGCAAAGACATGGAATCAACCTAAATGCCCATCAATGGCAGACTGGATAAGGAAAATGTAGTATATACACACCATGGACTACTACGCAGCCATAAAAAAAGAACAAGATCATGTCTTTTTCAGGAACAAGAATGGAGCTTGAGGCCATTATCCATAGCAAACTAACACAGGAACAGAAAACCAAATACTACATTCTCGCTTATAAGTGTATAAGTGGGAGCTAAATAATGAGAACACATGGGCACAAAGAGGAGAACACAGACACTGGGGACTACTTGAGAATGGAGGGTGGAGGGTGGAAGGAAGGAGAGGATCAGAAAAAATAACTAGTGGGTACTAGGCTTAGCACCTTAGATAAAACAATCTATACAACAAACCCCCATGACATGAGTTTACCAATATAACAAACCTGCCCATGTACCCCGAACCTAAAGTAAATGTTTAAAACCAAAAATGACAACAAAAAAAACTATGTGATAAGGTGGGATTGAACCTAGACCTACATGATACCAAATAGTGATTGTACTAGATTCTAGCCCTGGATTTTCACTTCGTGAAATGTTGCTGACTAGAAGGAAAGTTCCAGCACTTGTGCTTTTACAGTACGAGCAGTGTTTTGTTTTGTTTTGTTTTGTTTTTTCTGAGAAGGAGTCTCTCTGTCACCCACACTGGAGTGCAGTGGTTTCAATTCCCATGTTAAAACAGCAACAACGATGGCAGTGTGGATAGTGAAGCAAAGGGAGTGCCCCTGCCCTGGACGTGTGCTGCGCTTAGGAACAGCAATGGTATGAAGGAATCCAGTTTGGTTGTACCTCTGTACTTTTAGAATGACACTAATATCACCATGTACAGATTTAATCTCAGCTTTTGTTCTCAATCCTCTTGCTTTATATCCTGGAACAAGTTCTTTCTTCCTATCTGGCAATCACAACAAACTCTGCAGGGGAGACAGGGATGGGAAATGACTCCAACAAGAGCAACACTCAACATAAAGTTATCACAAGGTTGAGGACAGGGAGATGTTGATATAAATGTCAGTGGGCAGTGGAGAGAAAGCTAGATAATAAATCTTATATTTATTTTGGGGAACAGAGAAAAGGAAAGTTAAAGTTACTGAATGTCTACTACAATTATGTGCCACATAATGACTTCCAGTCAATACCAGTATCCCACAAGATTATAATACTGTACTTTTTTTTTTTTTAGATGGAATCTCGCTCTGTCACCCAGCCTGGAGTACAGTGGCGCAATCTCGGCTCACTGCAACCTCCGCCTCCCAGGTTCCAGTGATTCTCCTGCCTCAGCCTCCCAAATAGCTGGGATTACAGGTGCCCATCGCCATGCCTGGATAATTTTTGTATTGTTAGTAGAGACAGGGTTTCACCATGTTGGCCAGGCTGGTCTCCAACTCCTGACCTCAGCTGACCTGCCCATCTCAGCCTCCCAAAGTGTTGGGATTACAGGCGTGAGCCACCACACCCAGCCAATGAAACAATATTGACACCTTACTAGGTTTGATGTATTCTGACATTTTTCTGTTCCATTTTATTATTATTTTTTTAGAGACAGGGTCTCACTTAGTGGTACCATCATGGCTCACTGCTGCCTCAACCTCCCGGGCTCAGACGATCCTCCCACCTAGCCTCCTAAGTAGCTGGGACCACAAGTCACCACCACACCTGACTCATTTTTGTATTTTTTGTAGAGACAGCGTTTTTTGCCATGTTGTCCAGGCTGGTCTCCAACTCTTGAGCTCAAAAGATTCACTCGTCTCAGCCTCCCAAAATGCTGAGGCGTGAACCACCGTGCCTGGCCTGTTCCATTTTATTCTATCTGAAAATATTAAATGATGGTTGAGACCCAATAAACTAATTTCACACCCCCTAACTTTTATTCAACACAATTACATTAAAACTGCTGATTGCACCATTTAATGTAAAGGGTCAGAAAAATATTAATAGAAAATTTTTAAAGCTTTTACTACAAAACAAAGTTGAGGATTGAAATACAGACCTCTGACAAATCCCTTAGGTGCTGGTGCTGCTAAAATAAATTAGATGCAGCTGACTTCATTAAGGTCTCTCCCTGTGGCTTTCACTCTTGGGCAGAAAGAGGAATCAGACCAGGAAGAAGGTAAGTTTGGTTTTTATGCTGGAGTAGGCAGACTGGGGGCCCATAATATATACATATACATACATATATATATATATATATATATTTTTTTTTTTTAGATGGAGTTTCACTCTGTCCAGCCCAGGCTGGAGTGCAGTGGTGTGATTTCGGCTCACTGCAGCCTCCACTTCCCAGGTTCAAGCGATTCTCGTACCTCAGCCTCCCGAGTAGCTGAGACTACAGGTGTGCACTACCACGCCCAGCTAATTTTTGTATTTTTAGTAGAGACGGGGTTTCACCATGTTGTCCAGGCTGGTCTCGAACTCCTGGCCTCAAGTGATCCATCTGCCTTGGCCTCCCAAAGTGCTGGGGATCCTCCTACCTCAGCCTTCCGAGTAGTTGGGACTACAGGCATGAGCTATCAAGCCGGGCTAATTTTTTTTTATTTTTAGTTGAGATTAGGTCTTGTAATGTTGCCCAGGCTGGTATCAAACTCCTGAGCTCAAGAAAACCTCCTGCCTTGGCCTCTTAAAGTGCTGAGATTACAGGCATGAGCCACCACCTGGCCAAATTAACCATCTTAATCATCTTTTTAAAAAAGAGATGGGGTCTCACTATGTTGCCCAGGCTGGAGTCCTACTCCTAGCCTCAAGTGATCCTCCTGCCTCTGCCTTCCGAATACCTGGAACTAGCGGCCTGAGACACCTGGCAGGGCTACCTTAACCTTTTTTAAGTGTAGAGTTCAGTAGTGTTAAGTACATTCATACTATTATGAAACTAAGACTTTGAATTTATCCTCCAGGCAACTGAGATTTATGGAATTACTGAAAGATTTCAGGACCCTACTAGAGGTTTAGGAAGGTTGTCTTGGGGGGTGGGTGTAGTGGGAGGTAGGGGATGGAGGCTAGCAGGACTGGAAGGGATTGTAAGTTTAAAAGCTTGCAGGGGGCCTTGTAAGTAAGGGTTGGTTTTGGCTTGGTCACAGGGTTTTCTGCCAGAGGGGAAGTTAGAGAAGGGAACTCAACACACCACTGGCTGAGTACCAAGCCTGTATGGGCCAGATGCTTTCCGAGGGCTGCACACTTGAGCTAGCCAGCCACACCTTGCCAGGATGTGCTCTGTTAACCCCTACAGTTAAAAAAAATGGGGGAGGCGGGTTTGGATTAGTTGCAAAAATGGAAACATTTGGAGATCTCACTTTTTTTTTTTTGACGCAGTTTCACTCTTGTTGGCCAGGCAATGGCGCGATCTCGGCTCACTGCAACTTCCGCCTCCTGAGCTCAGATTCTCGTGCCTCAGCCTCCCGAGTAGCTGGGATTACAGGCACCCACCCGGCTAATTTTTTGTATGTTTAGTAGAGACGGGGTTTCACTATGTTGGCCAGGCTGGTCTCGAACTCCTGAGCTCAGGCGATCCGCCCGCCTCAGCCTCCCAAAGTGCTGGGATTACAGGCGTGAGCCACCGCGCCCGGCCAACGCCCTGCTAATTTTATCATTTTCTTGTAAAGACGGGGTCTGGCTGTGTGGCCCAGGCTAGTCTCCAATTCCTGGCTTCAGTTGATTCCCCTGCCTCAGCCTCTTAAAGTGCTGGGATTACAGGTGTGAGCCAACGAGTTCGGTCTCACTCTATTTTAAAAAAACCTTTTAATCAATATATAACAGACATATAGAAAAGGACACAAATAAGCGTAGAGCTTAGTGAATGTTCACAAAGCAACAACACCTGAGATGAACCAGCATCCACATCAACAAGCAGAACGTCGCTAGCATCTCTGGAGTGATGCTCATTTAGCCCTATGAAACCTCATGAAGCCGACCGTTTTATCACCCCCATATTACGCATGAGGAAACAAGCGTGGAGAGGTCGGTCTCAAGCAAAGCCCTGTTGAAACCGGCATTTGAATCAGATCCGCTGACTGACTCCAAAGCCAATGCTCTCAAAAAGCAGGTTTGGGGGTTAGACGGTGAGTTCAGCTTTGAACGATGTTGAGTGGGCGTCTCGTTTTACAGAAACTTACTTCCCGACGTCACAGCCACAGAAACCACAGGTAACCAGACGCCTGCACGTCAGGCCACCGACGCCTTGGTCTACACAGCGCAGCCTCCAGTGAGCCCGCGGCATGCCGCGCGGCCTCCCCACACACGATGGCGATGTCGCAACCACAGTAGAAAGAGTGGCGCTCTCTACTGTCCCGGAATTCTTGAGGCCGGAAGAATAACAGGGCAAAGGTCACGTAGACGGCGCGCCCCGCCCCCGTACGCCTAAGTTCTCGCGCGACTCCCACTTCCGCCCTTTTGGCTCTCTGACCAGCACCATGGCGGTTGGCAAGAACAAGCGCCTTACGAAAGGCGGCAAAAAGGGAGCCAAGAAGAAAGTGTAAGTCGCGACTGTCGTGGCGTCTTGCTTTTTGGGGGTCTGCTGGAATCGGCGGGCTGGTCCTAGATCGCGGCGTAGGCCGGATGGCGAGGATTCCAGTCGGATTGTGCGGGCCGTGGCGGGTTGGTGCACCCAGGAACGCGGCCTGGAGGGTCGGTGTTGAGTAGCGGCAGGTCGGCTGCCTTTCCCAGGCCTTCTGGTCCTTGCGCGCGTCGCGTTTGAGCCGGCTTGCCGGCGCGACTCGGCTGGAATGTTAGTTTTGTGGGCTCACGAGCTGCCTCAATTCTGCGAGTGTTTGATGGCACTGCGACAGCAGGAGTTGAGGAAAGCACCCTTCTATCCATTCAGGACCCGTCAATCTCGCCTTTGCTTGGTCCCGCTGGAATCTGCGAGCTCCTGCTAAGCTTTGGGGCCATGCAGTCTCTTAGTTACCAGTACATGCCATTACGTGCCAGCAAAGTTAATGAGATTGCATGTTACTCGTGCCTGTGTAGTGGAAGGACCGATGCATGTTATTCTAAGTGCCTGTGTAGTGGATGGACCGATGAGGGTGGGAAGTGGACATAACCTTTCAAAGTCTGATGCATGCAGTGAAACGTACAGTGGGAAGAGCTAGATTTATGTTTGTTCCCCTCACCTCACTGTGAGATATACTTTGGTATCAAATTGCCGGTTAGCTTTTTAAAATATTAATGGGAAATACCATTAACAGTGAAAAATACAGTAAGAATTGATCTGCAATGGAACTTAAGCATCTTCTTAAAATCCAGGGTTGATCCATTTTCTAAGAAAGATTGGTATGATGTGAAAGCACCTGCTATGTTCAATATAAGAAATATTGGAAAGACGCTCGTCACCAGGACCCAAGGAACCAGTAAGTAGCTTATTCTTGGTTTGTATTTTCCTTAAGTTGGCGCTTGTATATTGTAGCAGGCATCTTGGTCTGTTGTTGGTCCTGTGGTGGGAGACTTTAAGGAAATGTCAGCTCTTGGTTGCAGCCTTGGCACCTGTGGTGATCATTTTTAGTACAGCACTTGGAGAGAAGCAAGATGGTGCTTTTTGAATTAAGAAAATGTGCCATGGGTAGTTCTGAGCTTCAAATAAGTACTGTTGATAAGTCACTGGTGTCTGGATAGATTTGATAACAAAGGTTAAGGTCTTTATAATTTACCATTAACTTAATTTCTACCCTCAGTTTACAGGCTTGACTTTGCTTATATGGTTCCTAAATGTTAAGATACTTGTTTTTTTCTTTTGTAGAAATTGCATCTGATGGTCTCAAGGGTCGTGTGTTTGAAGTGAGTCTTGCTGATTTGCAGAATGATGAAGTTGCATTTAGAAAATTCAAGCTGATTACTGAAGATGTTCAGGGTAAAAACTGCCTGACTAACTTCCATGGCATGGATCTTACCCGTGACAAAATGTGTTCCATGGTCAAAAAATGGCAGGTGAGACCCAAAGTTCCTTAGAGTGGTTGTGCTATGGGTGTTTGACCAAGGATAGCATGGTTTGATGACTGGAAGGAGCAAGTTCATTTTATTTATTTATTGAGACCAGTGAAATGTCCACAAAGTTCATTTTAAATTTTTGTTTTCTTGCCGTTGTTGAGTGCTAACTCTGGGGTTGCCACACCATATTTTACTTACTATTTAAATCTAAGATTTAATAGTGGTGTATCATCAAAGTCAGATTTTCTTGCTGCATAGATTAGTGGTTTTTTGAGGAACGTTTAGGTGCAGGTGGGCGGTTTTGCCTGTCTTAAGGATGTTTTTTGACCTCAGAATTGAGTGAATGTTGATTAACTGTGGCAGTAGAGCATAATTGTGGCAGAGCCTCTGGAGTGAGGTTAAAATCTGGGCTCCATTTGCCTATTGTGTTCTCGTTGGAAAGTAACTTGTTTTCTAAGCCTCGGTTTCTTTATTTGTAAAGTGCAGATAAGAGTGTCATTTTATTGAATTGTGAGGATGAAATGAAAATATTTCAGATGTGTCTGGCTAACTATCCAGTTGGAATATTTTGTGGGAGTTTTTTGTTTTTGGGAGATTGAGTCTCTTATCGTCCGGGCTGGAGTGCAGTGGCGCCATCTCTGCTCACTGCAACCTCCTCCTCCTGGGTTCAAGGGATTCTCATGCCTCAGCCTCCCAAGTAGCTGGGATTACAGGCACCCGCCACCACGCCCAGCTAATTTTTGTATTTTTAGTAGAGACAGGGTTTCACCATATTGGCCAGGCTGGTCTCGAACTCCTGACTTCAAGTGATCTGCCCGCCTCAGCCTCTCAAAGTGCTGGGATTACAGGTGTGAGCCACTGCACCTGGCACAGTTCGAATATTTTGTATGTGGGAATGAATGATGACAAAATGTTTCAGTCCCAAATGATACATACTGATTATACCATTATATTTATCCTGACATTCCTCTAAGGCTTTATGGTTTACATTTCTAGAAATATTTTAAGGTCCCTTAGCTGTAAATTGTATTTGATTAGTTTTTTTTTATACTAAGGTATAAAATTTACAAAATGCAAACAAGGTAAATCAGTTTTCATCACTACCCAAGATGTTTTTTGTTTTTTCAATTTAGGCAATAATATGACCACTAACTAGGGGTTTTTAATTATATTTTAGCTCTGAAATTGGGTATTTAATCATCAGCATGGCTTTAGTTTGGAACATAAAAGACGTCTTTCAAAGTGTGCATTTAGAGTTATAGCAGTCACCTATTTACAACACAGTTTTTTGAAAAATGACATAATCACTGTAGATGTGTTCATACCATAGAATACCATGGATCCTCTCAGACCTATTTTCCTCTGGTGTAGTTTTACACTTGAGGGGGTATGAGCTGTTTAAAGGGGTATATGTATATGCAATGGATGTGGGTTTGGATGCCGTCAAGATAGTGGTAGTGTTAATGGAGGGTAGAAAGGAGGAGGGAGGGCAGTTGAGAGGACCTGGTTATTTAATTGGGTAAGAATTTGGGGGTAACTTGGTAAGTTCAAGGAAGTTAATTCTGTAAACTTAAAGAGATGTTACTTATGTTAGGATACTTTATATTTAATAATGAGTGTTTGACAATCCAGCTTTTTAAAATTAGAACTTGAGGGATAAATGGATAACGTAAAACCTGTTAAATCTGACGGTATCTTTTTTCTCCAGACAATGATTGAAGCTCACGTTGATGTCAAGACTACCGATGGTTACTTGCTTCGTCTGTTCTGTGTTGGTTTTACTAAAAAACGCAACAATCAGATACGGAAGACCTCTTATGCTCAGCACCAACAGGTCCGCCAAATCCGGAAGAAGATGATGGAAATCATGACCCGAGAGGTGCAGACAAATGACTTGAAAGAAGTGGTCAATAAATTGTAAGTGTTTCTTTGCTTCCTCACACAACACAACCTTGAGTATTGGATTATTCCTGAGATGAGAGAACGCATATGAGACAAGGTAAAGGTCTGTTGAAATCCTGTCTGTGAATCCTTCTAGCTATATCTCTTTAAGTGAAAGAGTGTTAAGTACTCAGTAAATATGATTATTATTACTATTATTATTTGAGTCAGAGTCTTGCTCTGTTGCCCAGGCTCGAGTGCAGTATTGTGATCCTCCTTGGCTCACTGTAACCACTGCTTCCTGGGTTCAAGCAGTTCTTGAGCCTCAGCCTCCTGAGTATCTGGGAATACAGGGGACTGCCACCATACCCAGCTAATTTTTTTAAATTTTTAGTAGAGATGGGGTTTCATCATGTTGGCCAGGCTGGTCTTGAACTCCTGACTTCAGGTGATCTGCCAGTACTCTAAATGATAACAGTTTTTTCGTGTTTATTTATTTTGAATGAAGCTGTCTCACAGTAGATGGAGTTGAAGGACAGGAAATGTTTTTCCCCTACTTGGAAAATACACTGAATAAGTTGAGTGGGGTGGGATGTGCCTGGAGTCCCAGCTACTCAGGAGGCTGAGGTGGTAGGATTGTTTGAGCCCAGGAGTTTGAGGCCAGCCTGGGCAATATAGGGAGACCCTGTCCCAAAAAATAAAAAATATACGTATATATATATACACACACAAAGAAAAAATACACTGAATAGACAAAACCTTTCATGATTAATGATGCACGGGAATAAGTGATGAAAAAAGTTTCGGTCCCAGATGATGGCCAGTGATAACAACATTTTTCTGATGTTCCCATGCAATATACAGTTAGCTAAGAGGGTGTAATGGAAAAAGCATAAGGCTTGGACTCAGAAGACTCTACTAACTTTGCCACTAGCTAGCTATGTAATTCAGATCATCTATCCTTTACATGTGAAAGGTAAATAATGGCTTATCTTAACAGGAGGATTTATGCAGGTTAAATGAGGTAGGTGTTATGTGTAGGTTTATTCCAAGGCTTCTCTACTTTTAAAGGAAATGGCTTATATCTGAGAACTAGGACTTTTAGAAAAAAATTTACTGTTACTGGTTTGCAGGATTCCAGACAGCATTGGAAAAGACATAGAAAAGGCTTGCCAATCTATTTATCCTCTCCATGATGTCTTCGTTAGAAAAGTAAAAATGCTGAAGAAGCCCAAGTTTGAATGTAAGTGAGAAATCACATGATTCCTGTAGGGCCAAATACATTGTTTTTGGGTGGAGGAGGAGTGTGGGGCCATATCATGGCCTTCTTTTTCTTCCTGTCATGCTTGCATAGTAGTGATGACCATTATTTCAAGATATACTAACAGTTTTTTGGTTTTTTTTTTTTTTTTTTTTTTTGCCTTTTAGTGGGAAAGCTCATGGAGCTTCATGGTGAAGGCAGTAGTTCTGGAAAAGCCACTGGGGACGAGACAGGTGCTAAAGTTGAACGAGCTGATGGATATGAACCACCAGTCCAAGAATCTGTTTAAAGTTCAGACTTCAAATAGTGGCAAATAAAAAGTGCTATTTGTGATGGTTTGCTTCTGAACATTCTTTTTTTAAAAATAATCTGACAGCTTGGTGGATTAGACAGTAAATTTGACAGCTGGTAAACTTTTCTGACCCAGACAAATTGGATATAAACATACTACTATGCACCTTTACTGTGAAGCTGAAATGGGGCGGAGAAGCTGTTACCAAGTGGGCATTTAGTGCTATCCACCTATAGTCACTCATTCATTCAGTTTCTACCTCTTCTCAAGCCTTTTCAGTTTTCTCATTTCTTGCTTAGCTGATAACCTTGCTTCCTTTAATCACTAAAAAAGTTTAAAGCAGAGAAAAGAACCCCACAAATTTCTGTTACCTATATTCTGCCACCTATGCATGTGTTAATCATACTACCTTCTGTCATACCACTGGATGGATTGTGCTAAGACATAAGACAGCCTTTTTTTTTTTTGCCCAATCAGCCTCATGGCTTCAGCAATTCACACCTTTATCAATTCCTCGCTGTCCCTTGTATACTAGTATACAAATACTAGTATACCCTCCCAGAGCACCTTACTAAGTCCCTTTATAGCAAAGCTCAAAGGAATTTTTTATATATTGGTATCATTTAATTTTTTTTAATTTTTAAAACTTTTTTACATATAAAATATATTTTAAAGGTCAAGTGCGTAGCTCATGCCAGTAATCCCAGCACTTTGGGAGGCTGAGGTGGGTGGATTGCTTGAGGTCAGAAGTTCAAGACCAGCCTGGCCAACATGGTGAGACACCGTCTCACCTAAAAAAAATAAAATTAGCCAGGTGTGGTGGCGGGGTGCCTGTAATCCCAGCTTCTCGGGAGGCTGAGGCATGAAAATCACTTGAACCTGGGAGGTGGAGGTTGCAGTGAGCTGCACTCCAGTCTGGGCTACAAAATGAGACTGTTGAAAAAAAAATTACATTTGAGAGACATGATCTTACTCTGTCACCCAGGATGGAGTAGAATGGTGTGATCATAGCTCGCTGTAACCCTAAAGTCCTGGGCTCAAGCAGCCCTCCCTCTCAGGCCTCCTGAGTAGTTGGGACACAGGCCTGTGCCACACCACACCCAGCTTTTTTTATTTTAAAGACAGTCTCACTGTCACCCAGGCTGGAGTGTGTTAGTGCGATCTTGGGTCACTGCAACCTCCATCTCCCAGGTTCAAGCGATGCTTGTGTCTCAGCCTCCCCAGTAGCTAGGATTATAGGCACCCACCACCATGCTGGGCTAATTTTTGCATTTTTTAGTGGAGATGGGGGTTTCGCCATGTTGGCAAGGCTTGTCTTGAATTCCTGGCCTCAAGTGATCCTCCCGCCTTGGCCTCCCAAATTGCTGAGATTACAGGTGTGAGCCACTGCACCAGGCCTAATCTGCTAGTTTTTAAGTTCTTTGTAGGGTCTTGGCTGTTATGTCCAGACTGGTCTCAAATTCCTGGCCTCAAGGGATCTTCCTGCCTCAGCCTCCAAAGTGCTGGGAGTATAGGTGTGAGCCATGGTGCCCAGCCACATTTTTTAGTTTTTATTTTATTTTTCTTCAATTTGCTGCAGTTAGGCTTTCCTCCCAACACCACTCCAAGACATTTCATTGTCAAGATTAGCAGTGATTTTGTTGCTAAATTCAGTGGTCCATTCTTTTACTAGAGGTCTTTTACTTGACCTCTGTTAGTGACTTGCTTATCACTTTGTCCTGTTAGTGACTCTTGACAGTTGATTTCTTCCTGATTTTAACTGTCTTCCAGATCCTCGACTCAAGCTTTTCCTCCTACATCATTGGCTACTCCTTTACTAGTTCATTTTTTAGACTTTTAATCAGTTTTAGAAGGCCCTAGGGCTGGTCGGGTGCAGTGGCTCACGCCTGTAATCCCAGCACTTTGGGAGGCTGAGGCGGGCGGATCACGAGGTCAGGAGTTACAGACCAGGCTGGCCAACACAGTGAAACCCTGTCTCTACTAAAAAATACAAAAAGTTAGCCGGGTGTGGTGGTGTGCACCTGTAATCCCAGCTACTTGGGAGACTGAGGCAGGAGAATTGCGTGAACCTGGGAGGCAGAGGTTGTAGTGAGCTGAGATTGGGCCATTGCACTCCAGCTGAGGAGACAGTGTGAGACTCCGTCTCAAAAAAAAAAAAAAAGAAGGCCCTAGGGCTTGGTCGTTAGACATTTCTATACTCTCCCTAGGTTCTTGGTTTTAAATTAATGGAGATTTTTATATTTCTAGCCTATACCTTTCTTTGGGACATCCAGGTTTGTCTAAGTGCCTACTTGATATCCCCACTTGGATGTCAGACAGGCATTTAACATACAGTGTTCTAAAATGGTATTATCTCAATTGTACCCACCCTTTTGGTTGCTTAGGCCAAAATCCTCTGTGGTCATCCTTGACCATTCACAGTTGATTCAAACTATATATATCTGGAGTCTAATCAGTTATTACCATCTTCTGCTATTTGAAACAAGCCACCATTACTACTTGGATTGTTCCTGCCTACCTTGTCTATGTCCTATCTTGTGGAAGTCTTTTATTTTTTATAGGCAGGATCTCACTCTGTTGCCCAGAATGGAATGCAGTGAGACAATCAGCTCACTGCAGCTTTGCATTCCTGGGCTCAAGTGATCCTCCTGCCTTAGCCTCCTGAGTAGCTGGGGCTACAGGTGTGTGCCACCATGGCTGGCTAATTTTAAAATATTTCATGTGGAAATGGGGTCTTGCTATATTCCCAAGGCTCCAAGGCTGGTCTGGAACTCCTGGCCTCAAGTGATCCTCCCGATTACGGGTATGAGCCACTATACCAGGCCCTGAAAATCTGTTTTAGACGATTCATTCAAAGATCCCATGTGATCTTGCATCTGACTTGTCTCTTACTCCTATTCCCCTTGCTCTTCCCTGTGCTTGAAATATTCTCCTTTACATGGCCACAGTGTTTATTTCACCTCCTTGAAGTCTCTGCTGTTTGTTGTTTATTTTTAAGCAACCTGAATGAGGAATTGAAGTTTGTTCTAATAATGTCTCCTCCGTAGAATCTGGTGGTGCCCTCTGACACTTGTGATTTTTTTCCAGTTTTGTTTACTCGTGTCTATGAGAAAAATTCCATGAGGACAGTGTTTTTGGTGGTGGTAGGGCACTGATTAATTGTCAGATCATCATTGCCTAGTTCAATATTTGTTGAATAAAGGAATGAGTGATATTCCCTATTAATGTCCCTTAGCCAAGAAACAAATGCCTTACTTTCTACTAAAGGCTGGTTTAGACATAGATATGGGTCCCAAATGGCAGGGGCTCCCTCCCCAGGGTAGAAAAAGAGGTCATGGGATGAGGACTGATTATTACATAAATGGTGGTTTTCCTCTTGATGCACTGAGGCTGGATATCATTTAGTAAGGTAATAGTATAATCCATAATCAAGCTCTAATCTGCTACACCTTGGAATAGGGGTTGGCATAGTATTCTATTTTTAGAAGGGCTCATTTGAAAGAGGTTCCAAAAATAATGCTTTTTTTTTTTTTTTTTCGAGACAGAGTCTTGCTCTGTCGCCCAGACTGGAGTGCAGTGGCACAATCTCAGCTCACTGCAACCTCTGCTTCCCGGGTTCAAGTCATTCTGCCTTAGCCTCCCAAGTAGCTGGGATTACAGGTGCCGGCCTCCACACCCGGCTAATTTTTTGTATTTTTAGTAGAGACGGGGTTTCACCATGTTGGCCAGGGTGGTCTCGAACCCCTGACCTTAGGTGATCCACCCGCCTTGGCCTCCCAAAGTGCTGAGATCACAGGCATGAGCCACCGCGCCTGGCCACAAGTAACTATGTTTAATGCCCACCACCAGTCTTTAGATTGATGGCTCTCTAGTTATTTTGGTTGTCTGAAGCATGTCCTTTGGTAGGTTCCTTAGGAAGTTCTTATTCTTCCATGGTGAGTATAATTTGTCAGAGTACTTTATATCTCAAAGTCACTTTTGCTGCATCCTTAGCTCCTTGGCTCACTCTTTAAGCATCTTAAATATGCTACTCCCATTTTTTTAAAAATAACTTAAAGCATTGCTAGTGAAAAGTATGATAATTAAATTTCTTTTAAAAGTCTTCGATTTTGGGTAGAGGCCCCCCAGTTTTTTCTCTTTTTTTTTTTTGAGATGGAGTCTCACTCTGTCGCCCAGGCTGGAGTGCAGTGGCACGATCTCAGCTCACTGCAATCTCCGCCTCCCAGGTTCACGCCATTCTCCTGCCTCAGCCTCCTGAGTAGCTGGGACTACAGGCACCCACCACCATGCCTGGCTAATTTTTTTGTATTTTTAGTAGAAGCGGAGTTTCACCATGTTAGCCAGGATGGTCTCGATCTCCTGACCTTGTGATCCGCCTGCTTCGGCCTCCCAAAGGGCTGGGATTACAGGCGTGAGCCACCGTGCCCAGCCTTTCTGTTTTTTTTGTTTGTTTGTTTTTAAGAGACGGAGTCTTGCTCTGTCGCCCAGGCTGGAGTGCAGTGGCATGATCTCGGCTCACTGAAAGCTCTGCCTCCTGGGTTCATGCCATTCTCCTGCCTCAGCCTCCCAAGTAGCTGGGACTACAGGTGCCCACCACCACGCCCGGCTAATTTTTTGTATTTTTAGTAGAGGCGGGGTTTCACCGTGTTAGCCAGGATGGTCTCGATCTCCTGACCTCATGATCCGCCCACGTTGGCCTCCCAAAGTGCTGGGATTACAGGCGTGAGCCACCGCGCCCAGCCTTCTGTTTCTTTAAAATCCAGTAATTTTGCTTGAATATGTCTTACTAGGGTTTTTTTCTGATTAAGTAGTGTTACGTAGGCAGTATATTCTTTTTTTAATTTTTGATACGGAGTTTCGCTCTTGTCGCCTAGACTGGAGCGCAATGGCGCAATCTCAGCCCACTGCAACCTCTGCCTCCCAGGTTCAAGCGATTCTCCTGCCCCAGCCTCCTGAGAGGCTGGGATTACAGGCGTGTGCCGCGATGCCCAACTAATTTTGTTATTTTTATTAGAGATGGGGTTTCACCATGTTGGCCAGGCTGGTAATCCCAGCACTTTGGGAGGCCAAGCTGGGCAGATCACTTGAGGTCAGGAGTTCCAGACCAGCCTGGTCAACGTGGCAAAACCCTGTCTCTACTAAAACTACAAAAATTAGCCGGGCTTGGTGGCGTGGGCCTGTAATCCCAGCTACTTGGGAGGCTGAGGCAGGAGAATCACTTGAACCCTGGAGGAGGAGTTTGCAGTGAGCCGAGATTGTGCCACTGCACTCCAGCCTGGGAGACAGAGCCAGAATCTGTCTCAAAAAAAAAAAAAAAAAATCTTTTGCAGGTAAAGTTTTCCTAAATTTCAGTTTTTAGCATTCTGTGTCCTTGCTCTGATTTTCTGTATCAGGGACTTCTTCACCTATGATCTTAAAAGCAGCTGCAGTTATAATTGCTAACCATCCATGTGATATAATCCTTAGTCCAGGCTGAGTTGGCAAATTGCTGCCTATGGTAAATCTGGCCAGTTTCCATTTTTGTATAGTCTGCAAGCTGAGAATGTTTTTTCTATTTTTATAGATTTGAAAAAATATTTTACTACGTGTAAAAATTATATGAAATTCAAAATAAACATAAATATCCACAAATCAAGTCGTATTGGAACATGATCATACTCATTTATCTTTAAATATTGTGTTTCTGCTTCAAAACATTTTTAATCTGTTTTTAAATAGAGATGGGGTCTCACTATGTTGCCCAGGCTGGCCTTAAACTCCTGGACTCAAAAGGATCCTATTGCCCCAGCCTCCCAAAGTGCTGAATTACAGGCATGAGCCACAGCCCCTGGCCCACTTGCTGCTTTTTACACTACAACTGCAGTGGTGCAGGTGCAGTTCACACTGAGGTGGTGCACTCATCACTTCACACTGCGGTGCACACTGCAAACTGCAGCGATACCACGCTCAAACATTTTGAGTGCCACACATTTTACCTGTGAAAAGACATCTTCAAAAATGAAATACAGGCCAGGCACTGTGGCTCATGCCTGTAATCCCACCACTTTGGGAGGCCAAGGCAGGTGGATCACTTGAGGTCAGAAGTTCAAGACCAGCCTGGCCAACATGGTGAAATCCCGTCTCTACTAAAAATACAAAAATTAGTCAGGCGTGATGGCATGCTCCTGTAATCCCAGCTACTTGGGAGGCTGAGGCAGGAGAATCGCTTGAACCTGGGAGGCAGAGGTTGCAGTGGGTGGAGGTTACAGTGAGCCAAGACTGCGCCACTGCACTCCAGCCTGGGCAACAGAGTGAGACTCCGTCTCAAAAAAAAAAAAAAAAGAAATACATAAAATCTCATTACAAGTCACTGTTCACAGATGAAAATTTGCAACTCATTTTTATAATGGGAATCACTAAGCTCTAATTTAATGAAATGTTATTCCCCATCCCAAAAGAAAAAAATTCCATTTTTTTCCTCATTAGTAGATCTGTATTACAGAAAAGTACTCAATTATTATCATGATAGTTTGAACTTCATTAATAATTTTGTGGAGATTTGTTTCCTCTTGTTATATGCCTACATCCCACTTTTGCTTCTTGGCCCACAAGGCCAAAACTATTTATCTGGCTTTTCACAGAGAAAAGTTTGCCAGTGCTACTGTAAATAAGGAAATAAAGCATCCAAATTCAACTGACAGGGTTTGGGCAAAACTTGCAGTGGAGAAAAAGGTTTTTTAAATTTATAAAAATATATATATATATATTTGAGACGGGAGTTTCATTCTTGTTGCCTAGGCTGGAGTGCAATGGCACAATCTCGGCTCACCGCAACTTCTGCCTCCCAGGTTCAAGTGATTCTCCTTTCTCAGCCTCCCCAGTAGCTGGGATTATAGGCATGTGCCACCATGCCTGGCTAATTTTGTATTTTTAGTGGAGACAGGGTTTCTCCATTGTTGGTCAGGCTGGTCTTGAACTCCTGACCTCAGATGACCCACCCACCTCGGCCTCCCAAAGTGCTGGGATTACAGGCTTGAGCCACCGCGCCCAGGCAAAAATATTTTTATATTTAAGTGTGTGAGTCCCTCTGGGCCAATTCAGCGTTCTATTTTGCACTGCTAAATGTGAGACTGATGTGTACATGCTTGTGCACTTCATGTATTCAGAGGAGGTTCTCCCATTCAGGGCACTGCTGTATTTAGAAAAGTGTTAATGGAACAAACTCCTCTGCCATTTGCCGTGTGTGTGTGTGTGTGTGTGTGTGTCAGTATTTAAACACAAGTGTTTCTACTCTGACGGCCACAGTTTTCACATGAGAGCGAGGATGCTGTCCAGTTGTTTGACAACTCAGAATTCTCAATCTCATACCTTGACTGTGGTTTCATCACACCTCCACCAACAGGAGTGTTTGATAAAACTCCAAAACAATTCAGGAGCCTGTTCACCAAGTAGTTTCTTGGGACTGTGTGGATGGATTCACAGTGCTTAATCCCTCTGGCAGTCAAGGACAAACTGCTATCTCTTTAACCTTTTGCTGCTTCTAGGCTTATTGGAGGGCTTTGGGTATTGGAGACCGCATGCCTCACTAAACAAGCCTTGCTGATAAAAAACAGTGTGTTCTGGGATGTAGCAGCCTTAGGATCATCTTGGTTTTTCATGAAGTGGTGGTAGAAACTCCTGGAAAACTTTATCTAGCACTCCACTGCGTGAAGCGTACTTGCACCTGTTGGGTCAATGGGGTCCTTACTTCACCTAAGTCTCCTAAATGATTGGGCCTGATTCACTGATGGCTCTGCAGAATGGAAAGCTGGTAGTATCCATTGTGTTGCTGTTGCAATCCAACCTCAGTGCTAGCCATGCAACTAAAGTGAATGAAGTCCCTGCTCAGTGGGCGGAACTCAGTTCTCATAGCCAATACTGCTTTTGATTAACCTTGCCCTATTTTAAAAATTATTATTTTTAGAGTTAGGGTCTTGTGCTGTTGCCCAGGTTGGAGTGCAGTGGTGTGATCACAGCTCACTGCAGTCTCAACCTCCTGGACTCAGGGATCCTCCTACCTCAATCTCCTGAGTAGCTGGGGCTACAGGTGTGTGTCCCCATGACCTGCTTTTTAAAATTTTTGTAGAGATGGGCATCTCGCTATGTTGCCCAGGCTGGTCTTGAACTCTTGTACTCAAGTGATTCTCCTGCCTCAGCCTCCCAAAGTTGAGATTACAGGTGTGAGCCACCACACTAGTTTTTGCTGACTTGGGCTGTTACTAATGGCCTAGACATCTGGTCTGCCAGTTGAAAGGCAGACTAAAGACATCTCTTTTAAGGCTATAAACTATGAAAATAAATTGTGGCTGCCAACCAGAACATCTGGGTCATTCATGTAGATGACTACAGTTAAGGGCTGATAACACCTGTGACTGATAACACCTAGTGGAATCAAGCTGCTGATGAAGCCAGCATCACCTGGATTGTCCTCACAATGGCAACACATCCACCATGGCGGACTAGGCACCCAGTAAAGAACTCTTTCTCATGCATGCCAGTCTTGGTGACCCCTGCTAAAGTTATCCCATTTGTCTGGAGGTAAATAAGGCCATACTATACAGGACATGGGCCCGCTTGCTCCTAACTGACTGACTACACTGGCCATTTGACCTCCTGTTAGGGCAACTCATGGCGGAGGGGCTGACTGCTGTTAAGACCTTCTTAGGCTATGACGTTGCTGTTTCGGTCTGACCAACTGACTTTGACCATACAATTACAGCTCTTGAAACTAATGTGTCATATTAAGACCCAGGCTGGTCTTAAAACTCCTGGCTCAAGCGATCCTTCTGCCTCAGCCTCCCAGAGTGCTGGGATTACAGGTGTGAACCACCATGCCTAGCTGGAAGGGAAATAATTAATGCACAATTTGTTCCCTAGGTCAGTTTCTCAACCTTGGCACTATTAATATTTTAGGCCAGATAATTCGTTGTTTAGCAGTTACACTGGCCTCTACCCACTAGATGCCAGTAGCACCTTCCCTCTAGTTGTGACAAATAAAAATGGCTCAGACATTGCCAAATGTCCCCTGGAGGGCAAAACTGCCCCCAGCTGGAACCACTGCCCTTGATTCAAAACCACTACCTGAATCAAGTGGCAGCTGCAGCTAACAGTCTGACCTGCTGCTGGGCTTGTCCAGACCACCATGAAATGTGCTATGAAAACGAAAATCTCTCATAAACATGGTCAGTCCTGCACTGTTCTGCTGTGCCTGATACCATCAACAACAGCACCCAAATTCGAATGTATACAGACATCAGGACCAACACAACCTTGATTCAATCTGACTGATCATATGCTTTTGACGCCTGAGTGGTCTTGGGTAATACCGTATATGGCAACCGAAGCTGCAGCTATTTGGTGACACTGCCCCTGTGACTTAACCAATGTGATGATACAAATCAGGTTTAGCAACGAGTCCTGAACCAAAGTGACTTGTGTCCTTTGGGGTTATATTTTGGTATATAGGGGAAAAATGGGTAGGAGAAAAATGGGTCATGAGATGTCTCCCCATTAAGGACAGAGGTCGCTTTCTGGCCCATCAATTGTCTAATTATTGCAGCGACACCAGAGATTAACAGATCAGTTTAAACTCTGTACAGGTCTTAATGAATAAAATACCCTGGCCCTAGAATACCTCATGGCTGCCTAAAATCAGACCTACTGGTACTCCCTGAGATTATTCACAGTAAGCTGTCTGGGACCCTGGAGAGTAAGACTGAGATCAATACTGCAGGTTGGCTTCATCTGCTGCTTTGAGTCTTGATAATAGACTTAATTAAACGTCATGTGAGACAAACTGAGTGGATTTGGTTCTGGCTTCTGTTGGTTAGCTTAATCGAAGTGGTTGTCAGAGTAGCACACTTGTGTAAAAATTTAAGTTTGGCCAAGAATGTGTCAGGCTGAGGAGTGAATAGTGACAGAGGCAATGTGCTGTATACCCTAAGTGTCTCTGCACATTCTTGCTGAGTATGCCAAGAATACAATCCCTTGACTGTTCTTTACCCTGGCCACTTCTCAGGGCTGTGTTTGCACCCTTGTGAGCAACCTTGAAGGATGAGGTAACGTCTCCCCCAGGAAAAAAAGCAAGCTTGCTTCCATTTGCTATAAAAGTGGTGGATCTCAGTGTTCCTCTCCTGTCACACAACTCACTGTATAATGGGCCCTTTGCATCACCTCCTCGGGATTTGGTGGGGTATGGGAAACTGACACATAAGAACACGAAACTCTGGTTCTCACTTTTGCTATCATGAAGTGTTTTGCTCCTGTCCCAGAAGTCTCATGTCTTCTGCTAACATCCATGAAACCATGCCAGGCTAAATGTTTAGCTTACAAGTTGGGTAAAATGTCAAACACTGCACAGTTCCTGACAATTTCTCCTCCTCAATTATTTGAAGCAAATTTAACTTATCAAATGTAAATATTTCATCATGTATCTCTGAAATGATTTCTTAAAAAGAAATGTAACCAAAATCCTATTAACACAGCTCCAAATTTCAGTAATAATCTTTAGTATCTTTAAATATCCAGTCATACCAATTTAATGAGTCATTAATTCTCTGACGTAACGCTGTGATAGGCAATGCAAGTGTGACAGCTATGAAGGGTAATGAGTTTCCATTTGCTAAGATCATTTAAGAAGTCAAAGTAGGGCTGGGTGCGGTGGCTCACACCTGTAATCCCAGTACTTTGGGAGGGTGAGGCGGGTGGATCACCTGAGGACAGGAGTTCAAGACCAGCCTGGCCAAAGTGGCGAAACTCCATGTCTACTAAAAATACAAAAAATTGGCTGGGCACGGTGGCTCATGCCTATAATCCCAGCACTTTGGGAGGCCAAGGCGGGTGGATCACCTGAGGTCATGAGTTTGAGACCAGCCTGACCAACATGGTGAAATCCTGTCTTTACTAAAAATATAAAAATTAGCTGGGCATGGTGGTGGGCACCTGTAATCCCAGCTACTTGGGAGGCTGAGGCAGGAGAATTGCTTCAACCCAGGAGGCAGAGGTTGCGGTGAGCCAAAATCACACCATTGCACTCCAGCCTGGGTTGACGAGCGAAACTCCATCTCAAAAATAAAAATACAGATACAAAAAACTAGCAAAGCGTGGTGGCGGGCACCTCTAATCCTAGCTACTTCGGAGGCTGAGGCACGAGAATTGCTGGAACCTGGGGGCAGAGGTTGCAGTGAGCCAAGATCGCACCATTGGACTCCAGCCTGGGCAGCAAGGGCAAAACTACGTCTCAGAAAAAAAAAAAAAAAAAGAAGTCAAGGCAGAAAAATTATTGCAGGTGTCAGCTCCTAGAAGTGTATAACATCCATCCCGGCCCTATTATTATTTTTTTGATACATATATGTATATACACGTATATATGTGTATGTATATATATGTGTATATGTGCATGTATATGTAAGTATATATGTGTATATTACCACATATACATTTGTGTATACGTATATGTATATATGTATGTGTATATGTATATACATACACGCATACATACGTATGTGTATATGTATGTATATATTTAAAGTGTGTGTATGTGTATACACATATGTGTATATGTATATATGTGCATACATATGTATAAATGCATGCATGTATACATGTATACGTATATATACATATACACATACGTATGTATACATATGTATGTATACACTGCATATACATACATATGTATGTATACACTATGCATATACATACATATGTATATATACACATGTATGTATATACTATGCATACACATACATATGTATATATACACACGTGTACACACATATACATATGCGTATACATTCATACACACATACATGTATACACACATACATATACACATACACATATATACATATATGTATATATACACACACACACATTTTTTTTTTGAGATGGTGTCACTCTCTGTTGCCCAGACTGCAGTGCAGTGGCATAATCTCAGCTCACTGCAACCTCCATTTCCCAGGTTTGCGCAATTCTCCTGCCTCACCCAGTAGCTGGGATTACAGGCCCACGCCACCATAGCCTGGCTAATTTTTGTATTTTTAGTAGAGACAGGGTTTCACCATGTTGGCCAGGCTGGTTTTGAACTCCTGACCTCAGGTTATCCACCCGCCTTGGCCTCCCAAAGTGCTGAGATTACAGGCGTGAGTCATAGTGCTCAGCCAGAGGCCAATATTTTGGTATTGTTAGTTAATTTTTGTGAAACATAGACAACCAAATATTTCATTTAATTATTGCCTAATTTACAGTACTTGAAGATAAATAATCCATGGTATACATATAATTAGAATTCCTTTAAAAAAATCAGAATATGTCTCAGACTCTGAAATATAAATCTATCAGCTTAACAGTGCTTTGGTTAATCTATTATACTCCAAAATACTAATAACAGTGTTTTGTGTTATATTTTAATGAAAATCTAGATTTATGATTGCTCTACTGTTGCCAAGGGCACAGCCCTACAAGATACAGCTGTACAAGATCTGATGTTCTAAATTTTTGAATATTTTCTATTAAAGAGAAAAAGGAATCCACATTAGTGGATCCATTCATGTTTCAGTTTCTAGGTAACATCAATATAAATTGTCCACATAAAACCAAGAAGCTGACAGGACTTTTCTTCCTGAAGGATAAAACTTCAAGGCTTTAATACATACTGTGTAATTCTTTCTAATCGTTAAGTATTAGAGGCTACAACCACTACAGGCCAATGAAACGGATCAATTCTTCTTGTTTAACTGCTAAAAAAAATGTTATCACTTTGCCATAATAAACGGAAAAAGAACTGGATTGGAAATCCGCAGAGATAGGTTTTACTTTAGGCTCTGCAAGTAACTGTGACTTTAGGCAAATCATTTAACCTCTGCAAGTTGAACTCTGGTCTCCAAGGGCTCTCTTCTGTGGTATAACAGGATGAGCTCGCAATTAAGAGAGCGGCCCCTAGATGGTAGTGTTGTTCTGAGTCAGGCTTTCTATTTTTTTTCCTTCTTTAATTACAGTGAAGTAAAAAGGCACAAGTTAGAAAATGACTTCACGTTAGTTCTGAAAAAAATTCAGTTGGCTGGACAAGGTGGCTCACGCCTGCAAACCCAGCACTTTGAGAGGCCGAGGCGAGAAGACTGCTTGAGCTCAGGAGTTCAACACCAGCCTGGGTAACATGGTGAAACCCCGTCTTTACAAAAAATAAAAAATTAGGCTGGATGCCGGGGCTCACGCCTGTAATCCCAGCACTTTCAGAGGCCGAGGCGGATGGATCACTTGAGGTCAGGAGTTCAAGACCTGTCTGGCCAACATGATGAAACCTGGTCCCTACTAAAAATACAAAAAAATTAGCGGGGCACAGTGGTGCGTGCCCGTAATCCTAGCTACTCAGGAGGCTGAGGCAGGGGAATCACTTGAACCTGAGAGGCAGAGGCTGCAGTGAGCCCAGATTGTGCCATTGCACTCCAGCCTGGGCAACAGAGCAAGACTCCACCTCAAAAAATAAAATGAAAAAAATAATAAATTAGCCAAATATGGTGGCACATGCCTGTAGTCCCAGTTACTCGGGAGGCTGAGGTGGGAGGAACACTTGAGGCCAAGAGTCTAAGGCTGCAGTGAGCCAAGATCATGCCATTGCACTCCAACCTGGGCAACAAAGTGAGACCCTGTCTCTAAAATACAATACAATAAAATAAAATAATAAATTCACTGTGAAGAATTCATTCAATGGCATTCAAAATGACATTGAATCATGAATCATATGGCTCATGTGCATTTGACATTAATTAAAAGAAATAAACCATTAATGATTATACCAAAGTGAATATATCGCCTTATAATTATTAGTCCATACAGTCATCATTATTTTCTCTAGGTATATTTAGGTAAGCTTAAGAAACTGAGTAAAAACTAAGAAATGAATGTTAGGAGTATTGATCTACAATCTTATAGAAAAATTTTTTTTTCAAATGCAAGTTCTACTAATAAATTCTGATAAACGCACTTTCTTTCATTTTGAATATTACAGACTGAATTCAAGACCTGTGATTTATATGAGCACAATGACAGATATATTCCATTACCCTTCTAGCCATGTAAACAAGGGCATCTTTTAAAGAAAAACGCTTTTAGTGTTCAAAGGATAAGAATAATATATTAAATGGCTTCTCTAGGTTTTTTTTCAACTGAGTCGCCTTGCTTGGAAAGGCTTCTCTAGGTTTTTTTTTGTTTTTGAGACGGAGTCTCACTCTGTCGCTTAGGCTGGAGTGCAGTGGCGCGATCTCGGTTCACTGCAAGCTCCGCCTCCTGGCTTCACACCATTCTCCTGCCTCAGCCTCCCGAGTAGCTGGGACTACAGGTGCCCGCCACCACGCCCGGCTAATTTTTTGTATTTTTAGTAGAGACAGGGTTTCACCGTGTCAGCCAGGATGGTCTCGATCTCCTGACCTCGTGATCCGCCTGCCTCGGCCTCCCAAAGTGCTGGGATTACAGTCGTGAGCCACCGCGCCCAGCCCTCTAGGTTTAATTTATCAAAGAAAAAGGATTAAGAGATTCTAGTTTGAGGAGGTTTAGATGAACAAGATCAGATTTTAACCTAAAATTCCTGAAAGGAAACAGAATGTGTTCCTATTTCTCTCCCATAAAATTCACTGAGTATAAAAATTATGTTTCTCCTTAAACATGCTCAGTCTTGCCTTGAATTCAATCAATATACAGAATAAGAAAGTACCTATGAGGCCGGGCTCGGTGGCTCACGCCTGTAATCCCAGCACTTTGGGAGGCCGAGGTGGGTGGATCACGAGGTCAAAAGATCGAGACCATCCTGGCTAACACGATGAAGTCCCGTCTCTACTAAAAATACAAAAAATTAGCCGGGCGTGGTGGTGGGCGCTTGTAGTCCCAGCTACTCAGGAGGCTGCGGCAGGAGAATGGCGTGAACCCTGGAGGTGGAGCTTGCAGTGAGCCAAGATCGTGCCTCCGCACTCCAGCCTGGGCGATAGAGGGAGACTCCATCTCAAAAAAAAAAAAAAAAAAAAGAAAGTATCTACGAGAGCCCATATGTTACCTTTTTGCTTCCTGTCAGTTGAGTAGGTAATAAGTGGCAAGCACAACATAGAACATGAGAGTGAAATGACATAAAACTGTGAATTTTTAGTATAGATTTATGTCAAAAATTAAAGAGGAAAGATATTGAGTGAATCCAAGATGGTATTGCTGTATGTGAAAGTCATTCATCCATCCATCCATCCATTCCAACCAACCAACTCACCCAACCCACCAACCAACCTTTATTGAGGCTGAATGGTGCAAAGGACTAGAGATACAAAGATAAATAAGGTACCACAGGCCAGGTGCAGTAATACCAGCACTTTGGGAGGCTGAGGCAGGCAGACTGCTTGAGCCCAGGTGTTTGAAACCAGCCTGGGCAACATGGCGAAACCCTGTCTCTACAAAAAGAAAAAAAAATACCAGAAATTAGCTGGGCACGGTGGTGTGCGCCTGTAGTCCCAGCTACTCAGGAGGCTGTGGCAGGAGAATCACTTGAGCCCAGGAGGCAGAGGCTGCAGTGAGCCAACATTGCATTGCACTCCAGCCTGGTCAAAGGGAATTAAATCCTGTCTCAAAAAAAAAAAAAAAAAAGATACCACCTCCATTCTCAAAAAACTCAGTCTAGTATGAGAAAGGGACTTTGAAAGTTCAGTTCAGTTTATTACAGTGTCAAGTAGATTTACAACTATTGCACTTATCATTCTGCTGACAGAAGGCCAAAACTGAAGATTGAGATTTTCCTCTAATAAAGATAGGTTTTCAGAATCTTCAATATAAGATGTTAAAATTATAAAGGCAAAGATATATACCTCATGTTCCATTCCATATCCTTCCTGCTGTTGTACAGTTTGCTGCAAATGATAATTTAATTTGGATAATGCTTTAAATCATTGATTTCTCATGAAATTACTTTTGAGTGAAATTTGACAAGAATTTTCTTTATACTCTCTTCTTTACCAAAACGTATTAGAAGTCCCCATAGTCCAAAATAAAATGTAACCATAGAATGGGGAGATAACTTTAGTCAAAGACCAAGTAAATATTACCTTCTTTGCAGAACTCCAGGTTGTAGTCACGTAAAAGTGTGGCCACTTGTTGCTTAACTTTTTGGACAATGGGAAAAAAAAAACAATAAAAGCTAAAATGTGGTCCAGCATATGAAACTCTTCTCAAAAACAGAAGAAAGTCATGACCATTGTTGGGAAAGTGTTTTACATTTCCAATGAAATTCTATTCCATTGATCTGTTTGGATGATTGTCTTCAACCTATTTGGCTCTAGCCCATAAATTGTAATTGATTCAGTCATGTAAAGAACCACTTTTATCTTAAGCTTAGAATTTATAACAATGGAAAGCAGGAAAGTGGTTTTTCATTCACTCTAATAATTGTGCAGGGATAAGCTAGAGAAAAAATAAAACAAAAAAGTACCAGTCTTCTGTCCTCTTAAATTATTTTTCATTCTGATTATATTACAAAGAAATGAGCTGTGGAGGTTTGGCACTGTTTTCCATCTTAACAGTTGTTCTGTATTGTAAGATTTTATATGTGATTCATAATGTACTACTATAACAAGACACAGTTTTTATATATTACTGGAATAATGCAAAGAAAATGAATTTTCCTTTGGGTCCAGTAATTGTCAAAGGAATGATTGCAGATTCAGAAAATGTGCTTTGTAATAACCCTGTTAACATAAAGTATACACTGAGGAAAAAAATAAGTATGGCACATATATGGAAGGATTAGTTGTATTAGCAAGGCATTTCAGGGATGGTTTTGGTTCTTTAGACTAAGTAAGATACATCCAATTTAGACCCCCTTCAAATCCTTAGACAAATGGGAATCACTTGGTAACATAAAGATTATTTTGGTGGGCAGGGGCTGATTTCACCATGTGCTTACAAATGCTCCAACTAGTCAGTAAACTATCCCATCTGAAGGAAGGATTTGCTCTGGTAATAAGGCTGATATGCTCAAGCTGTAAGAATTAATTTGAATATCAAAAATGAAATTGAGATTGCTAACCATGTCCTGATAGTTACAGCATGTAGAATATTAAATGTCCTCTTTTTTAACTAAAGTAAAAAAATGAAGAAGCATGGTTAATTCACTTGTGCTGATTAAAACAGATGTCCACGTGCAACTTCTGTGTGTGAGCCTCCCCATGCTGCCATGCCACCAGATGCTTTCCCTTCACCTTGCTAATCCCACTAGATGTTTTCCTCGGTAGAATCCTAGCTCATGGGTTTCCATGTGCATGTTTCTATTGTAATGAAAATTAACTACAAAATCTGAACGTTTTCTGCTTTCAGAAAATTCTAGTGTACCATGTACAGCTTAGATATTTCTTTTTCAGTTAAAAAAAATAGTGCAAAAACATATCTGATAGTCAAGGTGATAGTTCAAGTGAGTTCTTGTGCCAAGGAACACAGACAAGCTTCTCCTCTAGCTGATCTGTAGAAACTGTATGTAGTTTTTGGGAAATATTCCAGATTTTCCCATAAGTTCTCCACTCATCCAGTCATCATCTACAGATTCCAGCTCTGTTATTATATCTCCAGCCTGTAAGACAAAAGGAGTTAGAATTACTGGTTTCTGTTGAGAATAAGCATGGTAAATAGTGGCCTACCTAGGGCAGCATGAATAATCTTCTCTGTATAACTCATTTATCTTGATTGTTGAGAATTAAATGACAACAATGATCTATACCTAATGATGCCATTTGCTTGTAAGCCTCTATCCCTTAAATCTCATTCCTTTGCCACTGCCACCCTTGCTGCACTTTGATTTTCCCTCTTATACTTTGTGCCTCTCAAATTCACCACTCCTAATCTAAAATCCCTCTTGAACAAATAATACCAGTTATCACACACACACACACACACACACACACGATTATTTATTGAGTACCCACTATGTGTCAGACACTGTTCTGAGCACAATTAATATTCCCTCATTCTACAACGGGAAGGCAAATAAACTGGCAGAAGAGGACAGAAAGCATGGGATTGCCAACTCATTAGGGCCATCAAGGGAGGGCCTCACTGAAGGTGTCATATAGGCAAAGATTTGGAGATGAGAAAGTGAGTCATGTGCTTCCTGTATGCCTTGTCTTATTCTGTGTACTTCACAGGAACTAACTCTTATGTAAACACCACCAAAGTCCTAGAGATGAGTACTATGTTATCCTCATTTTAGAGACTTTTTTTTTTTTTTTTTTTTTTGAGACGGAGTCTCGCTCTGTCACCCAGGCTGGAGTGCAATGGTGCAATCTCGGCTCACTGCAACCTCTGCCTCCCGGGTTCAAACAATTCTCCTGCCTTAGCCTCCCGAGCAGCTGGGGTTACAGGTGCCTGCCACCACGTCCAGCTATTTTTTGTATTTTTAGTAGAGACAGGGTTTCACCATGTTGGCCAGGCTGGTCTCAAACTCCTGACCTTGTGATCCGCCCACCTTGGCCTCACAAAGTGTTGGGGTTACAGGCGTGAGCCACTGCCCCTGGCTGAGATATATTTTTATAGATTTCCTTATTTTAGTGAAAAAGAAACCAAAACTCAGATAGACTACATAACTTGCCAGTGTCGCATGTCTAGTTAGTGGTAGAACCAGGATTCAAATCTAGTGCAATTCCTGGGCTTATATTCCTAACCACTAGGCTATGTGGCCGCCAGATTTTACAATGGACCTTTTTACTTAGAAAGGCTTTTACTGTAATTGCCTTTTATCAACACCCAGAGCATTTTGCACTCTACATTTATTCTTGCACATAATGGCATTTCTCCTCTACCATCTGGTTTATCACATTCCTCCTATGGCCCCAGTATCTTTTGTTTTTGAGACAAAGTCTCGCTCTGTGGCCCAGGCTGGAGTGCAGTGGCACGATCTCGGCTCACTGCAACCTCTGCCTCCCAGGTTCAAGTGATTCTCCTGCCATGGCCTCAATATCAAATTTGCATTTTTTTCCCATCTTAAAGAGCTTCACCTTGACTCAGGACACTGTTTTATCTTCATCAGGTTAGTCAAAGGGGCTGTGTGTCTTATTCATGTGCAAATTAGAATTCCTTCAGCAGATGAAGACATAACTATTTTGTTCTTTATAGTTTCTAAACATTTCTTAGAATCTGTGTTTAAGATGCTACAATGGTCCCAGATGACTCTGGCTACTGTTAAGACTACCTTTATTGGGCTAAATGAATTTATTTGTAGCCCTAGTACATTACCCTCTGGAAAAAAAAATGGCTTGATTTAAGGCTTTTCTTTATGGAAAATGAAAAGGAAACATGCAATCAGATGTTATTAATTTACTCTGCTCTGCTAAAATCTGTAAAAATTCTGGCAATTCAAAGTTTTTGTTATAAATAAGTTCCTTCTGGTTCCTAAATTATAATTTAATAGTTAACTGAAGCTATTTTATTTAGGTCTGGTCCAAACCTACATACCATGTCAGTTTCCTGAGGGCTAGGACTATTTTTTTTTTTTAGATGGAGTTTTGCTCTTGTTGCCCCGGCTGGAGTGCAATGGCAAGATCTCGGCTCACTGCAACCTCCGCCTCCCAGGTTCAAGAGATTCTCCTGCCTCAGCCTCCTGAGTAGCTGGGACTACAGGTATGCACCACCACACCTGGCTAATTTTGTATTTTTTAGCAGAGACAGGGTTTCTCCATGTTGGTCAGGCTGGTCTTGAACTCCCGACCTCAGGTGATCCACTCACCTTGGCCTCCCAAAGTGCTGGGATTACAGCCGTGAGCCACTGCACCCAGCCAGGCTAGGGCTATTTTCAAAAATTAGTTTTGGCCGGGTGCAGTGGCTCACTCCTGTAATCCTAACACTTTGGGAGGCCAAGGCAGGTGGATTTTCTGAGCTCAGGAGTTCAAGACCAGCCCGGCAACACAGTGAAACCCTGTCTCTACTAAAATACAAAAAATTAGCTGGGCATGGTGGCATGCACCTGTAGTCCCAGCTACTCAGGAGGCTGAGGCGGGAGAATTGCTGGAATCCAGGAGGCGGAGGTTGCAGTGAGCCGAGATCGCGCCGCTGACTGCACTCCAGCCTGGGCAGCAGAACAAGACTCCTTCTCTAAAAAAAAAAAAATTAGTTTTATCTATTAACATTCTGTGGATATTTAATAAAACTGAAAGCAGTGCAGAATCCCTTAACAACAACAATAACAACAACAATTCTAACAATTCTAGAACTATCTTATGGACAACCATTTGTAAAATGAAATGAAGATAACCTGTTTTCTGGAGGATACTGTGCATTCTGTTATTTATACTCACATAGTTTAAATGAAGACCAAAATAACATCCAAGAAGTTTGAATTCAGATTCTTCACTTGCAGTAAGTTTATGTAAAGATAAACGGGATACATTTTGAGCCACTGACTCTCAAGGACTAAGGCAACAGTTTTCTTTCTTTCTTTCTTTCTTTTTTAAATTTTGTTTTAAAGACCAAGATGTTAAAGGAAAAAAAGGGAACTGATAGAAGGTTACGAGTTTTTAATTTTGCATAGCTTACAGCATAAGAAATACCTATCATTTATGGCTGGGTGTGGTGACTTATGCCTGTAACCCAGCTCTTTGGGAGGTTGGGGCGGATGGATCGCCTTGAGCTCATGAGTTTGAGACCAGCCTGGGTGAGACCCAGTCTCTACAAAGAATACCAAAAATTAGCCAGGCATTGGTGGCTCACACCTGTAGTCCCAGCTACTCAGGGAGCTGAGGGGTGGAGAATCGCTTGAGCCCAGGAAGCTGAGGCTGCACAGTGAACTGAGATTGTGTCACTGCACCTCAGCCTGGGCAACAGAGTGAGACCCTGTCTCAGAAACAAAACAAAACAAAACAAAACCAAAAAAAAAAAAAAAGAAAGAAAGAAAGAAAGGAAGGAAAGGAAAGAAGGGAAAGAAAGGAAAGAAAGAAAGAGAGAGAGGCCGGGCATGGTGGCTCACACCTGTAACCCCAGCACTTTTGGAGGCTGAGGCAGGCAGATCACGAGGTCAGGAGTTTGATTCCAGCCTGGCCAGTATGGTGAAACCCCGTCTCTGCTAAAAATACAAAAATTAGTCAGGTGTGGTGGTGTGTGCCTGTAGTCCCAGCTACTTGGGAGGCTGAGGCAGAAGAATTGCTTGAACCCAGGAGGCAGACCGAGATCATGCCACTGCAATCCAGCCTGGGCGACAGAGCGAGACTCCATCTCAAAAACAAAAAAAAAAAAAAAAAAAAAGAAAGGAAGGAAGAATAAGAAATATCTATTATTTGCTAACAATATATTATAACAGAAATGACATTTAATACAAAAAGATGAAATAACATTTTATTATTCAGAATAAAGTAAAACCCCATCACAAAATAGGAAGTTAGCAACTTTATGGTGACATATTTCAGTCAAGGCATCCCCCCTTACCCCGACAAAGGCTGCACATACCTGATTCAGGTATTGCCTTGTTTTCCTCTTTTTCTTTGTTGAGATGGGGTCTTGCCATGTTGACCAGGCTGGTTTTAAACTCCTGGCCTCAAGCGATCCTCCTGCCTTGACTTCCCAAAAGTGTTGGGATTAGAGGTGTGAGCCACTGTTGCTCGGCCTTTTTCTCATCTTGTTGCAGACAAGTGAAAACCCTGTTTGGTTGTCCACTGTTTTAAACCACACCTTGTCCAATCATTCCTTGATATGTTAATTCTTTCTATGGCATCCTTTCCTCTGACTGAATATCTTCAATGACAGAGAATTTACCACTGCCTGACACAGGCTATTTTGACAGCAGTGACTACTAAAACCACCCTCCTTCTTCTAGCACTGTTCCCAAAGTGCTTTCCTCTGACTATGGTCCAGTTGTGGATTAGGGAAATAGAATCATGAAAATATCTACTTTTGGCCGGGCGCGGTGGCTCACGCCTGTAATCCCAGCACTTTTGGAGGCTGAGGTGGGCGGATCACCAGGTCAGGAGATCAAGACCATCTTCACTAACATGGTGAAACCTCGTCTCTACTAAAAAAAATACAAAAAAATTAGCTGGGCATGGTGGCGGGCACCTGTAGTCCCAGCTACTCGGG
Source organism: Homo sapiens (assembly GCF_000001405.40). Classification (NCBI taxonomy): domain Eukaryota; kingdom Metazoa; phylum Chordata; class Mammalia; order Primates; family Hominidae; genus Homo; species Homo sapiens. Next base: position 151,126,695 of record NC_000004.12, read on the forward strand.
AGGCTGAGGCAGGAGAATGGCGTGAACCGGGAGGTGGAGCTTGCAGTGAGCCGAGATCGCCCCACTGCACTCCAGCCTGGGTGACAGAGCGAGACTCTGTCTCAAAAAAGAAAAAAAAAAAAAAGAAAAGAAAATATCTACTTTTACTTTAAGAAGAAATTAGGCATTTCTTCGGTGAAAAAAAAAAAAAAAAAAACCTTTGCAAACTAGCTCAACCTTTTGGGACTATTTCCCCAAACCTCTGGTCATTGCCTTTGTGGACAAGAGTGCAGTGGTGCAATCTCGGCTCACTGCAAGCTCCACCTCCCGGGTTCATGCCATTCTCCTGCCTCAGCCTCCTCAGTAGCTGGGATTACAGGCGCCTGCCACCATGCCCAGCTAATTTTTTTGTATTTTTTAGTAGAGACGGGGTTTCACCGTGTTAGCCAGGATGGTCTCGATCTCCTGACCTCGTGATCCCCCCACCTCGGCCTCCCAAAGGAATTTAGTGTCTTATGAGGCTACTATGCTACTAGTGCAAATTGTAGCAGGTGCTATCTGATTCTCCATCAATTTCAAAGACACATCAATGGCAGGCTTGCAGGGCCATGTAGACAGTCATCTGTTACCAGGGCTACTAATAAAAACCCTAATATTACTGAGATCTGATGACCTAAGACCAAGGAACAGGGATTACTTTGGGGATGTATGGGGGTGTAAAGCCAAGGTTTTCTCTAAGTACATTAATGCCTGGTTGATACTGTAAATTAACAGGCCTATTTGCACTGTTCACTTTCTCTAATGTCTTCCCCTAGAATCAGGGCCTGAGATCTCTTCATTCTTGAGTAATGATTAATATTCCACCCAAATGTTCCATCCTTCAATGGAAAACATTTAAAAAATTATAGTGCTTAATGCAGTTATGAAGAGATACACATTCTGACCTTGAAGGAAAGTTCATCTTCATTCTCCCCTCGGAAATCATATAAGGCTTTGGCCTTCCTCCCCTTCGGTACTATGGCCAACATACTTTTTGCCTCAGCTGTGAAGACATAAAAAATTTAAATATATAGAAACACAGTGGACTAAAACACAAATCTAACATTTTTTAAAAAAAAACGCTTATCGCTCTAAAAACACAGTATCTTCTCTTCAGAGGTAGTGATATTAGGCAAAGAAAAACATTTTTAAAAACATGTTCAATTAATTTTGAACTTATTTAACTTTCAAAAAGATGAACAATGTTCTTTTAGCAGGGAAAAATTACGTAAACTATATTTATTAGATGGAATTAGCCATTATTTAGTGAAGACATTATCTTTTTTTTCTATAACTCTAACAAAGCATATGAATGAAGTTTGCATAACTTCATGTATCAGCTCTTTCAAATATAGACAGACAAACTGAGCATGGCCAGAGGGGAAAGGAATGTATATAGTTTTGAAGGTTTCAGGCTCCCCGTGAGGAGTCGCATTCATGTCTTGCGGTTGTCATACCTGGGCAGGGCCTCACAAACACTGCTGGGAAGATCCCCTCCCTGTCCTGCAGTCTGCCCCTGCACCAGTCAGAATCCAGACGTTCCAGAATCTGGATCCGGTCTCCCCTCTTGAATGATAAGTCATCACTGGTCTCTGCTGTAAAACTGTGAAGAGCTTCACACCATTCTGCCGGAAGACTGTTAACCTGTTATCAAATTAGAGGTGTGGTCAGAAGTGTAAGATTTTATTTGAAATTGAGTTCTACAAAGCTTAAAAAGTAGTGGGGAAAAAAAAACTAAGGGGTCTTAAGATTTCAAAGCCTGAAGGCTTCTTTAAATTATCTAATACTTTATGTTGCTATCAAGTTTCAGAAGTAAAAGTTTCCAATAATTTTTTCTTAAATTATAACTCTAAATGACAAGTGTGATAGAATTTGTGGCTTTTCTGCTTTTAAGGGATATACAAAGCTTAAGCAAACACTTTTTTACTTTCTTTATTTTCTTTTCTGAGCCAAGTTCTTACTTAGTAACCCAGGATGGAGTACAGTGGCAGAATCATAGCTCACTGCAGCCTTGACTTCCTGGGCTCAGGCAATCCTCCCTCCTCAGCCTCCCGAGTAGCTGGGACTACAGGTGCAGCCACCACACTCGGCTATTTAATTTTATTTTATTTTTGCAGAAATGAAGTCTCACTATGTTGCCCAGGCTGGTCTTGAACTCTTGGCTCAAGTGATCCTCCCACCCTCCCAAACTTCTGGGATTACAGGCATGATCCACCTCACTCAGCCAAAAAACTTTTTTCTTAATATGACCTATTATATTGTTATATTAAAGAATTAGGTAAAAGCATAAAATATTTATGCATAGTATTTGACACTATGAAAAAATTCTGATAAAGTATGTAATTATCAGTGAAGCTCTTCTTTATTTAAATTAGGAAGGATCAGAATGGGTTGGTCTATGAATTCCCAGGTCTTTACTTGATTCAGAGACAATTAGAGTCCATAGCACAGAACTTCATCAATTCACACTTTTAATTTTATGAGCTGTAGTTAACTCTAAGATTGGCAGGATAACACCCAGATGTGGTGGGCTAGTGTAAGAACACTTTTATCCCAGGCACATTAGAGAAAGGTTTTGCTCTGTGAAGAGGCAGCTCTGCCAATTTGGGATGGGAACCCTATGTTCAAGAGGCTCAAGAAGGCAGTAGAGGATAATGAAAAGGCTTTTTTCTTTCGAGATGGAGTCTCGCTCTGTTGCCCAGGCTGAAGGGCAATGATGCAATCTTGGCTCAATGCAACCTCTGCCTCCCGGGTTCAAGCAATTCTCCTGCCTCAGCCTCCCGATTAGCTAGGACTACAGGTGCACACCACCACACCCAGCTAATTTTTGTATTTTTAGTAGAGACGGGGTTTCACCATGTTGGCCAGGCTGGTCTCGAACTCCTGGCCTGAAGCGATCCACCTGCCTTGGCCTCCCAAGGTGCTGGGATTACAGGAGTGAGCCTCAGCGCCTGGCCGGGACAAAGGCTTTGGAGCTACACAGGCAAGGTTTCCAGACCCAGTTCTGCCACTTCTTAACTTCGTGACACTGGGCAAGACGCTTCTCTTCTCTGAGGCTCAGCTTCATCTTGGGGTTACTAAGAGGATTAAATGAGACAATGCATGTCTAACATTTAGCCCAGTGCCTGGCACATCTTAAGTGCTCAATAACTGATGGCTTATAAAACAAAAACAAAAAGCAAGCAAACAACACTAACCCCCTCTTGCTCCTGCACTTGAGTAACCAACCCTAAAGGATGGAACTTATCATTCTCCAAAAATGCAGGCAACAACCATGTGAACATTTCCTTTTGGAGAACTGTAGTCAGTTTCCTTCCTGTTTCACTTTATCAGTGGGTAGGGATAAAGAATTAAGGGACACACAGGCCAATTACAAGTGACATTTTCACAAACACAATGATCCCATCAGGCTTAACTCTTCTAAATTTGTCACAAAAAACAATGGAAGGCCGGATGTGGTGGATCACCCCTGTAATCCTAGTACCTTGGGAGGCTGAGGCAGGTGGAGCGCTTGAGCCCAGGATTTTGAGACCAGCCTGGGCAACAAAATGAGACCCTGTCTACAAAAAATACAAAAATTAGCTGGGAGTGGTGGTGTGTGCCTGTCATCCCAGCTACTTAGGAGGCTGAGGTGGATTGCTTGAGCCTGGGAAGCAGAGGTTGCAGTGAGCTGAGACCTCGACACTGCACTTAGCCTGGGCATCAGAGTGAGATCCTGTCTCAAAAAAACAAAACAAAACAAAACAAAAAAACCAAAATAAAACCAAAAACAACAAAAAACTAAAAACAACAGAAGGCACCACATTCCTAGTACCTTTAAGCATTTCTGGGGTCATGCTGAACAGTGTAAAAATTTTAACCCACTATTTTTCTCTTTCTCATTATACAAATGAAACAAATGTTCCTAAATATTTGGAAAGTTGAGAAACGTATAAAGAAATGGAGAAGGCCAGGCGCAGTGGCTCATGCCAGTAATCCCAGCACTTAGGGAGGCCGAGGTGGGTGGATCACGAGGTCAGGAGTTCAAGACCAGCCTGGCCAAGACGGTAAAACCCCGTTTCTGCTAAAACTACAAAAATTAGCGAAGCACAGTGGCAGGCACCTGTAAACCCAGCTTACTCAGGAGGTTGAGTCAGGAGAATCACTTGAAGCCGGCAGCAGAGGTTGCAGTGAGCCAAGACTGCGCCACTGCACTCCAGCCTGGGCGACGGAGTAAGACTCCGTCTCAAAAAAAAGAAAAAAAAAAAAGAAGTGGGGGAAAAAAACCTACCCGTATATATAATCTCACTACCTAGATGCAATTTAATACTAGTAACTTGAATAATTTCCTTCCAGTCTTTTTATGCTATATATTCAATTTTATATCCCCTTTCCCTATGTTTCCTCTCATGACATTTAAAAACATTATTTTATTTGATAAATCTAGTTTTTCATAGCTTTAGAATATTCTCCCAATAATGGTCATATTTAGGTTGTTTCCAATTTTTTCTTATTATATTAGCACTATGCTCATCTTTGTGACTAAAACCCTATCTCATTTTTTATCCTTTTCTTAGGGTGACAAATAAGAATGTGTACTTTCTCTCTTTTTTTTTTAACACTCACATGCTTATAATTGCTTGTTTAGTGCTGAGCTGCACTGAATCTTTGTTAACTGAATAGGTTAAATGGTATTTTATTGCTGCTTTATTATATATTTTCTTGATTATTAGAAAGGTTAAATATTTTTTCAATATTAGCCACTTATGGTATCTCTTTTATGAATTCTTTTTTTCTTTTTTTCTTTTTTTTTGAGGCAGAGTCTTGCTCTGTCTCCCAGGCGGGAGTGCAGTGGCGCAATCTTGGCTCACTGCAAACTCTGCCCCCCGGGTTCACGCCATTCCCCTGCCTCAGCCTCCTGAGTAGCTGGGAATACGCGCGCTGGTCACCACACCCGGCTGATTTTTTTTGTATTTTTAGTAGAGACGGGGTTTCACCGTGTTAGCCAGGGTGGTCTCGATCCCCTGACCTCATGATCCGCCCGCCTCGGCTTCCCAAAGTGCTGGGATTACAGGCATGAGCCACCGCGCACAGCCTCTTTTATGAATTCTCTAATCATGTCTCTTTTATCATTTTCTTTCTTTCTTTTTTGAGATAGAGTCTCGCACTGCCACCCAGGCTGGAATGCAGTGGTGCTATCTTGGCTCACTGCAACCTCCACCGCCAGGTTCAAGCTATTTTCCTGCTTCAGCCTTCCAAGTAGCTGGGACTACAGGTGCACGCCACCATGCCTGGTTAATTTTTGTATTTTTAGTAGAGACAGGGTTTCACCATGTTGGCCAGGCTGGTCTCGAACTCCTAACCTCAGGTAATCCACCTGCCTTGGCTTCCCAAAGTGTTGGGATTACAGGCATGAGCCACTCTGCCCAGTCTCTGTTTTCATTTTCTATCAGGGTTTACATGTTTTTGTATGAGCTCTCTATATAAAATATATTAACCATCTAAGAATTTATTACAAACATTTGTTGTATGAATTGAAAAATTAATTCATACTATATTCTCTTGAAAATTATGATTTTAATATTCCTCCCAGAGTCTGAACCTGGCTGTCACTATAGTCATCTGTTCAAGCAGCCTACCTGAGAGTTTGAGCCAGAATCTTCTTTTTTGGTTTTCAGTGGTACCTTTGTGCCTACATTAAAAAAACAAACAAACACAAGAAGTCAGAACATTAGATGTGAAGGCCACATAGTATTAAAAACAAATGGTTGAGGTGGGAGGTGGGAGTGAAGACTCTGGGATTCCACTCCGGTCTCTTCATGTATTGTCTATGTTGCGTTAACCTGTACTAACTTCACTGAGCTTGTTTAGTTAATTGTAAACACAACTATTTATAGTCTATATACATTAGTAACAGTCTATAGTTCATTTCTGTTTAAAAGTCTTTGCTATTTATTTATTAGATACAGAGTCTGGCTCTGTTGCCCAGGCTGGAGTGCAGTGGTACAATCATAGCTCACTGCAGCCTTGAACTCCTGGTCTCAGGCAATCCGCCCACCGTGGCCTCTCAAAGTGTTGGAATTACAGGTCTGAGCCATCATACCCAGCCTCTTTGCCATTTCTTATATGAAGCTATTGCTAATTACCTAAAATACCAAAACCAGCTCTTTGAGAGATGCCCACAAATAATGTCTATCCCACACAAATTCCCATTTTAAAATCAGTTTTCCTTCTACCGTAAAAATATGGCAATATGGATTATTATACAGCTTAAGTATAATGATATTATTTGGTTTATTTGAATTAGGACATAACATAATAAAAAAAATTCTCTATACTCACTTAAAACATTTGCACCAGAGGTGGGATAATCCTCAACAGGCTCCACAAAGTTCAGGGGGAAAATCCCAGTTCTGCCTCGAACTTCTCCTCTGGCCCATTCCTCATTCACATACTCTTTAAGAATAATAATTTCTCCCTCTGAGAAACTCAACTCATCCTTCTGCTCTCCAATATATTCAAACCGAGCAACACATCTTGAGCCTCTGAATGAAGAACACATTTTGTGGATTAGACTAGAGAGTGCTTTTAAAATGCTTAAAAACCTTCATTCAGTCTTTCAATAAATATTTATTCTGGGTTTACCATGGAATAAGGTATACTAGGCTAATTTGAAATTATTCCATGAAAAAGAGTAAGTTACACTTTTAAGTAACAGATATGAACCTATTCACTCAGAAAGGCTGAAGCTCAAGGTCGCGGAGTGCACGCAGCTGGGTGGTTAGTTTACCCTGCTGTGTCTTTTGATCTTCTTACTCCCCAGTCTCCGTATGTTTGTATCCTTGGGCCACAGCAATCCGTGGTCCAGTCTGAACCCTTCCAATCATAAATGCACTGAGTTGAGGAGTGCTAACCCTGAGAATCTCAGGGCAATTAATCAAATTTTCTGACTACTAATCAGGGCAGAATGCAATGGGCATCAGCTGGGCAAAGTTGATGTTCAATAGATGCTCAATTAATCAGTGAGCTGGCCTTAAAAACTAGGAGGTTTAAAGAAAACAGAAACTTGGCATATCATAACACACAGTCTTGGAACTAACCCTGTTGCCTTTAAAAATGATTTTTTTAATCTCCTTTAAAAGGGCTTCATTTCTGACATTTGGAACAATCCTTACATGATCTGCAATTTTGACTGAAAATAAGATAAAAGCAGAGATAAAATTGTGTCTCTAGAAGGTGTGCTTTAATACTAATCCCTAGATTTGAGGGTTTAGAAAGGAAGTTTCAATAGCAACAGGCTAAGGAGAAGCAATTGCCTAAAAAGAAAAGGTTGATTCTAGCTTTAATAGAATTCTGATTTAAGTCAGATCAATGGGTCAATGACTGTAAAAGCCCACTTCGAATTCAACCTGCTGAGACACAGTATATGCTGCTTAAAAATAGAGAAAAACTGAATCTGAAATAGAATTCAACTATTGTGGATCAGAAGTTTTCTTATTTGTGATAACCTTTGCATTTGTTTTCTAAAGTCCTCTGGGAGCATCTGCTTATGTCTGACCTATTCATAGACAGGTTTACAGTCTTCAGCAGGTAATGAATTCTATTAATTTGCTCATTTAACTAGAATATAAAGTTGCATTGTGGCAGTGCTTTAAATCACAAAGGAGTTACAATGACACATAAAAGGGTATATAAATTCAGGGAAACGTCCTCAGAGATAAAGGAAAACCCCTTCAACTTAACTCTTCCTTCACTTTCTTCTAGTTCCTCTTAAAAACAAAAACATACAAAATGTCTAGCAGTTATTGTAGGATTCATATTTCTATAGGATTTAATTATTTCTCATGACAAAAATACTTGAACCTTCTAAAAACTGGGTGAACACCAGATGGCCAAAATAAAATGCAGTAAATGATGAAACTATCTCTGCTCATGCTGAGACCAGGCTGCAGGAAGCACTGGCATAGACTGTCTTTGCTGCTTTCTTTATGTCCTGCACTGATGTTGGAGAGTTGCTTAGGTAAGCTTCTATCAGCAGGTTCATGATGTATTTTCATCAGAATTTTAACCCATTGTCACCTTTTAAACAAGTTTTCTTTGTAATTAAAAAGACACGATGAGAATCTGAATTATCACCATATGAAGTGTTTTCTTTTAAAATAAAGAATAAATAAATAATAGAGATGGGTTCTTGCTATGTGGCCCAGGTTAGTCTTGAACTCCTGGCATCAAGCAATCCTCCCACCTCAGCCTCCCAAAGTACTGGGATACAGGTCTGAGCCACCATGCCTGGCCTTGGAGTGTTTTAAGCTTGATAATTCTTCATGATATAGATGGTTATCTCCTTTGTATTTTGTGTAAAAGAACACAAATAAAACTTACTTAACACAATGAGATGAAACACATTCTCTTTTCCCATTTCCTCCTTCTGGGATATCAATCTAGCAAAGATAAAATCAAGGCAACAATTATATTTTTTTCAGATTTTCATAAGATAAATTTAAGGTTAAGTAATTAGAAAGTACATGACTGAAATCGATCGGTTTAGCTAGGTGTTAATCTGATTAAGAGGAACTACAGGTGCTAAATGGTAAAACAAATCCTGAATTTGGATTAAAAAAAAAGTGTAACTTGTGAAGTAGCCTTCCTTGAGTAGCCAATCAATTCTCTTATTTACTGGAATAACCACATTAATATCACTCTAATTCTGACTGAATTTTCTCTATCTCATTTTTTTTTTTTTTTTTTTTTTTTGAGACAGGATCTTACTCTGTCACCCAGGCTGGAGTGCAGCGGCACAATCAGAACTCACTGCAGCCTTGACCTCCCAGCCTCAAGTGATCCTCTTGCTTTAGCCCCACAAGTAGCTGGGACTACCGGTGTGCACCACCACACCCGGCAAATTTTTGTATTTTTAGTAGAGACAGGGTTTCACCATTGTTGCCTGGGCTGGTCTTGAACTCTTGGACTCAAGCAATCTGCCTGCCTTAGCCTCCCAAAGTGCTGGTATTATAGGTGTGAGCTGCCGCACCCTGCCAGCTCTATACCATATTTTCCAGGTTGAAAACTGCAGCTGAGAAGGACTTAACATAGAAATCAGGCATTAGCCCTGCCACACCTACTCCAAGTGTTGGTAGAATCCTGCAATGCTTCTCTGACCCCAAGATAAAACATTTCAATAAAACTTTGGATTCTCGGGCTGAGCACAGTGGCTCACGCCTGTAATTCCAGCACTCTGGGAGGATCAGGAGTTCGAGACTAGTCCGGCCCGGGTGACAACAGCGAGACTGTCTCAAAAACAAAACAAAACAAAACAAAACAAAACAAAACAAAACAAAACAAAAACAACTTGTGGATTCTCTTCACATTTATAACTGAAATATTTTCCCCCTTCAACATGAATAGGGAAGAAAGGAATCTGTATTTAGCAAACTAAGTGGCAACACTTTGTTTTATTTTATTTATTTATTTTTTGAGACAGGGTCTCACTCTGTTGCCCAGGCTGGAGTGCAGTGGCGTGATCATGGCTCACTGCAGCCTTGCCCTCCCATGCTCACACCATCCTCCCACTTCAGCCTCCCAAGTAGCTGGGACTACACACGCGTAACACCATGCCAAGTTAATTTTTCAATTTTTTGTGGGGACAGGGTCTCACTATGTTGCCCAGGCTGGTCTTGAACTCCTGAGCTCAAGTGATCCTACCTACTGCCTCAGCCTCCCAAAGTGTTGGGATTACAGGCATGAGCCACTGTGCCCAGCCAAGCACTTAATATAATATCTCATTTACAAGGCTCAGTAGAGGAGGGCTGGGTTGCAATAAAATATTTGGCTATAATGCATGCAATTTAAAACTACTTAAAGCTCGAGGTTTATATTAAATCAGTGCCTTCTTGAATTTTAAAGTTTTGAAGTTTTAAAACAATTTTTTAAACTTGTGGGCTTAGAAATAACACTTATACCAATAATGTGGCAGATTCTGTGTGATTGATTTCAGTGTGGTAATTGTGCTTTTTAAAGTACTGCTACATTGGGCAGAAGAAAAATGAGGAAGAGTGCTAAAACAAACATTATTCTTAATATTAATTTACAGAATGTGGTTGAATTTCTCCAAAGAATCAAGGCATAGATACACTGGACAATGTTTAATGCCTACCCTTCATAATCCAAGAGACTCAAATTCATTTCTATTTGAAGAATTCAGATTTTCTGTTAGTCTTGTTTTCTAATATTCTGATGTAATGGAATTTATTTACTTTTTCCTTCCAAATAAGCTGTTAATGCTGTTAAGCTAAATTTATTGATATTTCACAGTATCAGTAAGTTATATCAGGGACCGAGTCATCCTATTCCAATTGATACAAATGTGTGAGGGCAGTCTGATTTTATCCCCATGTTTCACACAGCCATCTGGGCTTACACACAGCTCTCACACATAGGAATGCTTTCACAAGTTAGGCCGTGAGGGTATAAAAATTCTGGTGCTTTAATATAATTTTCCTAATCAGATTAGAAATTATTTTGTGGGTACAACCATTAATGAACCACTATCTCCAATATAAATACTTCTGTATTCCCAAATAAATTTTTTTTTAAAGATGGAGATAAATAAGAATGGAAAAGATGAAAGAAACTCAAACCAAAATGTACTCCAAAGAAAAGAAGTGGTACCATAACCTCAGAGAACATCTCTACAGGATAAGCTAGTATCACTGAATTCATGTTCACTAAATGTCTCAAAGAATTACCATATATCCTTAAGTGCTTAACAACTCTCCAAGAACAGCTGATTCACCAGTTGACCTGTGGTGGTCTTTCACTTTAGGATTTCAGACAGCATTTAGGCATTAAGTTCTAACACTCCATAATATAATAATTAACCATCACCTAGTTGACCAAATCTTTATTTTTGAATTTTCCAAATGCCAAATGAATCAATGAAAGAGAACTAGAATCTGGGTTTCTAGTTATTTTTTCCAACCTACAAGTCACATAGAACCCACTGAGTATATGACCAAATTAAAACAAACACAACCCACTTACAATCACTTTGACATAGTTGGCAGGAAATATGCCAATCTGGTTTCTACAGTTCCCTCTGTACCAATCTGTATCTATCTTCTCCAGAAGATAAACAATTTCTCCAGAAGTGAGGTTCAAATCATCAACTTGCTCTGTAATATAAAATTATAGTTATGTATGATGAATCATCCTGGTTGCAGATTTGATAAAAGCACAAAGTAGCATTTAGTTGTGTCCACTGAGGCAGTTATGTTCCACTGATTCTGAGAACAGATTATACTAATCAAATTGACTTAAAAAATGCTATTCTTTTTTTGGACATTGTTATGAGCTCCCTTTTTAAAGACCAAATTAGACACATTTACCATGCTTTGATTGATGGGAAATGGTTGAAAAAAACACTATTGTGTTAGCAAATGTTTCCTACTGTGCCAATATAAAGCCGTGCTGAATACACACTGAACAATGAAAAAAGTTTATAGACATGGTATAATATTATTATTCTCAATTATGCTTAAAAATCATTTTAATTTCAAATATTAACTAAGGGAGTACTACAACTCTTTAGCAAATAAGTTTACCCATACCAAAACAAAAATCAGCCTATCAAGTGGATAAAAAGAGATTGTAAGTAAATCAGGAGTTTATTTGTAGCCTTGGATATGAAGGGCATTTTAAAAATTATTACAAAAGTACTTATATTGTGCGTGGGCATGGGTGGCTCATGCCTGTTATCTCAGCACTTTAAGAAGCTAAGGTGGGAGGATCACTTGAGGCCAGGAGTTCAAGACCAGCCTGGGCAACATAGCGAGACCATGTCCCTAGGAAAAAAAAAAATTAGCCAGGTGTAGTGGCACCCCTGTAGTCCTAGCTACTGGGGAAGCTGAGGGAGGAGGATCACTTGAGTCCAGGAGTTCAAGGTTATAGTGATTGCACCACTGCACTCAAGCCTAGGCGACAGAGCAAGATCTTGTCTCACACACACACACACACACACACACACACACACACACACACACACACAAATTACTTTGATCTCATAGGTAAGTAAGCAGCTGAGACAACTTTGAAGACAAAAGAACTTCAGTTATTAAGTTAGGATTAACTTTATTACAATTTTTTTGTTGTTGTTGTTTTTTGAGACGGGGTTTTGCTCTTGTTGCCCAGGGTGCAACGGCACAATCTTAGCTCATTGCAACCTCTGCCTCCCAGGTTCAAGTGATTCTCCTGACTCAGCCTCCCAAGTAGCTGGGATTACAGGCATGCGTCACCATGCCCGGCTACTTTTTTGTATTTATAGAGACGGGGTTTCAACATGTTGGTCAGACTGGTCTGGACTCCTGACCTCAGGTGATCCATCCGCCTCGGCCTCACAAAGTGCTGGGATTACAGGTGTAAGCCACTGTGCCCAGCCATATTACAATTGTTAATTAGTACCCACTATTTTTTTTTTTCTTTTTTGAGACGGAGTCTCGCTCTGTCCCTCGGGCCGGAGTGCAGTGGCGCGATCTCAGCTCACTGCAACCTCAGCCTCGCGGGTTCACGCCATTCTCCTGCCTCAGCCTCCCGAATAGCTGGACTACAGGCGCCCGCCACTACGCCCGGCTAATTTTTTGTATTTTTAGTAGAGACGGGGTTTCACCATGTTAGCCAGGATGGTCTCAATCTCCTGACCTCGTGATCCGCCTGCCTCGGCCTCCCAAAGTGCTGGGATTACAGGCGTGAGCCACTGCGCCCGGCCTAGTACCCACTATTTTGAAAGAGTTAAAAAGTTTGTGACTGGTAGGCAATTTGCAATGTTCATTTGTAAGGGAAAGTCTCTCTCTCTCTCTTTCTCTTTCTCAGGGAGCTTCAAAGGCAAGGGTATACAACTAAGCTTTCTGGAATGGCTGGTACAATCAACCCTTCTTGAAGTGGAGTCCTGGATAAGATGACCTCTCCAGTCTCGGACTCTATAGGCACAGAAAAATGAAGAAGGATGTCCTTGAGAGGCTAACCCCCGGCAGGGAAAAAGACTTACTCCTGGATCCTGTGGTTCTCCCACTGCATTATTTACATCCTTACCTGCTGGGAAATCATGAAGAACGACAGCATGAGGAGCACCACTGTCAACAGGCTTCTGAGCGTGGCTTGGATCCTTAGGGGGAGAAAAGGGCTGTGAATGAAGTGTGCAGGATAGATGGTGGATTTATTATTCACTCTGAGACCAATTTTTTTTTTCTCATTAGAGTCCTCTTGACACAATTACATTATGAGTACATGATGCAAACCACACAGTTGAGCCAAACAAGGGAATTATTATCAAGTTGAAGAAGAATGTGTCCTTGCTAAGGGAGGATGAAAATCTCAATTAAAATATCCCCCAGTATGTTTTCTTTTTGCTTTTTTAAGCTGAGAGAGTAAAACAAAAGGGAACTGTTTATTTATTTTGAAACAGTATCTATTCTACCCCAAAGTAGTGGTTTTTGACCTCTTTCCCTTTCAAGGATAGCTTTTTCCTTAAAACTGTGATCAAGACAGAGTCTTAAAAGTTGTGTCTTTATTAGGATGGGAAAAGAAGAAAGTTCTATGATTTATGCTCTTGCCTTTTGTAATGAAAGGAGCTAATGACTTTCAACAGAAGTATAATTCACAAAAAGTAAAATCCATTTCATTTATTACCACTTAACTAAGTGCTTTTTCTAATTTGAAAGCAATGCTACCTCCCATGCCTGGTCTGCATTTTGTATTTAATCTGAATGGTTTATTCAACAGTAGTTCTAAATAAATTAGCAAAAAGAATCTAACATTCTCTATCCATCTAGCCAAATGCCGAGATTGGCCAGAGGATAAGGCAAAGCTGAAGAGCGACCTCTTCTTATTGACTAGCAATTGTTATTCTTAGTTTCTTTATATCAAGAGACAGGCTTATCCTCATCATCATCAAATCCCACTGAAGGATATTATTTGGAGTTATAACTTAACACTCTTCAACACTGGCAAGCCTGTGAAATAAATAAAGGCAGATTTTTGTGCCCTTTCTTGTCTCTTCACCTCCTCTAATAACTCTTGTCCCCTTAGAGACGTCCTGACACATCTATACCTCTGCCCTTCCCCTGGCCATGATGCACCAGGCTGATTGCAGCGCACTGTGAATGATGGTCCACTTTCTCCATTTCAACCCTGCAGCACCTTTGCTGAGATCTTTTCTAAATCTCAGCTGCTCTTTCAACCAAAATGCACCTGCAGAAACAAAACTTTCATTCTCTCAAGTTAGGTAAACTGAAATATAACTTAAGACTCTAATGGCTAATGTAGCTTACTATATTAGCTTACTAAGAAGACCCTAACATTTTTTCATGGACTGCTTAATGCTTTTCTCTAAATAAATGAACAATATGGAAATTTCATGAATTCTGAGATATTTTAGGTCTGACATGGCTTTTTTTTCTTTGACACAGGGTCTTGCTCTGTCACCTAGGCTGTGGTGTAGTGGCACAATCACAGCTCACTGCAGCCTTGACCTCCAGGGGTTAAGTTATCCTCCCACTTCAGTCCCCAAAGTAGCTGGGACTACAGACAAGCACTACCATGCCTGGCTAATTTTTGTATTTTTTGTAGAGATTGGGTCTCGCCACGTTGCCCAGGCTGGTCTCAAATTCCTGGGCTCAGGTGATCCACCCATCTTGGCCTCCCAAAGTGCTGGGATTACAGGAGTGAGCCACCGTGCCCAGCCTGGAGTGGCTTTTCATAATTATTCAGCATGGACAACATAAGAAATGCCATATCTACAAAAAAATAAAAAATTAGCCTGGCATGGTGATACACCCCTGTGGTCCCAGCTATTAGGGATGCAGAGGTGTGAGGATCTCTTGAGCCCAGGAACTCGAGGCTGCAGTGAGCTATGATTGTGCCACTATACTCTGACTTGGATGACTGAGTGACTCTCTCCAAAAAAAGTTAAACAAATTAATTATTATTTATATAATGTGTTATACATGTGCATGTGTGATTTTCATTTTTTTCTGATTTACATCTGTGGAGAAAAAGGAATTACTATTCAATAAGTGTTATTAGGCTAGATGCCTATCCATTTGGAAAAAATGATGTCAGAGACCTACCACACACCAAACACAAACATGAAATCTCCAAATGGACCAGAGGCCTAAACATAAACCAGTCCTTGGAGGGAGGGGATAATTTGTGCCTCCCAGTCACACATTTTCCCTTCTCTGCCTTCAGTGTATGGATATCACTGGCAATGCTGCTCATCAACCCAGCCTAGCAGGTGAAGGGCAAGAGGAACAGGCTAGACAGGGTTGCCAACAAGTGGTCCATACAATTCAGACCATACCACTGGGGTAGGTATCTGGTAGGTAAATATAACATAATGCAAAGGTCTTTCTAATATGACTATAACTGCTAATGCAAATGGTTTTGTAATATTAAGAATAGCTAATATTTACTGCTCATTCACCATGTGCTAGTCACTGTGTTAAATACCTTATATGCATTAGCTCAATGAATTTGTTAAACATCTTTGAGATATAACCCACATACAATAAAATTTACCTACTGAAAGTGAACATGGCTGTAGCATATTCATAGAATTATCCAACCATCACCATAACCCAAGTGCAGAACACTTTTATCACTCCCCAAAGAAACCTCCTACTAATTAGGTGTCACACCCCAGTTACCCTCCCCTCAGCCCCAGGCAACCAGTAGTCTACTTTCTGTCTCTATGGATTTATCTATTCTGGACTTTTACACAAATAACATCATATAATCTGTCAACTCTGAAGACAACTCTGTGGGCAGTTATCTCACACATTAAAAAAATAAAGTTTAGAGAAGTTAAATAACCACCGAAGAAGGTGGAAGGGGAACCAAATTCCACTTCCCTGAAACCCAGGTCTGGGGTCTCAACCATGTACCAGGCAACAACCTTCCACTTTTCCCATGATCTGTCTGATTCAACCACAACTGGTCATGTTCATTCAATATTTTCTGTTTGCCAAGTTAGGGCAAAGTACAACATATTCGTAGAGATATTTACCTTAAAACTAGGCTTTCAAATAGGTAAGTTTTATTTAAAAAAAAAATGTAACAATAGCCATGAACCCAGAAGCATAAAGGAGGATTCATTTCATTATCACCAATAGCTGCCCATCAGAGGCCAACTCTCTGCAAGTCTATAGTAAAAGATGAGAAGGTGGTATTTAAGGTGGAAAGAACTTTGCACTGTTATAAAAGACTAACTTTTGGCTGGGCATGGTGACCCATACCTGTAATCTGAACACTTTGGGAGGCCCATGCAGGCAGATGGCTTAGCCCAGGAGTTTCAGACCAGCCCTGGCAACATAGTGAGACCCTGTCTCTACAAAAAATTTTAAAAATTGCCAGGCATGGTGGTGCACGCCTGTAGTCCCAGCTACTCAGGAGGCTGAGGTGGGAGGATTGCTTGAGCCGGGAAGGTCAAGGCTGTAGTGATCATACCACTGCACTTCAGCCTGGGCAACAGAGTGAGACCTTATCTCAAAAAAAAAAAAAAAAATTCTAATTTTTTTTAGCTTCTATTTTTCACAAAGGAAAGCTTTTTGGCAGTATAACTTCCACTGTTGCCATAAGTGTGTTCTGAAAGAGGAAGGACAGCTATGACAGATGGATAATGCCGTACCAAAACAGAGAAAATGAGTCAGTGGAGAACTTGCCCCGTGGGAGCTAAAGTAAGGATTTTCATATGCCAGCAGAAGCTACCTTAACACATATCTCCTCTGCTCTCCAAATACAATTTTTTAGTTTCTTAGCAAACTTCAAAAGATAAACTGCCTTCTAAGAAGAAAAAATGGGAAAAGATTATGAAAACTAGGATAAACGGCAAACCAAGTATTTTACTTGATCACTATTATTTTTCATATTTACTTTATTTTTTTATTTGTTTTTTTTTTCCAAGACATAATCTCGCTCTATGGCCCAGGCTGGAGTGCAGTGAAGAAAACAAAACACAGGGTAGTCACTCTGTATCGAAGTGATTAGTATGGCAGTGGCAAGTCTCTTAGTAGTAATTTATTCTAAAAGTAGAATAAATGCTACTGTAATTTTTACTCTGGTTAAAATAAATGTGCTAATAAAAACCTGAAGATGAGATATAATTAATAGTTCCATGAAATGTGCTGCTATGTGTGATATGAGGGCTGTAACAATATTAATTCCTTACGTTTGGTCTGCTTCTAAGATGTTCATCAAGTGGAGTGATAATCTTCATTTGAGACAGGTGAACTCTGCCAGTGTCTTCTCCCTTTTGGCACTCCAAGTAATTATTTTCCGTCTGCTTCAGCATCACAAGTACATCCCCACGCTGCAAGGTACAATACCACTCTCTGAAGCAATTATTATTTAATAAAACATTATTACTTTTTCACATTTTAATCTTTGGAGCCTAAAGCATTTAATAATGTGTAATGGTAGTAACAGAGGCCAGTAATTTTTTTTTTACATTAACCAGTAAGGAAAGAGCTCTACTTTACCTTACAAGAGAGTTCTCCGGGGTTTTGAGAGACAATATCTTCATTGGCAATTCCATGAGGCACAGACAGCTTAAACGTAAACCAATAAAAGGCTTATTCACAATCAAATAACCTCCTCTTAAGTTGCTGATCATTTAGGAATTTGGCATGTGTGTGCCTAAAGTGCACCTTCTCCAGCAGCTAAACTCACCTGGCTTCATCGCGCTCTAGATCAATGGAGCCTGCCATTTCTCATGGATGTTAAGAGGCTCTTGGGAGTTGGAGTTAGGCCCATAGAACCACAAGAGCTAAACATGGCCTAACATTCCCTTAATGACCATAACCAGGAAGTTCTGTTCTACAGGACAAGATCCGCCAAGTCCCCTGGGGGTTTGAAGGAGAAACACCCAGCACTTGACCTCACAGCCAGTTCTTTAATTCAGGGTTCTTACAATGGTGGCCTCTGAAGGCTGATCAGTGATTGGAGCCCTCCGTGTACTGCCTGCCTGTTTCCATAGACCTTGAAGCTCTTCTCCTAGAGTCTCTCTGATACCAAGTGTCTACTTAAATCCATTTCATGGCCTGATCCCAGCCACTTCCTGGTCCACTCAGCTCTGTCTGATCTTAGAATGGTTTTTACATCTGTACTGGACCTTGTCCAGGAGGCTCTGTTCCCTGCTTTGGAAAATTTTAGCTGATGAGTGCACATCAGACGGTCTGTACTATATAAAAGGCATACCCAGGAAATGCAATCACACAAGCTCACATCCAACATGGGAAGAAGGCTGCCTGGGCCTTGGATCACCCAGGAGCAAAGATCCACAGTGCAAGGATGTGGCCCTGTACAGCTGGCTTGGTGGTGCCATTTCCCAACATCTTTGTCAGATTCCTAGGGCTTCCAATGTACCCAGATTCCTGGCTAGCAATTTAATGGTACTGTAGGCATGCAATAAATGAAAGATTTGAAGAATTATTTTGTAATGAGACATACAGCTCTATATATACCATCATTTTGAATGTATTGAGTTTTAAAAAATGCTTTATTGACATTATACGACTATGCTAAGAACTGTCAGGCCTCTGAGCCCAAGCTAAGCCACTGTGACCTGCACGTATACATCTGGATGGCCTGAAGCAGCTGAAGAACCACAAAAGATGACATTCCACCATTGTGATTTGTTCTTGCCCCACCCCAACTAATCAATCGACCTTGTTATGTTCCTCCCCAGGACAATGAGTCTCCTGATCTCCCTACCCTGCACCTTGTGACCCCCGCCCCTGCCCGCAAGAGAACAACCCCCTTTAACTGCAATTTTCCACTACCTACCCAAATCCTTTAAAACTGCCCCACTCCTGTCTCCCTTTGCTGACTCCTTTTTTGGAATGAGCCCGCCTGCACCCAGGTGAAATAAACAGCCTTGTTGCTCTCACAAAGCCTGTTTGGTGGTCTCTTCACACAGACGTGCGTGACAAGAACCAAATGTGAAATCTGGTTCCCCTTGAGAAAGGGCTCTTAACAGAATGGCCAAATCAAGTAGAGGCTACGATTGGCGTAATGGTTAGGAGCAGGTGTCAGAGCCAGCTGACCTGTTCTCAAATCTTGCTCCACCATTAACTGGATTCGCAACCCTGGGC
Organism: Homo sapiens; assembly: GCF_000001405.40. Lineage (NCBI taxonomy): Eukaryota > Metazoa > Chordata > Mammalia > Primates > Hominidae > Homo > Homo sapiens. The sequence continues at coordinate 151,145,834 of NC_000004.12, forward strand.
ATGTTACTTTATGTCTCTGTTTCTTATTTTCCTCACTTGTTAAAGGAGGATAATAATATCTACCTCACAAGGTTGGTATGAGGAATAAATGAGTTATTTAATACATACATAAAGTGCTTCAAACAGCGCCTGGCTCATAATTAGTACTCAATATACATCAACTACTGTTATTTATTAATTAAGTAATCTATCCCAAAGAACACCCCTGGGTTTTAGAAATTAAAGTTTTATCAGTTTAAGTGAATATTAATATATATGAATATACTGCCTCCTTCTTATTTGTCTTTACCCTTCTCTAAAGAGGATTTTTGAAAAACCCTGAACAGCTTAAAGAAAAAATAATTACTGGCTCAATGATGGAAATGTAACACAACATAGAATTATTAATTGCTGTTCTTGTTACAAGCTACTCTGTCGTTCAATTGTTAAAAAGAGTAAGCAGTCCTGCTCTCCTGATCATTTTTATTTTATTTTTTTTTTTAAAAAAGAGTCTCATTCTGTCACCCAGGCTGGAGTGCAGTGGCATGCTCTTGGCTCACTGAAACCTCCATCTCCTGGGTTCAAGCAGTTGGCTTCCCAAAGTGCTGGGATTACAGGTGTGAGCCACTGCACCTGGCCTCCTTATCATTTTTATTTGTTTTACATTTTTCAGGTTAACCTGATCAAAGTAGAGAACACATCAACTGTTTTTGTTGTTGTTGTTGTTGTTTTGTTTTTTTGAGATGGAGTCTCACTGTTGCCCAGGCTGGAGTGCAGTGGCACAATCTCGGCTCACTGCAACCTCTGCCTCCCGGGTTCAAGCAATTCTCCTGCCTCAGCCTCTGGAGTAGCTGGGATTACAGGCATGTGCCAACACGCCCAGCTAATTTTTGTATTTTTAGTAGAGACAGAGGTTTCACCACGTTGGCCTGGCTGGTCTCAAACTCCCAATCTCAAGTGATCCACCCGCCTCGGCCTCCCAAAGTGCTGGGATTACAGGCATGAGCCACCACCCAGCAACTCTGTTTTTTAACTGTGGGAAATGCAGGCAAAGGTTTAGGTCATTTGATGAGAAAAACATTAAAAGAGAACAAAATCAATATCTCAACTATTGATGAAAACTTCTAACTGGTAACTATTAAATGGACCACGATAATTATTGGGCTTACAAAAGGGGAAAATGAGGGAAAAACCATCCATCTTAGTAAGAACTTTCTACTTCATTTTAAAATTTACTCAAGGGGAAAAGGAGTTATTAGATATAAACTATATCATGATATAAACTATAAGCCAGGAGTGGAGGCATGTTCCCATAACCCCAGCTACTCAGAAGTGTGAAGCAGGAGGATCCCTGAGCTCTGGAGGTCGAGACTGCAGTACACTATGATTGCAGCAGTGCACTATGATTGCATCACTGCACTCGAGTCTGGGTGATAGAATGACACTCCATCTCTTAAATGAAAGGAAAAACAAAAGATATAAACTATAGTATCTGTCAGAGTTACTCCCATTAGTATAACCCACTGGGTCAGGTTTTTCAGAATTTCTGTTTGGTCCAGCCAGGCAGCAAGTTACAAGCGGCCTGCCCTGCTTTCTCTCCTCTTTCCCTACATTTCTCCTAATAATGAAACCCTGCTTTAAAGACCTAGGTGTTTTGTTTGTTTGCTTTGAGACAGTCTTGCTCTGTTGCCCAGGCTGGAGTGCAGTGGTGCAATCTTGGCTCACTGCAACCTCTGCCTCCCAGGCTCAAGCAATTCTCATGCCTCAGCCTCCTGAGTAGCTAGGATTACAGGATTGTGCCATCACGCCTGGGTAATTTTTTGTAATTTTAGTAGAGACAGAGTTTCACCACATTGGCCAGCTGGTCTCAAACTTTTGGCCTCAAGCTGATCCACCAGCCTCAGCTTCCCGAAGTGCTGGGATTATAGGTGTGAGCCACTGTGCCCAACCAAGACCTAGAATTTATTATGGCCTACTCATCTAAAGCACTCTTGGCGTCAAGGGACAATTCCACATTTGTTCCATCATCTTTTTCTAAGGAATGATGAATCGTATATATACTTTAGGGCACACCTCTTGACCACAAACATTTTTAAAAGCTAAATTTACCATGTATTTACTGTAGAGAGGGTGTCCTGGTTTGGGACGAGGGGGTAGCACCGGATCTTGATTTTTAAAAACTTGACTCTTGGCTTTTGAGAGTCCAGTTGCCAAGTTACTTTGTTTTTTCTGAAGATCCATGTCAGAAGAGGATCGATTAAAAGGCAGTTTCTTATTAGATCTTCTGGTTGCAGAAAGCTTTGGGGGAGGTGGTCTCTCAGGGGGCACCTTGGTTGGAGGCTGTTGAGTTGGAATGGTTTTTCCATTCACAGGTCTGAAAGTCAATGTAGTAGCCATGAGTCAGTGTTTTGATCAGTATTAAATTCTGTCCTGTCCTGTCTTACACACACACACACACACACACACACACACACACAGAGACACAGCTTTCTGCTAGTGGAATACAGTTTACTGAAACATGCAGGGTATGCTATTTTTGAGCAAACGACTGCTGCATTAAACATTACATTATTAGAGGAAATGCCATGATGTTCCAGTTTCCTCTTATCTTGCGCTAGAGATTCATTAGTTCAAGACAAACAAGCATTTACTATCACGGGCTCTCTAAGGTCCCATTTGCTCTTAAACACATCATGACTATTTCTGGAAACTAAGTACTTTCTACCAAAGTCTGAGATGAAAAGCTTATAATAAGATACGATGTATGTGTGCTGGGGTCTTGTACATGATTAGAAAAGGAACATCAAAATCCCCTAATATTCATGTTATAGGTGTTACTATTAAAAGTCTAATTTAGATTAATACAAAGAAAGCTAGTTCTGAAAGGATAGGACAACTATTACTTTGAAAGCCTTTCCTTAATCCCTACGATAGAAATAATTTTCGGCTGGGAGTGGTGGCTCATGCCTGTAATCCCAGCACTTTGGGAGGCCCAGATGGACGGATCATGAGGTCATGAGATCGAGAACATCCTGGCCAACATGGTGAAACCCCATCTCTATTAAAAATACAAAAATTAGCTGGGCATGGTGGCTCATGCCTGAAGTCCCAGCTACTTGGGAGGCTGAGGCAGGAGAATCGCTTGAACCCGGGAGGCGGAGGTTGCAGTGAGCTGAGATCGCGCCACTGTACTCCAGCCTGGTGACAGAGGGAGACTCCATCTCAAAAAAAAAATAAATAAATAAATTTCAACATAGTAATAATGTCTTCTGATAGCATTACAGCCCTTTATTTGAATAGCTCCGGAACTCAGAAGGCAGTCACCTCTGAGCTCACAAAGCCAGTCTCCTTCGGAAATGCCAAAAACCAGTTTCTTAACCAGGAGGGTGTTTGTGTGCATGTATACGTATATTCTAGAAGTGGAGCTGTTTTAAGTTCAGAAATGAGTCTTGTTCATTTATTTGAGGAAATAAATGCTCTATGAGTTGAACTGTGTTAAAAAGGGAGCAGAGATTCCCACAACCTACCATTAGGAGCAGACAGTGGATTAGGGGCCTGCGTGAAATCGGTGAGATTATTTTATCTCTAAAAAAAGATTCAAGGCCAACAACACTCAATCTTGGTGATAAAAAAGAGTTGGGTCTCTGAGTCATTAATTTTTCTCTAACTTTTCCCACATTTACTTACCTCGGTGGCAACCTTGGGGGTACTCGCACAAAACCTCCTGTTTGACCTGGGTGGTTGGATTCCTGCAAGTAGCAGAGAATGCTTTTTAGTTAAGGTTAATCTGAAACAAGAACTTGTCAAGAGAAATTCTAGGCAACCTTTTGGCTGGATCTACAAGTAGAAATGCAGTTGAATTATAGAAAGTAGCTTAAAAGAGTTTTCAGCCTTAAACAATATTAACCTATTTCTGCCTAAATTATTCATGTCCTAATAACAAGTGAAAACACTGACAGGAAGAAACCAGTCTCCTGTTGTGGACCACAGCCTGAGCAACTGCACTGCATGGTCATGCACTCAGTGGATTCATGAGATATTGAGGGAAAATTTAAGCAGGCCCTGAAGAGAATTTAAAAATGTATGCTCTTGGCCGGGCACGGTGGCTCACGCCTGTAATCCCAGCACTTTGGGAGGCTGAGGCGGGTGGATCACGAGGTCAGGAGATAGAGACCATCCTGGCTAACACAGTGAAACCCCATCTCTACTAAAAATACAAAAAATTAGCTGGGCATGGTGGCGGACACCTGTAGTTCCAGCTACTTGGGAGGCTGAGGCAGGAGAATGGCGTGAACCCAGGAGGCAGAGGTTGCAGTGAGCCGAGATCATGCCACTGCACTCTAGCCTGGGCAACAGAGCAAGACTCCATCTCAAAAAAAAAAAAAAAAAAAAAAATATATATATATATATATATATACACACACACATATATATATATACACACATATATATACATATATATACACACACATATATATACATATATATATACACACACATATATATATACATATATATATATATACACACACATATATATATATACATGCTCTTTATTCATTCCGTGATCACACATAAGAAACACACTGCTCCTAAATTTAAACACATAGTAAGAGGGATGGTTATTAGTTGGTTTTGCTTTGAATAGGCAGATCTTATCTCATCACTGTTTGGTTTCAACAATTTGCAGTGGGTTTTGAACTAGAAGGAGGTGGGAACGTAAAAGAAACTTGCAGGATGGTCTGAGAGGAAGGCATGTAAGGAGAAATAGTTAAGGTCCAAGAAAGCAGTGTGCTGGTACCACTCTAGCAAAAGGGCTGGATGGGCTAAAAAAGAGTTTCGTAGAAAAGAGGAAAAGAGTGAAGGAGAATAATATGAACAATAAAAGACAGTCACAGTTGGAATGTTTTATCCTAATGGTAGATGAGAGAAACTGGAAGTGTGGAGATTAATAGGAAGATTTCTGTAGGGGAAGGGTCAAACTGTTCCATTTAAACAGGTTTTCTGAACATGTTATAGCCCAAGGATTGGGAAATGAAGGTAATACGTGGAGAATATTTTCAGATCTTCTGTTGAGTGGGAAGCCAAAGGATCTCAAAGCCAAAATTTCTGTTTTTTGGAGGGGGAAAAAGCCCTCACAAAATTCTTTTTTTTTTTTTTTTTTTGGAGACAGAGTCTCACTCTGTCCCCCAGGCTGGAGTGCAATGATGCAATCTCAGCTCAATGCAACCTCTGCCTCCCAGGTTCAAGTGATTCTCCTGCCTCAGCTTCCCGAGTGGCTGAGACTACAGGCGTGTGCCACCCCACCTGGCTAATTTTCGTATTTTCAGTAGAGACGACGTTTCACCATGTTGGCCAGGATGGTCTCAAACTCCTGACCTCAAGTGATCCACCCGCCTTGGCCTCCCAAAGTGCTGGGATTACACGCGTGAGCCACCACACCCAGTCCCTCAATAAATTCTTCTAATTCTGTGTTTTTTTGTTTTCCACTTTTCCTACTTTCTAAGTCCCCAACACACTCAGGAAATAATATTTCCCCAAAACTTCATAAGAAAAAAAATGCTGACTCTTTAAATTACATTGCTTTTTTTTTTTGTAAAGGATGTTTAATTAAAGCTTGGAAATCTTTGGGCTACTTCAGACTGTTTTTCTCCTTCTTATAAATGAGCCAAAACTCACTTTTATGATTTTTAAATTATACTGAATATTTATAACCTTTTCCTTAAATACCAAATGATTAATTGCCAATAACTGTGATCATTTAAACATGTTTCAATATTATAAAATCCCATTTTAAAAAACAAATTAAGCTTGCCCTTAAAACTTGGTTTCACTAATGAGTTCAGTTAATGTAGTGAAGCAAGTAACCAGCTCATAAACCCTGCAATATTCCAGAATATAATCCTTGCCTTATAATTACACTGCTGCCTATATTTTTCCTGACAAATATTGCCATGATGCTTGAAAAATGCATTTATTTCTTTGGCTACCTTTAAAATTAAAACAAACTCTAGCAGATAGGAAGAAATTTTAATTGCTTTTCTCAAAACTGTAATTGTTAGATACCTTGATAAAGAAAATTTAAAAAATAGATATATAAATTTGACATGGAAAGATGCAGATGATGTACTGTAATAAATGCACAGCATATGACCCTAATTTTGTACCAAATATTAGCTATAGTTTTTCCTGGGGGGTGGTATTTTTATGGAAAATCTTAAACATCTTTTTAATTTCTTAATTTGCAACAGTAAGAAAATTTTAAATCAGAAAAAAAGAGTGGCATATTCAAATTCTTTAGGGATGTTAGGCACATTCTGAAAGGCACTGCTGTATCTGACATACTCCAAATATTGAGAGGAGACAGTTCTTGCAGGAGCCATTGTCTTAGTGTTTGCTCAAGTCTGGGTTTATGCCCAGGTTCTGCTGAGTCTTTGCAAGATAACTGATTAGGGACTTCCTCCTCGTGGGTATTCCACACATAACCTCAAGGCTCTCTGCATTTGCTTTTTGACAGTTTTTCTCTAGCTCTGATATCCCTGAACTCTGGCTTTTAATGTGTTTGGACAAGCATTTTAGTTTCTGGTGAAGTTGGTTTTCCTGCTTATATTGTCTCTGCAGATTCCATCTTTTTGTTCATCTGCACTGGAATAATATTCCAATTTAAAAATAATTCCCCAGTTTTTTGCTATTCTCTCTCTCTCTTTTTTTTTTTTTTTTTTTCTGAGATGGAGTCTCACTCTGTTGCCCAGGCTGGAGTGCAGTGGCATGCTCTCAGCTCACCAAACCTCCGCCTCCCGGGTCCAAGCAATTCTCCCACCTCAGCCTGCCGAGTAGCTGGGATTACAGGCATGCGCCACCATGCCTGGCTAATTTTTGTATTTTTAGTAGAGACGGGGTTTCACCATGTTGGCCATGCTGTTCTGGAACTCCTGACCTCAACTGATCCACCTGCCTCGGACTCCCAAAGTGCTGGGATTACAGAGGTGAGCCACTGTGCCTAGACTTTTGCTACATATATATGTACATATATATATATTTGAGACGTAGTCTTGTTCTGTCACCCAAGCTAGAGTGTAGTGGCACGATCTTGGCTCACTGCAACCTCCGCCTCCTGGGTTCAAGCAATTCTCTTGCCTCAGCCTCTTGAGTAGCTGGGATTACAGGCACGTGCCACCACACCCGGCTAATTTTTGTATTTTTAGTAGAGATGGGGTTTCACCATTTTGGTCAGGCTGGTCTCAAACTCCTGACCTCATGATCCATCCACCTCGGCCTCCCAAAGTACTGGGATTACAGGCATGAACCACCATGCCCAGCTGCTATATTTTTTTAAAAAAACAGGTATTTCTCCCAAGACCACACTCTTGTCTGCTGGAATTACTGAGTGGCCTCCATATGTTTCTTATCTTTTTTCTCCAAGAATTAGCACTACTTCTTTTTTTATTTTTTAGAGACAGGGTCTCGCTTTGTTGTCCAGGCTGGAGTACAGTGGCGCGATCTCGGCTCACTGCAACCTCCACCTCTGGGTTCAAGCGATTCTCCTGCGTCAGCCTCCCAAGTAGCTAGGATTACAGGCGTGCTCCACCACACCTGGCTAATTTTGTATTTTTAGTAGAGATGGGGGTTTCACCATGTTGGTCAGGCTGGTCTCGAACTCCTGACCTCAGGTGATCCACCTGCCTCAGCCTCCCAAAGTGCTGTGAATACAGGCATGAGCCACCGTGCCTGGCCCACACCTTTAAGTCTTTATGGCCTCTGTTTCAAAATTCATTCAGTAATTGTAATTTTTTTTAAAAAAAAAGGGATTTCTTAGGCACAGATTGACTTTCAGGTCCCAGAAATCTATATGCGTGAATTCAGGCAAATCATTTAACTTGTAGTCTGATTCTTCATCTCTTCTTCCTTCAGATTCAGTGTGTTTATTATGGTATGCATTTATTATAGTACAGTACTGAATGTTCTGACTCCCTTTATAAACAGTGCAGGACAGGATTTTCCTCATGTTGTCATGTGAGGAACAAACACAATTATGAATATGGTATCTCTCCAGATGGTTTAATTTATTATAACTTCCTTTTTTTTGTTTTTCTAAAATGTGGAAGTTGCTTCCGGACTGCTTAGCACTAAACATAATAATACTATTTCTTTTCTTTTCTTTTTTTCTGAGATGGAGTCTCACTCTGTCGCACAGGCTGGAGTGCAGTGGCGCGATCTCGGCTCACTGCAACCTCTTCCTCCTGGGTTTATGCAATTCTCCTGCCTCAGCCTCCCAAGTAGCTGGGATTATAGGCGCATGACACCACACCCGGCTGATTTTTTTTTTTTTTTTTTTGTGAGATGGAGTTTCATTCTTGTTGCCCAGGCTGGAGTGCAATGGTGTGATCTTGGCTCACCACAACCTCCGCTTCCCAGGTTCAAGCGATTCTCCTGCCTCAGCCTCCCGAGTAGCTGGGATTACAGGCATGCACCACCACACCCAGCTAATTTTTTGGATTTTTAGTAGAGATGGGGTTTCTCCATGTTGGTCAGGCTGGTCTTGAACTCCCGACCTCAGGCGATCCGCCCGCCTTGGCCTCCCAAAGTGCTGGGATTACAGGCTTGAACCATTGCGCCCGGCCCACACCTGGCTAATTTTTGTATTTTTAGTAGAGATGGGGTTTCACCATGTTGGCCAGGCTGGTCTTGAACTCCTCACCTCAAGTGATCCACCCGCCTTGGCCTCCCAAAGTGCTGGATTACAGGTGTGAGCCACCACACCCGGCCTCTTTTCTTTTTTTTTGAGACAGAGGCTTGCTCTGTTGCCCAAGCTGGAGTGCAGTGGTGCGATCTCAGCTAACTGCAACCTCTGCCTCCCGGGTTCAAGCAATTTTCGTGCCTCAGCCTCCTGAGCAGCTGGGACTACAGGTGTGTGCCACCACACCTGGCTCATTTTTGTATAATACTATTTCTTTTTTTCTTCTGGAGACGAGTCTTGCTCTGTTGCCCAGGCTAGAGTGCAGTGGTACAATCTTGGCTCACTGCAACCTCCACTTCCTGAGTTCAGGCGATTCTCCTGCCTCAGCCTCCCAAGTAGATGGGATTACAGGCACGCATCACCATGCCTGGCTAATTTTTGTATTTTTAGCACAGATGAGGTTTCACCATGTTGGCCAGACTGATCTCAAACTCCTGATCTCAAGTGATTTGCCCGCCTTGGCCTCCCAAAGTGCTGGGATTACAGGTGTGAGCCACAGTGCACCCCAATACTATTTCAATAAAGCTTTATAGTTTACAAAGTCCATTACATATGATGGACATTACATATAATGGACATTAACAAATGATGTTTTACTTACTCATCACCCTCTCACTCCTTTTTATAACCATTTCAGAGTAGAAGCCAACCTTCTCAAGCAACTTTTCCTCCAAGGGAATTTGGGATTTTCCAGTTTAACGTTAGTAAGGTAGGAACCCTACTATCCTCTTTTGGGCTTTCTTGGCCCAGATTTAATAAAAGTTTATTACCAGCTACTTTGAAAATCACAAGTGATCACTAAATTTTAATTCATTCTTCAGGAAAATCTCATTAACTTGATATTGGCTAATTTAATTTAATGTCTCCTTCAAAGAAATTTTTCTTCTCCAGATGATTAGGTGGGCTTGCCTGTATAATAAGCATAGTTAATGCACAATGTAAAATCATGATGAAATTTGAACTGAAAATTTGGTTCAAAGACTTAAAAGTTAATTTCTCTTAAAACAAGCCTTAAAGATCATATGCCATATGGACATTTAAAAAAAACGACTGGGGTCTGGCGTGGTTGCTCATGCCTGTAATCCTGGCACTCTGAGAGGCCGAGGCGGATGGACCATTTGAGGTCAGGAGTTCAAGACCAGCCTGGCCAACATGATAAAACCCTGTCTCTACTAAAAATACAAAAAAAATTAGCTGGACATGGTGGTGCGCACCTGTAGTCCCAGCTACTTGGGAGGCTGAGGCAGGAGAACTGCTTGAACCCAGGAGGTAGAGGTTGCAGTGAGCCGAAATCGTGCCACTGCACTCCAACCTGGGCGACAGAGCGAGACTCTGTCTCAAAAAAAGAAGTGATCTCATATCTAGAAAAACCTAAAGACTCTACCAAAAAAACCCTCTTAGAATTGATAAATGAATTCAGTAAAGTTGCAGGATACAAAATTAATATACAAATATCAGTAACATTTCTATACATGACAAAGAACTAGCTAAAAAAAGAAATTGAGAAGGCAATCCTATTTACGATAGCTACAAAAAGAAATACCTTGTAATAAATTTAACTGAGGAAGTGAAAGACCTCTACAAGGAAAACTACAAAATACCGATGGAAAAATGGAAGAAGATACAAAGGATACAAACAAACAGACATTCTATATTCATGGATTAGAAGAATTAATATTGTTAAAATGAGAATATTACCCAAAGAAATCTACAGATTCAATGCAATCCCTATCAAAATACAAATGACATTCTTTACAAACAAAGAAAAAAAAATCCTAAAACTTGTACGGAACCGCAAAAGGCCCCGAATAGTCAAAACAATCCTGAGCCAAAAGAACAAAGGTGGAGGCATCACCTACCAACTTTAAAATACACTACACAAAGATGTAGTAGCAAAAACAGCATGGACCTAGCATAATAACAGACACACAGGCCAATGGAACAGAATAGAGAATCCAAAAATTAATCCACATATCTACAGCCAATCGATTTTTGACAAAAGTGCCAAGAACAGTCATTGGGGAAAGCACAGTCTCTTCAATAAATGGCGCTGGGGAAAACTAGATATCCATATGCAGACGAATGAAACTAAACCCTCCCACTCACTCTTTATAAGACTCAACTCAAAGACCTAAATCTAAGACCTGAAACAATAAAACTACTAGAAGAAAGCAGGGAAAAGACCTCAGGACATTGGTCTTAAAAAAGATTTTATGAATAACACCTCAAAAGCACAGGCAACAAAAGTAAAAATAAACAAATGGGCTTATATCAACCAAAAATCTTTTGCACAGTAAAGGAAACAACCAACAGAGTGAAAAGACAACCTACAGAATGGCAGGAAATATTTGCAAACTACTCATCTGATAGGGGATTAGTATCCAGAATACAAAAGAAACTCAAACATCGTAACAGCAAAAACCCCAAACAATCTGATTTTAAAATGGGCAAATAAACTTTGGGAGGCGGAGGCCAGACAACTGCTTGAATCCAGGAGTTCAAGAACAGCCTGGGCAATGTGGCAAAACCTGTCTCTACAAAAAATACAAAAAATTAGCTGAGTGTGGTGGCATGCGCCTATAGTTCCAGCTACTCAGGAGGCTGAGGTGGGAGGATCACCTGAGCCCAGGAGGTCAAGGCTGCAGTGAGCTGTGATCACACAACTGCACTCCAGCCCAGGAGACAGAGTAAGACCCTATCTCAAAAAAAGAAAAAAAAAAAACGGCAAATGATCTGGGTATTTCTCAAAAGAAGACACACAAATGGCCAACAAATACATTAAAAAATGCTCAACCTCACTAATCATCAGGGAAATTCACATCAAAATGGCAATGAGGTATCATCTCACCCCAGTTGGGATGGCTATTATCTAAAAGATAAAAAAAAAAAACAAATGCTGGCAAGAATGCAGAGAAGGGTGAACTCTTATACACTGTTAGTGGGGATGTAACCTAGTACAATCACTGTAGAGAACAGGATGGAAGCTCCTCAAAAAACTACAAATAGAACTACCATATGATCCAGCAAGCCCACTACTGGGAATTTATTCAAAGGAAAGGAAATTACATTGAAGAGACATCTGCACATCCATGTTTACTGCAGCACTACTCACAATAGCCAAGATACGGAATCAACCTAGGTGTCCAACAACAGATAAATGGATACAGAAAATGTGGCATGTATACACCATGGAATACTATACAGCCATAAAAAAGAATGGAATCCTGTCATTTGTGGCAACATAAATGGAACTGGAGGATATTATGTTAAGTGAAATAAGCCAGGAACAGAAAGTTAAACACTGCATCTTCTCATTCATACATGGAAGCTAAAAATAAGTTGATCTCATAGAAATAAAAAGTAGAACGGAGGATACTAGAGGCTGGGAAGGGTAGAAAGAAGGGAGAGATAGGGAGCTTTGTTAAATAATACAAAATTAGAGCTAGACAGGAGGAATAAATTCTAGTGTTCTATACCACTGCAGGATGACTATAGTTAACAATAATATATAGCTTCAAATAGCTGGAAGGAAGATATTGAATATTCCAAACAGAATTGGTGAAAAATGTTTGAGATGACAGATATGCTTACTACCCTGATCTGATCCCTATATAGTATATGTACTGAAACATCACTATGTACCCCAAGAATATGTACAATTATTATTTAAATTTAAAACAGAGGAAATAATCAGGAGCTTTGTCATGGGCTTCCCATAAAGTCCTCTGAAAGTCTTTATTCTTTATTTATTTATTTATTTATTTTTTGAGATGGAGTCTCACTCTGTCGCCCCAGGCTGGAGTGCAGTGGCGTGATCTTGGCTCACTGCAACCTCTGTCTCCCGGGTTCAAGCGATTCTCCTGCTTCAGCCTCTGGAGTAGCTGGGATTACAGGCACACGACACCACGTCCGGCTAATTTTTGTATTTTTAGTAGAAACGAGGTTTCACCATGTTAACCAGGCTCGTCTCGAACTCCTGACCTCAGGTAATCCACCCGCCTTGGCCTCCCAAAGTGCTGGGATTACAGGTGTGAGCCATTGTGTCCAGCCACCTTTATTCTTTTTCTTAAACCACTTCTCTAATTACTTGCTGCATGTCTGTTTCCCCAAGAAACCACAAAAGTTGGAAGACCAAAAAAAAAAAATAAATAAAAGTATTGAGGATATTGAAGTTGAAATGAAAAATATATATATGTACTTTAAAAAATCTCTTTGACCTCCATCTTAACAAATGCACAGTAAAACACTATTTTTTAAATAAAAAAAATACATTTTTCTTAAATTTCAGATTTAAAAATTCTTATGTTAATTATCTTAAATTTTGGTCACTAGTTGGGTATTTTAAATAAAAACCAACAACTTGAATAAAGTTATTTCCCTGAATATTAAAGGTTTTTAGACATTTTAATAACCTTCTCCTTATTAGTTTCATTTAAAAGACAATGCCATTAAGTTGGTATACAAATTATTTTATAGTGAAGTACAATGAATTGGCCTAATCTCTCTATAGGGACTTTTAACATATTGAACACTATATTATATAAGTACATGGGGCTTAGAGACTGGTCTCTAATAGAGGGTTCTTGTTTTTAATCTGACCAGTAATAAAATAATTTAGATATTAGCTGACTATTCAAAATTAATGCATAGCTACGTCTTCAATCTAGTACAATCTATAATGACCACTTACCAAGTTTCTAGTTCTCTCAACATTACTGAGCTTTCCAGATACTGTACTGAAAGTGTTTCCAATAGGTTTTTCAGCAGGGAGAGGAGGTGGACTTTGTGGATCCTCATGTAAACCTGGAAAAAGTAGCAGTAATTCATCAATAATTTCTAGTTTCTGGGATTCCAAAGAATGAAATGATTGCTGCTTAGTTTATTAGAAAAATGGCTATCATAAAAGATACACACAAATAGTTAAGCAAATGAGAAAGAGCTCCCAGCAAACTTCAGAAAATTGATGTGTTAGTCAACATCAGTTAATTTTACTATATGTTTTTATAGAGAGTGAAAATAATACTAAACAATTCAACAGCAGCCAGCATTGTTGAGAACCTTTTATGTGCCAGGAATTAAGTTAGGCTCTATATTTACATACATTTCTCCAACCAAGATCTATGTGCTAGATTTGTCCAGTCCACTAGCTAGTAGCTACATCTGATGATTTAGTCTTAAATCTTAATTAATTAAAATTAAATTAAATTAAAATTTCAGTTCCTCAGTTGCACTAGCCACATTTCAAATTACTAGCCACTGTGACTAGTGGCTACCAGCACAGTTAAAGAACATTTCTATCTTTGTAGAAAGTTCTATCGCACAGTGCTACACTAGATAATATCCTACCTGTTTTACAGATGAAGAAACTGAAGCTAAGAAGAAAATAAATGCACTACCCAAGGTCTTATTGCTAGTAATTGTCAGATCCATTGTTTTGAACCTAAAAGTCCATGTTCATTTTGATAAGGCATGCTGCTTCTTAATAGGTGGTGTATCCAACACTCCCTCATCCAAAAATAATTCAATGTGTTTTATTTCTTTTTTTTTTTTTTTTTGAGATGGAGTCTCGCTCTGTCACCCAGGCTGCAGTGCAGTGGTGCAATCTCGGCTCACTGTAAGCTCCGCCTCCTGAGTTCACGCCATTCTCCTGCCTCAGCTTCCGGAGTAGCTGGGACTACAGGCACCCGCCACCACGCCTGCCTAATTTTTTTGTATTTTTAGTAGAGACGGGGTTTCACCGTGTTAGCCAGGATGGTCTCGATCTCCTGACCTCGTGATCCGCCCGCCTCAGCCTCCCAAAGTGCTGGGATTACAGGCGTAAGCCACTGCATCCGCCCAATGTGTTTTCTAATTCAGTAGCTTCTGAATAATGAACATAATTGCCCTCAATTAAACAAACAATACCTTTACATCCAAACCACACCCACATCAGTGATAATGTAGCCCCAACTTATTTTAAAAAGAAGAAAACCAAGATGACCAAATTAGTGACAGCTAATTAAAATGAGTGTGCAAAAACAATTGGGAGAGTGAATGACTGTAACATACTGAAGGACGCTAAAGCCACCTTTTACACTGTTTGGTTTAGACATTAAAAGGAGATGAGCAGATGAGCACTCTGTCTCTTTCTCTCTCTTTTTTTTTTTTTCAAATGTACACTCTCTTCTTCCATTTCAAGTGAAAAACCTATAACAAGAAGATGATTTGTCAGGTTCCTGTTTTATCCGCAGACAGGACAACATTCTCAAAGGGAGGAAAATACCCAGGCCAGCAACTAGGAAAACAATGATTTAGAGCGAGGCAAACATTCTTAGTGAGAGGCGTGCAGTGGCTCTGGGAATTAAGACATATATAATAAAAACATCCAACTCAGTCACCATCTTGAAGATATTTTCTGTGCTGTGGTTTCCTTATTCTTACAAGGAAATAGTTAATCATATAGAGTATAATACTGTCGTGACAAATATTTAAGAGTATAAGCCAGTAATATGAAAGTAGAAAGGAGATAGCTTACTGGAAGGAGAAACACAGGGAGTATCTGGTGTGAGTATGTGTGGGATGTGGAGGTAGGAGATTTCCAATTTTAAATAATGTAGTCAGGGAAGGTCTCTGAGAAAAAGTGGCAATGAGCAAAGACCTGAAGGATTGGTGAGGGAGGGAGCCTTGCAGACATCTGGGAAAAGGACAACCTGGTCAGAAGAAACAGGCCCCGGGGAAAGGAGCTGACAGGTTCAAATAAGATCAAGGACATTTGCACCACGAAGCTATCCCCTTTTTCCCTTGACCATTCCAAATTCTTCAGACACCAAAGTTTCATTCTTTTTCCTCCACAGAATATATGCATTATTATATTAATAAAATTCTGAGGAATTGATTTTTGGTATAAATAGAAATAACTCTCTAGAAATCATTCTGTCATTTCAGTTCTCCTACATTTGGCAGTATAGAATTCAACTTACTTTTTTTCTTTGAAGAGGAGCTTAATGATGAATTAAAATACCCTCTTTGGGTATAAATTACCTGCCATTTAAAGCAGAAAGTCCTCCTCACTTTGTTTTTGTCTTTTATACATATATATATATATATATATATTTTAATTATACTTTAAGTTCTAGGGTACATGTGCACAACGTGCAGGTTTGTTACATATGTATATATGTGCCATGTTGGTGTGCTCCTGTGGCCAAAGTGTTCTCACTGTTCAATTCATACCTCTTTTTTTTTTTTTTTTTTTAGATGAGGTCTCGCTTTGTCACCCAGGCTGGAATGTGGTGGCATGATCTCGGCTCACTGCAACGTCTGCCTCCTGGGTTCAAGTGATTTTCCTGCCTCAGCCTCCCAAGTAGCTGGGATTACAGGTGTGTGCCACCATGCCTGGCTAAATTCTTTTTTTTTAATTGAGCCTTTATTTTTATGTATTCATTTTTTAAAAGAATATTTTTAAAATTTTACTTTAAGTTCTGGGATACATGTGCTGAACACCCAAGTTTGTTATATAGGTATATATGTGCCATGATGGTTTGCTTCACCTATCAACCCGTCATCCAGGTTTTAAGCCCCGCATGCATTAGGTATTTGTCCTAATGCTCTCCCTCCCCTTGCCCCCAACTCCCCAACAGGCCCCGGTGTGTGATATTCTCCTCCCTGTGTCCACGTGTTCTCACTGTTCAACTCCCACTTATGAGTGAGAACATGCAGTGTTTAGTTCTGTTCCTGTGTTAGCATGCTGAGAATGATGGCTTCCAGCTTCATCCACGTCCCTGCAAAGGACATGAACTCATTCTTTTTTATGGCTGCAGCCCGGCTAATTTTTATATTTTTAGAAGAGACAGGGTTTCACCATGTTGGCCAGGCTGGTCTCGAACTCCTAGAATTCAATTTTCTACTAGTTCTTGGAGCTTTGTCAGGATAATAATTAAAGCTGCTTCCTCAGCATATCCTTTTCAGGATTTCAAAGCTTATTAATGCAGTTTACAAGTGTGCAGAAAAAGTAAACATAGCAGGTCTGAAACTTTATCCCTAGAAAGTCCTACTTACAAGATTGGTCCCTTTTTTTTTTTTTTTTTTTGAGTTTCGCTCTTGTTGCCCAAGCTGGAGGGCAATGGCGTGATCTCAGCTCAACACAACCTCCAAATCCTGGGTTTAGGCGATTCTCCTGCATCAGCCAAGCGCATGCCACCATGCCCGGCTTATTTTTGTATTTCTAGTAGAGATGGGGTTTCACTATGTTGGCCAGGCTGATCTTGAACTCCTGACCTCACGTGATCCACTTGCCTCTGCCTCCCAAAGTGCTGGAATTATAGGCATGAGCCACCACACCCAGCCACAGGATTGGTCTTTGACTGGCATATAGGAACTTGGACTTTGGGACAGTTCTCGCCATCCTCAAAACTGATAAAACAGAATATATGGTTTATGCTGAACATCTGCTTTCCTTCTGGGAATCTGGAATTTTGGTAAGTGCCAAAATTTCTAGGAGTGCCTACCTGACCAGCCCCCAATAAAAACCCTGGGCACTGAATCAGTAGTGAGCTTCTCTGGTTGACATTTCACACTTGTCATCACAACTCATTGCTGGAGGAGTTACATATGTCCTCTGACTCCACCAGTAGAAGACTCTTGGAAGCTTGCATCTGGTTTCCTCCAGACTTCACCACATTTGCCTTTTCTCTTTGCTGATTGTGCCTCATATACTTTTGCTATAATAAATAATAGCCATACATACAACTATCTGTTGAGTCCTGTGAGTCCTCCTAGTGAATCATCAAACCTGGGGGTGGTCTTGGGGACAATGACACAACAGATGAATAAATTTAAAAATTTGTATTTATTACTAATTTCTGTAAAAGTTGTATTACTTAAAACCCAGGCAAAATTTCTTATTATTATATGTTACTATACTTGTTAAAATCCAGAATACATTTAACAAAGTAATAGCAAACAGGCAAACAACCCAATGAGCTATCGTTTTACTGATTTGTGGGCTATATAATATTGTCAAAAGAAATATACTGCCAGTTTTTTCTTTCTTTCTTTCTTTTTTTTTTTTGAGATGGAGTCTCATTCTATTGCCCAGGTTGGAGTGCAGCGGCATGATCTTCGCTCACTGCAACCTCCACCTCCTGGGTTCAAGCAATTCTTGTGCCTTAGCCTCCCAAGTAGCTGGGATTACAGGTGTGTGCCACCATGCTTGGCTAACTTTTTTGTATTTTTGATAGAGACGGGGTTTCACCATGTTGGCCAGGCTGGTCTCGAACTCCTGACCTCAAGTGATCTGCCCACCTCAGCTTCCCAAAGTGCAGGGATTACAGGTGTGAGCCACCATGGCTGGCCTACCACTGGTTTTTAAATCTAACATTAAAATATTACCTCTAAAAAAATAAAATATAACTTCCTAAGAAACTAGAACCAGAATTTGATACCTTAGATTTTTTTCTCCTCCACATTCTTCATAGCAACTCAATTCAATTTTCTTGCTACTTGGCTGAGAGCCATCAGTTAGTAACAGAATCATCAAAAAACTGAAACCAAGATGATCCTTCTGGGTAGTGCTTTATAGAGAAACCAAACTCCTAAAATAAAGGGAATATGCCTGCATACAATCCTGGGTGCTACAGGTGAAAGAGTGGAATGCTTGTTCTGCTTTAGGAGGAATGAAGTGGGCAGAATCTCTTGTTAGACAAAGGAAAGAATGCATGCGGGCTATGATATAAAGGCATTGCAGGCATAAATGAAATCAGATGCCCGCAGAGAAAGCTGTGTGATCACTCCAAGCAGTGCCATGAACTGCTCTGGAACCCACTGTGTGTGTGTGTACACATACACAAACACCCTTTTAATCACAGTTTTTAATAATCTGGTGCCTAAAATAAATAATTCTGGCCCTTGTGGCTTTCCCATTATAATAAATATCAGATTTCTTTTTGAAGTACTTATTAAAGCTCCTATAGAATTTCATTTGTTATACTATTAAAAAATCAAGTAAGGAAAAAATCAAGTAAGGAAGTAAACCAAAATGTAACGTTACACTAATTTTTTTTTTTTTTTTGAGATGGAGTCTCGCTCTGTCACCCAGGCTGTAATGCAGTGGCACGATCTCGGCTCACTGCAAGCTCCGCCTCCCAGGTTCAAGTGATTCTCCTGCCTCAGCCTCCCAAGTAGTTGGGACTACAGGCGCGCAGCACCACACCCAGCTAATTTTTGTATTTTTAGTAGAGACAGAGTTTCACCATGTTGGCCAGGATAGTCCTGATCTCTTGACCTCGTGATCCACCTGCCTTGGCCTCCCAAAGTGCTGGGATTACCGGCATCAACCACTGCACCTGGCCAATTTAAGAAGTATTTTTATAAACTATTATTTAAAGCTTTGGTTACTGCTCTTCACCGAATTCACACATAGCCATATTTGAGATTATGCTGATTGCAATAATATACTCCTGACTGATAGACATATACACCTTTATTTGCTATTAGTTTAGATTACTTTCCCACCAAATCTGTACCAGAGGTGTTAACATGGGATATAACAATTGTTCTAAATTTCAGTTTCCCTCTATTCTCTGTCTAAAGACAACATTAAAGAAAAATGAAATCCCCAGCCTGACCAATGTGGTGAAACCCCATCTCTACTAAAAATACAAAAATTAGCCAGGTGTGGTGGCGTGTGCCTGTAGTCCCAGCTACTCAGGAGGCTAAGACAGGAGAATTGCTTGAATCCGGGAGGCAGAGGGTGCAGTGAGCTGAGATTGTGCCACTGCACTCCAGCCTGGGTGAGAGAGCGTGACTCCCAAAAAAAAGAGGAAAAGGAAGGGAAGGGAAAGGGAAGCGAAGGGGAAAGGGAAAGGGAAGCGAAGGGGAAAGGGAAATCCAAATTTACTGAACTAATTCTTCGAAGAATTGTGAAAAAACAATTTGCTTTTAAATAGCTTTGACTATGAATGGCAGATTATACATAATTTCAAAAGCAGACATTGATAAATTAGCATATATTTCTCCCAGCCTCTTGAAGAAGCTAATAAAGAAAGCAGAGAAGTGCTTACATTTTCCTGGTTTGGCTGGAATTCGAATTACAGTGGGCTTCCTGGTGGGTGCTGGTTGAACTGCTCGTTCTTTTATTGGTTCTGTTTTTGCAGGGAGCTGAAAGGGATCTAATGAAAAACATAGTTTATTTTGCATGTTTTAGTTAACATGGACTGAAACAAAAAACCTCATTCATAATTTAAGAGTCATATTTTTCATGCCCCTGGGGAAACTATTCATGGATAAACAAAATCTCAGTTTGCAGAGACAAAAACAAAGTTGGAGCTCATAAAAGGAAATAACTTAGTGTTCTGTAAATAATTCATGCGGCTTTTCTTCCTCTCTGATGAGAGAGATTGAGGATGATCTTGAATTATGTAGAAGCTGATCTTTCAGGGGAGTGTAATCATTTCATACGTGTCTGCCTGAAAATGAGGGGCAACTGAGATGAGGAGACCATCTTTCCCACATCCTAAAGCCTCCCAGATGCCACAGAGAGGAAAGACTCTTTCCCTGTACACCCCCTGTGCCTGTCCCAGAATATTTACTCCCAGGGCCCTCACCCTACCCAGTGCTGTGCCTGGCACAGGGAAGGTGCTTAGCAGTCTCCGATTTAGTAGTTTAGTAAAACTACACTTCAGTAACATGAAAATGAAAAACATTCTATCCCAGAAATAAAATAAGACATATCCCTTCAAATATTTAATTTTGGGGGAAGGATATATGACTCGGCATTCCTCCATCTTAACCGATTTATTAAGTAATTGCAGTGGTTGTCATTGAAAGTAATGCGCCAACCCAATATTTTAAATGGACAGTATATACTTAGGAGAAATACTTTAAACAAAAGCATGGCTGTAAACCTTTTTACTGAAACAGTTTTTAATATAAGTGTCCTTTTTAGTGGTTTGGAAAAATGACTATACTTTTTTTTTTTTAATGGGAAATCTACAAGTAAAAATATTAACAAAAATAAAAGAAAATGCTCTATAATGGATATTCTACTCAGCACACAGGATCGCATGAGACTGTCTTTGCTTTTATTTAACAAGAGGCGAAATGAGTATATGCTGTAATTCTGCACCTGTTCTATGTATCTTGCCTGCGGGGAGATACTCTCTATAAAACTATGCACTCCATAGCTCCTGTGATGAACAGCATTCAAATTCTGCCTGTTATGAGGTGTAATTCAATAAGCACCTTTTGCTGAGCAGCTCTTTGCAGGATACGTGAAGGGCTGAGCTAAGAATAAAAGCCCTTTTGGCAATCTGATACTTCGCCTTCTCTTCCACTCAGTTCTCAGTCGATCTCACCATCAGATACCCTGCCAAAGGCATCACTCTCTCACCAGTCACTTGCTCACATATTTATGCCAGTAACAGTGCTGGGTGGGGAAATATGATGGTAAAGTACAATCCTATTTTAAGTTTCTTATCTACCACTTAGGAAGGGTCCCCAGATGGCAAGCTAGCTAAAATTATTATTATGCTACTGAGGAAAAAAAAAATAGATGACTCCTCTGTGGAATCTTACCAGCTCACAGTGAGTGAGGCTAGTCTTACGTTAAAAAAACCAACTCAAGATTATCAAAAGAATGTCATCAAACTCAAAAAAAAACTACTATATTAATAATATAACTTTTTTCCACTGTGACCTATGTCACCCATAAAACAAAGCTCCTGTTTTTAGATTTAACCAAATTCCTTAATTCTTTAATTTATTATAACAAATATATAACAAGTATAATAGTACTTTTTTTACTTCACAGAAATATTTGTTGTAAAAGTGAGAAACATTAAGAATTATATAAAATAGAAAAAGAAAACCTCTTGTAATCTCATCTCTCTAAAATTAATTATTGTCTAAAATTTGGTATATCTGTCCATGTATTTTCTATAAATATTACATGTATTATTATTATATAAATATTTTGAAAAACAAACCCAGGATCATTTTATATCAATTTCTTTGTAGTTTTATATCAATTTCTTAGCACTTTTATATCAATTTCTTTGTAGCAGTTTTGTTCATTCAATATTGACTGGGTGCCTGCTATGCATTAAACACTATTTTACGGCTTCCGCCCTGTCTGGGACGTGAGGAGTGTCTCTGCCCGACCGCCGCCCCATCTGGGAAGTGAGGAGCGCCTCTGCCCGGCCGCCCCACCGTCTGGGAAGTGAGGAGCGCCTCTTACTGGCCACCCCGTCTGGGAAGTGAGGAGCGCCTCTGCCTGGCTGCCGCCCCATCTGGGAAGTAAGGAGCGCCTCTGCCAGGCCGCCCCACCGTCTGGGAAGTGAGGAGCGCCTCTTACCGGCTGCCCCGTCTGGGAAGTGAGGCGCGCCTCTGCCCGGCCGCTGTGCAACCTTCCAAGTGTGAAGTGACAGCCTTGTGTGTGATCTTTTCTGTCTTCCCCAAGTTTGCATTTTCAACATTAAACTTTACTTTTTAGTTAAAAAAACAAAACAAAACAAAACACTATTTTAGGTGCTGGGAATATAGCAGTGAACAAAGCACAGAACTCTGCCTTCATGGAGCTTGCATTCCAGCAGGAAGATCGAGACAAGAAACAATACATGTAACAGATAAGCAATTCACGAGGTTTATTAGAAGGTGAGAAGTATATTGAAAAAGGTGAGAAGTATATTGAAAAATGAAAAAGCAGAACAAGGTGAGGAACTTCAGTTGTGGGCAGAAGGGAAGCAGGTTGCAGAAGGAAACATGAGTGCAGCAGGTGAGGCAGGTGACATTGTCTTTCCAAAAACTGGATTTTACATATTTGAATAGTTCTTCCAATAATCATTCACGGTGTCTTATCTTTCGAGTAGCATTTCTTTTTTTTTTTTTTTTGAGACACGGTCTCACTCTCACCCACTCCCTCTGTCTCACGGTGTCACTCTGTCATTCCACCCAGGCTGGAGCGCAGTGGTGCAATCACGACTCATTGCAGCCTCAACCTCCTGGGCTCAAGCAATCCTCCCACCTCAGCCTCCTGAGTATCTGGTACTACAGGAATGTGCCACCATGCCTGGCTAATTTTTATTTTTTGTAGAGATGAGGTTTCACTGTGTTGTCCAGGCTGGTCTTGACCTCTTGGGCTCAAGTGATCCTCCCACCTTGGCCTCTCAAAGTGCTGGGATTATAGGTGTGAGCCACTGTGCCTGGCCTGAAGTGCTATTTCTTTAACAGCTGCTTTTGGTATCAATACCCTGTTGGTTATTAGTTTAAAATTTTAGTCAATGATGCTTTTTGGGTGGGTGTGAAGGGGGAAGAAAATCTTGAGCATGTAATGACTTAAATTGTTTCCCAAATCAAATTAAATTCTGGGCCAGTATAAGACCTACACACTCACATTTCACAAGTGAGGGCATGGATGGGGGTAGGGGCAGGCAGGGAAAGGAGAAAAGAGGACAATCAGCACCCCTGAGGGGCTGAACATAGGGGGCATCCAAAACGTGCTTGCTGTGGGAAGAATGGCCTCAGGAAATCCTGACCCAAATCCTGCACACAGTGTGGGCAGATCTCACCTATTCTGTTAAAGGGTCCAATCATTTTTTGTTTTAACCTGAAGGATTTAAATTGAAGTAGCATAGGTATAACTTATGAAGTATTCAAAGTGTCCTAGCTTACTCACTCTCTCATTTTTTTAATTTTTAATACCGTTAGCTGTTTTTTAATAACTGGCACTCAGATAGTGTATAATTATTCTACTATACATGTCTCCGGGAAAAAAAAATTCTTTCTCCATGTGGCGAGGCAAGGAAGTCTTCGTGTTCCACCACCGCAGGCTGTTTGGCAGGAGTGGTCTGTTTAATGATCTCCCCCAGCTGTGCTCACTGAGTCAGTGAGCTCTGCATCTGCCTCTCTGTCTGCATGTTGTCTGGGCTGTGATCCATGTGAGGAGTGCAGATTAGTGGGGAGGATAAACAGCATCACTTCAATGAGACGGTGGAGCCAGAGGCCTGTTTTTTATCTTATGATGGTGTGCAAGCTTCTCTCTAGCAACGTAAGTTCACTTTTTATGTCTTTTCCTAAGAGGGCTATTTTTTCCAACATAAGTTATAAGTGGGCAACATATAAAGCAAGGCTGGCACCTCATATTGGGGTACTCCAGACACCACCAGGTAAGAAACTGGATCATTAGTACTAGTTAAAATGTTTAAAGATCATAACCTTTGACTAGTAGTCCCACGTTCAGAAATTTATTCTTCAGAAATAAAAGCATCAGCAGAAGTGAACATGCTTATGAGGGTATTTACTGCAGCATTTTTTGTAGTGGCAAAAACCAACAAGGAACAAAACAAAACAACATCCCCCTGCCCCACTAAATAAAACAAACAAAACAACCTGAATGTCCATCAACAGGGGAAATACTGAACCAGCTATGATATACTATGAGGTATCAGGCAGGATACCTCATAGTAGGAGAAAATGAATTAGAATTAGACCTATTATCCTGAAGAGAAGTCATAAATGTCATTGTTTTTTAAAGCACTCTGCTGAGTAACAGGTATCGTATGGTAAAAATTTCTGGAAAAAGTCCATTATGTGTATATGTGTAAGCTTTGGTTTGGCATGCCCAAAGGCACAGAAGGCTGCATACTTTGTTCACATTGGTTACCGTGGGGAGTTTACATTTTTTTTTAATCCAAAATCTCTGAATTGTTTGACTTGTTACAACGAATATATTTTACTTTTCTAACAGAAACAAATCCAATAAAATAAATTCAATCATAAGGAAAAAGTTACAAGATTAAGCTGAGTTAACACCTCTGCCAAACAAACCAGAACAAAACCACTTAAAAATAAGAGAACAAAAGAAACTTCTGGTTTCTTTTGTTGCTTTTTCAAGGCAATAATGGCCATAAAATTTTCCATAAAGTAACTAGAAAAATAAAAACTCTTTTTCTGGGGTTCAATTTAAAAGGAAATAATGCAGATATAAAATTTTGAATTTATCTAATTTAGGCATATTTAGTTCATAACAAGTAGCTTCTATTTGTAACCTTGAATAATATAACCATTTAGATAAATCACTATTTTATTATTTTAAAAATTTTTACTTATCAGAATCTGAGGGTCATTGGGGGAAGCAGTTCTTCAGAAGTGGCAAAGACGACAAGAGATAATTCTCCCAGTTTCTTTCAGCCTAATTATGCTTATGTTCAGCTCTTTTAAAAAGATTATTGATTAACTCTCTTGTTAAAGGTAATGCCTCCACATGGTCTGAAATTCAAAAGGGAGCAAAATGCATACAGTGAAAACCAGGTTCCCTGTTCTCTCCTATCCAGTTCCTTCATAAAAGACACACTTTGTACCACCTTTTCATACATTACTGTACATTGCATTTGACATTTAACACAAACAATAGCTAAAATAACATAAAAAGTATCCTGTATCTTGCATTTTTCACCTAATAATATCTTGGAGGTTGGTCCAAAGTAGGGGATAATAGGTCTCCCTCCCTTTTAATTATCACACAATACTCCATTGTTATGGATGTACTATAATTTATTTAAGCAGTCCATTGACATTTATTTCCAATATTCTGTAGTAGAAGTCCTTAATCTAGAGCCCAAAATGGGCCCTCTAAGCTCTGGATATTGTACCTTGAATTGTGTACACATGAGCTAATGGCTATTTTCTTTTTTTTTTTTTCCTCACAGCTCCAAACAGTCACTGAATTAATGGCTATTTTCAAGGGAGAGAAAAGACTCTCAGGCTATGTCAGATTCTCAGAGTTTGGTAATCTGGAAAGGGTTAAGAACTTGCTGCCATAATTCTATCACAGACTGCTCTTGCTTCTACAGAAAAACAAAAAACAAAAAACACGGAGCATCTTAAGAAGAATCTCCTATCTGAATCTAAGACAAGAAAATGGCATTTTTGTCTACTTTTATTTGCAGTGATGGCATTTTTGTCTACTTGTATTTGCAATGTTTATTCTGTCTTCCCTCTACCCCCTCACACCAGCACCAATTATTCCACACCTGCTGGTGAACAAGCAGAGGCCTCTTTACACCTATATCCGCATGGTCTTCATTACTGGATTGAGAAAAACACTGATGATGAAGTAGTTTTCCGCCCATTACCTGTCTCTAATAATATGCTTGTCATCACAATTAGTTTCACCATCCCTGGCTTGCTTTTCTGTCATTTCTTTCCCTTGAGTTCTGTTAATAGCAGAAATTGGCTGCTAAACTATTATTCTGGTCTGTGTAATGGGGCTGATGGCAGAAACATTCTGCTTCTTTTGACAACTGGGTATGATTTGTAAAGGTGTGAAGAAGAATTGCTAATACTTCTGGGCTCCATTACATTAACCTGGAAGGCATTCTACCCAAGAAATGAATCCAATATTAAATTGCCTGTTTTATGAGTTTTTATTTAATAAT
This sequence comes from Homo sapiens, assembly GCF_000001405.40. Taxonomy (NCBI): domain Eukaryota; kingdom Metazoa; phylum Chordata; class Mammalia; order Primates; family Hominidae; genus Homo; species Homo sapiens. Next base: position 151,171,961 of record NC_000004.12, read on the forward strand.
TTTTCTAATCTTTACAATGTTTTCATAGCTTCAGTATTTTCAGATCTCTATTTCCTGAGATTAATATGGCAACTTCATTTTATGAATGCTATTTTATTAGATTTTCTTTATTTTTGAGGTAAGAGAAACGGAAGGGAAGAGTTATTTGTAAGTTTCTCTTCTTTCTCCTGTGTTCCTCTCCCAGTTTCTGCCTGGTGTCTGGATGATTAGGCAAGGTTTCCCAGGACCATAAACCTTTATTTACAATGACAATGCTACCAAAATACCACCAAAAAGTCACAAAGCCCCAAATCAAAAAGCAAACAAAAATCCCTCCACAGGTCAAGGCATTCAGAGGTGATCCTGAAGGCCTTTGGAGGGCATAAGTAGGGAGGCAAAAAGCACCAGTGTGCATTCTAGAAACTCCCCCTAGGTAGCCACAGTATGGATTGTGATAGGATTGTCTGAGTGGGCTCAATTTGGGAGGCCACTGCAGTCATCAGAGTGTAAAGGCCTAAAGTGGGGCAGAAGAGGGAAGGATGAAAAGGAGAGGCAGAGTCAAGAACTATTTGGAAGGTAAAACCAGCAGGAGTTGGTAACTAATTAGATGTGAAGGCAGAGAAGTAACAATAATAACTACTAATTAATGATCATAGGGCTTTCCTGCATAATCACATTTAACCCTTGCAATACCCTAGGTGAGGAGTAGTATTACGTCTAAACAAATGAGGAAACAGAGGCACTGTGAGGTTAAGAAAATTGCCCAAGGTCATGTAACAAATATGGTAGACCCTGGCAGACTCCAAATCTGAACAGCTAGCCACTGTGTGACACGGTGAGAAGACTCAAGGATGATCTCTGGGTTTCTCCAGGAAAGGCTGGTGTGTGTGTGATGGTGTCAATAGTGAGTTGCAAAATATAGGAAGAAAGAAGATTTAGAAAGAAGATAGTATTCAGCTCAGTATAACCCCATAGTCCAGAGCAATGGTTAAAGTCAGATAGCACAAGCAAATTACACACTTTGCTAAAAGACGCCCCAATAATTAAATGTTGTTCAATGAAGTGGTAGAAATCAAGAAATGGAAAAGGCTGAGTATGAAGCATGAGACTGTATTCATGCTTAAAGTATATTGTTGACCTTCCTTTTTGAAGATGACTATAATTATCTGCTAGATGATACAAAATAAATTCTCAGCAATTATTAGTTGAGTTGCCATCCCCATAGAAACTAGCAAGTTCTACAAAAGGTAATATTTCTTTAGCTTGCTGCTGTTGGGTTTATCTATCCCTGTCCTTCTCTGAATCTTGTTAATACCAAAAAGGTTTATATAAGAAAATGGTATTATCAAAGACTTGAAAAGTTTTTAAAGTGTTGCCTGGTTAAGGATTCATGAAAATATTGGGTAGCAACATTATACAGTGAAAAATAAACTAGGCTTAGAATAAAAACACTAAGTTTGAATCCTGACTTGAACAATTGTTTTATGACACTGGGCAAGTGATCCATAGATCTCTCTCAGTCTCACTGTCTTCATTTGCAAACTTAGGCCAATGATAACTCACAGACGGTTGTTGCAATTATTAAATAAAATAATGTATGTCTCAGTATTTAGCAGAGCATTAGGTACACTGCAGAAGCTTAATATATTCAAATGTTTTTCCTTCCACCCTTTATGGACAAAAGCCATGTATGTCTTTTAGTTTATACGCTAAAATGTTGTGTGTCAGTTACAATGTTCTGTGCATGATGAATATTTAATAATGTGTATGTTTGTTTTCATTTTAAACACACCTGTGCTATGCAGAATGTGGCTGTGAAATCACAGAGCCTGTACTATTTTGATGCATGTTAAACATTTATACAGTGACAGTTAAGCTTTTGAAAATTCTATTAAGTTTATATGTTCACAAATTCCACCCAAATAAGTCAACAGCAGTAAAAGAAATCTTATCAATGACAAGTAGAGCAGCTTAGTTTGACAAATCAAAGATAAGCTTTACCATCACACTCTCCAACGGAACAGTTAGAGGAAAGAAAACATACTCTCTGCCTTCTGGGATATTTAATTGTACTGATCTTGGCAGCTAACTTGTATCTGTTGTATTTTATTTACAAAACTTTTCACTCTCAAGGGAAGATGTTCTGTGAAGATTAAAGGAACAACTTTGCAACATGTGGCTGGGTCCTCATTCCGTACATTTTCGAGTCCTCCCCTGGAGCTGGCCCCTCTCCCAGCACTCCCAGCTGAGGCCCATTTCATCTGAGGAGCCCCTCTGGGGCCACTGCATGACTTCCCATCTAAGAGAAGCTTCCTCTGCATCCTTCTACATGTTCCATAACCTCCCTGGATCCTTTCAATGTGAAGTCTGAACTTCTATCTGCCAAGAGTAAGGGGAGCCAGCCCCACAACCTATTATAGTTTAGCTCCTAGCCCCAGTCTGCTTACTTCTGGCTCATATAATAGTAATCGATGCATGTGTCTCCCCATTTCTGACTCCATTACCCCCATCCCATATTTTCCCTTCCCTCCCTGTCTCCATTCCCCACATAGCTCCCATGTTTCTTGATCTGTCTGTTCATTCCTCTGTTTCTATACACACACATGCATGTGCACATACTTGTATACACACACCTCAATAACTTATGTACCAGAAACTAAAACAGCAAGTGCCATTTAAAATACCCTATCATGAGTTTAGATTCCCCTCCACTGCTGATTTTTCACTCACCTAGAACCATCTCTGAACCAACAGATTCTTCAGCCAGGTTCCCCGATGGGGTGGGCAAAACATCATCATCAAAGCTGATGAGATCGATGTCCACCAAGGGCTTGCTCTGCAGAACTGGAACTGGGGGGTTGGCTGGGGGCCCTTCTCCCAGTGACTTGTATGCTTTGGCTTGTGATGCCCCTGCGAGTCGGGGAGGAACAGTGACAGGTTTCAGTGGAGCTGAAGGGTAGGTGGGGTTTTCTGAGGAAACAGATTTCTTCAGCAGCAAAGGCCGCGGGGCAGGAGTTGGCACTTTCTTCCCACTATCAGAGCTCTCAGCCAGGGGCCCTCTTCCCGGAATCTCAGGATTAACACTTCGTATAAGGCCAGGGTTTGGTTTCTTTGGCAATTCAGGTTTGGTTACTGGGATGCTTCCCGCTTCTTGCAGGGGAGGGTATGGGGTGAGTCCTTCCTTGGAGGTCACCTTGAGTCTGTTCTCAGTCCCAGAGTCCCACTCTCCAGAAGCTCTGTTAGCAGCTGGTTTGGGAGCTACAGAAGGTTTCCCTGAGGAAACAGTAGGCTTTGGAGGAAGTGAACGTGGAGTAATTTCTGGTTTCTTGGGCAGTCCTGAGGTTTCTATGTTTGTCTGACCCTCAAACACTTTAATTCTGGAAACAATACTATTTTGGCTTTGTTCTGTGTTCATAATGTTCATCACTGCCTGACTGTCTGAGGTGCTAGCGTTGTCCAGCAGAGACTGGGGCCGGCCTGGGGATGACTCCTCTCCTACGGCTGCTGGGCTGATTTTCTGTTGACTTTGCTCTTTAATGTGAGAATCTCTGGGTATTGGTCTGAGGTTGCTTTTTGATCTTGGTTTTGGCACTGGACATCTTGTAGCACTGGGGTTTTCTGGACAATTCGGTTCTTCAGAAATATCAAAGACGATTAAAGGTGCCACATTTGTTGGAAGATTGCCAGACGAGACTGCTGAGAAAGGCTGAAGAGGCTTGAGAGGTGCCTGTAGTGCTGACGAGACCAAAACAAAACCAAAACAAATAAAAACAAGCCATAACGTTAACAATGTATAAGGAAAAAAATAGAAGATACACAGATTTAAAACTACATACATGGAATATCAAGAGATTTTGGTTTCTTTTAATTAGTAAAAAGTGATTCAAAAATGGAAATGTTTATTCTGTTTCCTGTAGGAGTGCTCTTCATATAACACTTTTTTTTTTTTGAGACAGGGTCTTGCTCTGTTGCCCTGGCTGGTGTACAGTGGCTCTAACACGGCTCACTGCAGCCTCACCCTCCAGTGCTCAAGCGATCCTCTCACTTCAGCTTCCTGAGTAGCTGGGACTACAGACACATACCACCACACTCAGCGAATTTTTCCATTTTTTTGCAGAGATGGGATTTCACCATGTTGCCCAGGCTGGTCTCAAACTCCTGTGCTCAAGCAATCCACCCGCCTTAGTCTCCTAAAGCGTTGGGATTAAAGGCATAAGCCACAGTGCAACACTTTAAAAAAGCCTAACAGGACAACCACCCTTAGCATCCTATCAAGTATAAGTTGCTAAATATAAGATCCTTCTCAGAGGGAATAAAGGGAATCAATGGTAATACCCACCATGAATTATACGGATAATGTTTTTGTGATATAAACTAGGGTAAGCTCAAGAGATTGGGGCTGCAGTTTGTAAGAATGATCTATTATAATCATCACTGCACACCCAAATAAAGCAAGCACACAGTGATCACACTGACTGGGCAGCAGAGCTCAATGAATTATGCACAAATTGCAAATTATTTTAAAGGCTGGAAGCCTACGGATTACTTCCCTAGAACTAGGTCAGAATTAGGGAAGACAAATTACTTGCATTACTTTGAGGCAGATCGTTGTCTATTTCTTCTGAAAAGTCAGTCTGAGTTGCAGAAGTAATAGTGTGCCTTGGAGTAGCAGCAGCATTATTATTATTTGTAGTATTAACTTGAACTTGGTTGATTTCTTTTATAACTTGTTCATAAGATGGTGGGAGCTGAAAAGTAAAGAATGAAGATTTTAGACATCTAAGGGCAATAGCTAAGGTGTTGACAGTCTCACTGTTCTTATCTTCCAATTTCATTTAAAAAATAAAATGCAAAGAGATAATGTAATGTTTATTCACCTCAGCAGGAACCAGCTCATTAGGCCTCCAAGAGCCTGCTGCAGATGATGTAGGAAATCCCAGTCCTGGGGGTGGGGTTCCTGGAAACCACGAGGCTGGCCTCAGTGGCTCAGCTGCCACAATGGTGATCTCTGGGCGCCTAGTGGACAGAAGCCTCAGTGAGGTTTTGCAGAATGGTAACAAGCTATTGTCTATCTATAAATGTTCAAAGATTCATGAAAACCACCATCAACCAAAAAAGTTGTAAGAACTAACACAGTCACAGAAATGACCTGTCAGGCCTGGGCTGTCTCTGACAGTACACCCAGACAGGCTTCAAGAGAGCAAATGACAATCATCCTCTATGACTTTGGCCTCAAAAAGTTAGAGTTGGACCCTGGGCACACTTGGCTCTGCCTTGGTTGATAAGGATAAGAACTAAGTAAGGCCTATACAATCTCTTCATTCCAGGGCTATCTAGCCTTAGGGCAAACATACAGTGTAAGGTATAAAAGCCCATTAGTCAAATGGAATTGTTTTTCTGTTATTATTATTATTATCTGAGACAGAGTCTCACTCTGTTGCCCAGGCTGGAGTGCAGTGGTGACGCGATCTCAATCTTGGCTCCCTGCAACCTCCGCCTCTCAGGTTCAAGCAATTCTGACACCTCAGCCTCCCGAGCAGCTGGGATTACAGGCATGTGCCACCATACCCAGCTAATTTTTGTATTTTTAGTAGAGATGGGGTTTCACCATATTGGTCAGGCTGATCTCGAACTCCTGACCACAAGCAATCTGCCCACCTCAGCCTCCCAAAGTGCTGGGATTAGAGGCGTGAGCCACTGCACCCAGCTTGGTTTTCTGTTATTATAAAGTGCATACTCTGAAATGCAAAATTACCATTTAAAAAGAATATCCTCTTCTGCCTTACTTCATCTCTGTTTCAATTCACAGTTATGTTTAAGTGTTTTGGGTTTATATGTTCACTTCTAGACTTTGATATGTGTCTCTGGGTTCGTGATCAGGTTTGTATATGATTTGATGATTAATCTTTAATACTGGAGAGCTATAGTGATTTAGGCATGACTCCTTTTATCTTTTTCTTAATCTGATTCTACATTCTCATGTTTAAAGTAATTAATTGATTTTGTAGAGACAGGGCCTCACTCTGTTGCCCAGGCTGGAGTGCAGTGGCACAATCATAGCTCACTGCAGCCTCGAGCTCCCCGCCCCTCAGCTTCCTGAGTAGCTGGGACTACAGGCACATGCCACCATGCCTGGCTGATTTTTAAAATTTTTTGTAGAGACAAGGGCTCACTATCTTGCTCAGGCAGGTTTCGAACTCCCAGCCTCAAGCAATCCTTCCAAAGTGTTGGGATTAAAGGTGTAAGGCACTGTGCCTGGAGCATGTTTAAATTTTCTCTTAAACCTGATTTCCTAACAAACAGCAACTGTGTGACCCTGAACAAATCAATCAAGTTTTGATTGGAAAACTCAGTTTTCTCATGGAACATACATGGATGATAATACCTGCTCTGCCTTTCTCTAGCACTCTATGGAAAATAAAAACAAAAAAGCACTGTCATTCTCAAAATTATGCATTACACACATACTCATGCTACATTGTGAAACAGTAGAACCTGATCATTGATAAAATTTGAACTGTACTTCCTAAGAACCTTTGCTTATAGCTTTTGTCTAACTAAATAGTAAGAGTTATTAGTTAATAAACGTTAAGCATCATATGTATATTAATTCTTATGACAACCTTGTGATGTAGGTATGATTAGCACCATTTTAAAGCTGGGATAAAGAAGCTAGAGAGATTAAGCAGCTTGTCATCCAAGGTCACATGGTAGGAAAGTGGCGGTCAGGATTTGAATTTGGTTCTGACTCTGAAGTCCTTCATTATTCTATACTATACTGTAAGCAATTTGACAGCAGGGACCATGACTTATGAAAACCTCTCTATCTGATTGAATGTCATGATGTAATGTAAAAAAAAAATCTATCCATCCATTTAGCCATTTGTCCATCCATCCTTCTGTCCATTCTATTGTCCATCTGTCCACTGGTCCTTCCTTCTATCTACCCAAATATTATCTTTCCTCCCTTCTCTTTTCCCTTCCTTTTTCCAAAAAGCCATCCAGGCTTTATTCATTGTGCCTACCTCCTCTTTTCCTTTCTTTATCCTTCCATTCAATTTTCTATCCTGTCATCCATCCATTTGGTTAGGCAACATGTACTAAGTAGCATGAGGTACAAAGCATTTCTCTGAAGCAGTTACAATGCTTTACATGTAACAGCTGTTTAATAAACATTTAAAAAATCAACTTCAATAAATAACTATACTCAAAAGAACATTTTCAAGCCTGTATCACTCCTTCTCTCAAGCAAAATCATCTTTCAAACTTATAAGTTAATTCAGGAGATATATTGATGAAGCAGAATACAAGAATACATTGCTTATGAAAGTGAAACATTTAATTTGCTACCTGATAACACACTTTTACTCAATTATTAGTCTAATATATGTCCTCCATTATAAATATAACCATACCTTCTATCTCGATGAAGTTCACTCTGAATAGAAGTCCGAGAAGCTGTTGAAGAAGGAATAAACTGGTATAGTACAAAATTAGTATGTTTGGTAAGGGTTTAAATTTTTACAAAGTACACAATTGGAAAAAGCTTATACTTGACATCATATAGAATGTATGAATTTTAATATCCTTAAAAAAAAGTAAATCAAAACAATCATTTTATTAGCATAAAGTTAATTATGGTTATATATTAGAGATTGCATAATACATAGATTTCAAAAACTCCCCAAAGAACATTCTGTAGTTGTGAAAATAGTTTGAAGAATGAACAGAGAAAAGAAGACAGCTATTAAATATAAATTGCATGGCTGGAGTATTAAGATGATGACATGAAGTAACAATGGGCAGAAAAAATTTTAAATATCGATTCCAATCTATATGACTATGCTTTTGTGATGTTTGTTTATAAATCTATTGTAGAATGAAACTGGTCAAATTTTCATCTTTTGTCTAACTTATCTGACATTTTATAACCTTTAAGTTGTTTTATTATTTATTTTGAGACAGGGTCTCACCCTGTTGCTCAGGCTGGAGAGCAGTGACATGATGTTCAGGGCTCAATGCAGCCTCAAGTTCCCAGGCTCAAGTGATCCTCCTGCCTCAGCCTCCCAAGTAGCTGGGACTACAGGCACATGACACCATGCCTTGGTAATTTTTTGTATGTTTCGCAGAGATGAGGTTTCGCCATGTTGCTGGTCTCAAGCTCCTGGGTTCAAGCGATCCTCCTGCCTGGGCTTCCCAAAGTGCTGGGATTACAGGCATGAGCCACTATGCCCAGCCTTTTATTACTTAAACTAAGATATAATAATTAATGTAAAAGGTGTTCAAATCACTTTTATAAACTTGTTTATAGCACATATTATTGTATATGCAGCACTGACTTTTTCCTTAAGTCTCAAACTCAAGTCCTTAAGCTTGATAGTTTAAATTTTTTCCCAAATTTTATTTTATAAAGTAAACTAAGTTTTAATCGGATAATCTAGAACATATCACATATGGGGTCATTTTTTTTTCTTTTTTTTTTTTTTTGAGACAGTCTCGCTCTGTCGCCCAGGCTGGAGTGCAGTGGCGCGATCTTGGCTCACTGCAAGCTCTGCCTCCTGGGTTCACACCATTCTCTTGCCTCATCTTCCAGAGTAGCTGGGACTACAGGCGCCCGCGACCATGCCTGGCTAATTTTTTATATTTTTAGTAGATACGGGGTTTCACCGTGTTAGCCAGGATGGTCTCGATCTCCCGACCTTGTGATCCACCCGCCTTGGCCTCCCAAAGTGCTGGCTTTACAGGTGTGAGCCACTGCGCCCGACACATATGGGGTCAATTTTTCAATTTTTATGTAATAGAGACTATTACCTCTATTTTTCTTTATTTCTTTTTTTTTTCTGAGATGGGGTCTCGCTCTGTCGCCCAGGCTGGAGTGCAGTGGCGCCATCTCGGCTCACTGCAAGCTCCGCCTCCCGGGTTCATGCCATTCTCCTGCCTCAGCCTCCCGAGTAGCTGGGAGTACAGGTGCCTGCCACCATGCCCGGCTATTTTTTTTTTTTTTTTTGTATTTTTAGTAGAGATGGGGTTTCACCGTGTTAGCCAGGATGGTCTTGATCTCCTGACCTCGTGATCCTCCCACCTCGGCCTCCCAAAGTGCTGGGATTACAGGCATGAGCCACCACGCCCGGCCTACCTCTATTTTTCATGGAACATATTCTAAAGATCTCTTTGGGGAAAAAAATCTTCTAATACTATAGTGTAAAGATCTGTGCACAAAGGAAATTTGTTTCAGATATAAACTATTTTAACCAGTTGCTTTCATATCTCAGTAATACTCAACTTGTTCAATTCTTCCTATTTGAAAAGATTGGAAGCATAGATCTTTCCCCCCTATTAACTTCTGCTTCTCTCTGAACAAGGAGGCTGTCAAAACTAGGGGAGGCAGGGGTGGAAGTGGAAGGTGGGAATGAAGTTTAGGCTGGATTGGAGCCGTAACAGGTGAACCTCTGCTGGGTTGGCAAAGCAAACCTCTAAGATCTGAAACCAAACCCCTGGGTTTCTACTTGGAGGATGTCCTCATATTCATATCATCAACTGGTTTGACTGACTATTAACATTTTTATCAAGAGCTAAACCAAGCTGACAGGGAGGCTAGAGCTCTGCATGGTGTGTCTGATTTGTAAGAATGGTTTCATTAAGTCAGAGGCCCATTCAAGTTTGCTACAATCACATCACCACCATCACTAATGCTGAAATCAGCAGGGATAACACTTTTAAAAGACTTCATGTTATCATCACAAACATACCTCTTCCACGGGGCATTTTTGCTGTGTACTATTCATGAGTGCTAAGGGAAAAAAAGAAGGGGTTATAGAAGAGGAAAGGAAGAGAAAAGAGTGAACCTAGTTGCCTAAGCTTTAAAAGGAATTCAGGAGCATGACTGTCTTGCCATACCACTGTTTTTCCCTGCTATGCACACTTAAATGGAAAAGCAAAGTTGATGATCCACAGATTCAGAGAGTAAAGAAATACTGCCGCAAAGATTTGTCTGTGCAGACCAGGATATCCACACACATAACCAGTTGAAAAACCCGCTTGTAGGGTTTTTTTTTTTTTATTTTTTTGAGACAAGGTCTTGCTCTGTCACCCAGGCTGGAGTGCGGTGGCACAATATTGGCTCACTGCAGCCTCGACTTCCCTGGCTCAAGCGATCTTCCTGCCTCAGCCCCCTGAGTAGCTGGGACTACAGGCATGCACGACCACACCTGGCTCCTTTTCGTATCTTTTGTAGAAACGGGGTTTTGCTATGCTGCCCAGACTGGTCTCGACTTCCTGACCTCAAGTGATCCGCCCACCTTGGCCTCCTAAAGTGCTAGGATTACAGGCATGAGCCACTATGCCTGGCCTGTCTGCAGTTTTTAACAACGGTTTTAAAAAATCTAAAAACTATTTTGCAAAATCAATTTGCTACTTCAATAAGCATTGATTTTAAAGTATGAATAGTACTTAAAAGGTAATTCAGTAGTCGATCTACATTGTTTAAAATCAGCAATTTTAACTTGATTCTGCCCGTTCACACCAGAGGTCATTCACAGCAGGCCCCCAGGCAGCAGAGTGGCACTGCCGCTGAAGAACATGGAGGGGTCTTGCAGTCGTACGTACAGATGTCCTTCTGCACAACCTTCAAGAATCACTGCTTTCCCCTCTCCTTGTCTGGCTTTTTTCACATTCACTTATCTATGAAATCTTTCTTTTCTCTCTTGATCCTTCTGGAAAAACTGACACCTTCTGTCAGTGCTGAACAAGATTAATAGCTACAAACACTTTTGGTTTTCACTGCAGATTTTCATGTGTTGTCTCATGCTCTTTGTGCTAATTTCTCAACTATCTGCTTATACATTTCATTCTCACTTTCCCAGATTAAACAAATTTGCTGTAGTTGCCAGGAAAATCGAATTTGCCAGATTGCCATATAGACAAGCATGTCCCATTTTACCTCTCTGCCACAAGCTGCTAGTCTGGTACGTTTTGGGTTAATGCCACAGAATAAAGGCAGTATTTTCAGTTAGAGTTATCCTATCATTTTACAGAATTATTTTCAAACTTTTTCTTTTTTTTTTTCTTTTTGAGCTGGGGTCTCTCTCTGTCGCCCAGGCTGGAGTGCAGTGGCACGACCTTGGCTCACTGGAACCTCTGCCTTCCAGGTTCAAGCGATTCTCCTGCCTCATCCTTCCTAGTAGCTGGGATTACAGGTGCCCACCACTGCGCCGGGTTAATTTTTGTATTTTTAGTAGAGATGGGGTTTCACCATGTTGGTCAGGCTGGTGTCGAATTCCTGACCTCAGGTGATCCGCCCGCCTCAGCCTCCCAAAGTGCTGGGATTATAGGTGTGAGCCACAGTGCCTGGCCTATTTTCAAACTTTTCGAGTTCAAGTGGTTAAATTCTAAATACAAAACATATTCATGTTAAAGTTGAGATGTAGATGTGCAGTATTACCACCAATAAAGAATCTTCTCGAATTCCAGCAGGATCACAAGCCTGGAAAGACCCTCAGCGATCGTCCTACTCAAACTTCACAGAGGAGAAGACTGAGATACAGAGGGGTTAAATGAATTACCCCAGGTCCAACAGCCCTTTAGGAGCAAGGCTAGGAGCAGTTTGTTTCTTGAAGCAGTTTAACTCTGTGTGGAGCCAGGAGAGTGGGATGCTAGCTAGTCTTGATCTAAATAATTCAAAATTATCAATAAAATGATGTCAGAAGAAATAAACACATAGAAGGATTATTAATTATAAATACCCTTGCTATAGAACTATGAATGAATGATCAATGAACTAAGAATGAAAGATCAATGAAAATCACAATAATATAAGAAACTTACTGACTACATTTGTTTGGGACAGGGTATAAGAGTTAGATGCATTTGACATGATAACAAGAACGTCTGTGGAGTGGAAAGCTCAATGGCCTTGAAGTCAGGAAACAAGGTTCATATCTTGGCTCTACCTTGTGAAGCCACTTAACCTTTCTGGGACTCAGTTTCACTACCACATGTAAAATGGGTCAACACCTACCACGCACAGTGTTATTTTATAATGTATGGAAACAGTTCCTGACTCATGGTAGGTAAACAATATTAACTAAGTCTGAATTTCAGAAAATAATTTTCTCTTAAAAAGTTAATGAAAGGAAGAACATAAAATTCTAGATGTATCCAATTAGGATACATCAAAACACTTTACCAAAAATACTCAGGATTCACAAGAATACATGCAAAGAAAAGGACCCCAAGGCTTGACTGGAACCGGAATCATTATGAAATAAGTTGAACTACAACCAGTTAAAGAATATCACTTTAACAATGGGATAAAGTCTTTCCGCTTGCCAGGGTTAGATGACTGAGTATGGGATAGTAACACACACATTTTAATGGGCTGGCTAAGATAAAAATTATTTACAGCTTTTTCTTATAGAATAGGCAAAAAGAAGAAAACAAAAGGGAATGGCACAATTGTTACTCATTCTGTATTTATATGTTATCATGAAAGGATCTGTTTGGCCTTCTTGCCTAAACATCAGGAATACAAGTATTTCTTTAGTGTTTACAAAGCGACTGACAGAAGAATTAAAAGACAACTGAGTTAAAAACCAAAAAAACACCAGCTACCTCAAAGCAAGGTTTTTCCCTTTGTTTCATATCCTCCTTCCTCTCTCTGCTAGGGCCCTGTTTCACCGTTTTCTCTTCTTTCATGGCTCCAGTCTGATCCCTCCACTGATTGCTTCCCTGCTGCCTACAAATGTCTTCATGCTTCCTCATCCTAAGCATAGTCAGATCTCCTCTTTCCTTAACTCTGCCTCCTTCTCAAATTACAGTCCATATCTCTCCTGTTCACCACCAAATTTCATAGAAGAGTAGGCTACCCTAGCCGCCCCAACTTCCACATATTCTATTCATTGTTGAAATTGAAGTGTGGCTTCCAACTTCAATATTTACTGAAACTGCTCTCTCGTGGGTCTCAATTGACCTCCTAAGTGCCAGACACAATAACCTGTTCTCAGCACCTTTTGCTTGGCCTGGTTTAGTATTAAGAGCTATTGGTGATTCACCTGTTCCTTTTAAAATCTTCTCCTTTGACCTCTAAAACACAGCTGTGTCCTGTTTTTTTTTTTTTTTTTTTTTTTTTTTTAACTCTGACCATTCCTTTTAAGCTTTTATTGCCCATGTCTTCGCTGAGCAAGATCTATCTTGGGGGATCCATGGGAAGTCAGGCACAGATTGTGATTCCCTAACAAAAAAGTCCTGAAATCCAAGGGAATTAAGGCAAGAAGCCAGGGAACAAAGTGCAGGAGCCCACAGATATGACTCAGTGAAAGGAGGCCTTTCACAGCAGGGCTGGGTTCATTGGGTCATGCATTTTTGCCTTATGCCTCTTGAAGGCATAGCTTGTCCTCAGACGTCAGCGTCTCCAAGATTCTATCCCTTCTCATCTTTCCTATCCTGTGTACTTTCTCCCTACATGTTTGGCTACTTCCAGGATTTTGCTTATAACAGTGATTACTCTAAGTTATATCTCCAGCCAATAAATTCTTGCCTAAGTTCTAGATCCTAATTTTGTATTTAAATTATCTCTCTGCCCGTCATCGCCTGCCACCCACAACCCAAGGGTTATAAGGCATGAAAGGCTATCAAGAAGTTTTCATTTTTATATCTGAATTCTCTTCATCTCATACCATAGCATTCCCACATATTTATAGTTCACCAATAAAGAAAAAAAATGGAGTGGGGAAACATGGCATATTTTTCTGTATTGTCAGCTTGTAAAATTTTCACTGGAATTGTTCAAATGCATATTCTTCATGACCTGTGAATATCCTAAATTCATAATGGGCATGGTGGCTCACACCTGTAATCCTAGCACTTTGGGAGACCAAGGCGGGCAAATCACTTGAGGTCAGGAGACCAGCCTGACCAATGTGGTGAAATCCCATCTCTACTAAAAATACAAAAATTAGCCGGGCATGGTGGTGGGTGCCTGTAATCCCAGCTACTCAAGAGGCTGAGGCAGGAGAATTGCTTGAGCCTAGGAGGTGGAGGTAGCAACGAGACAAGATCGCGCCACTGCAGTCCAGCCTGGGCGACAGTGAGAGACCATGTATCGGGGGGGAAAAACAACCAAGTTATGTTTCTAAAAATAGGGCACATTCTCCTCGGGGTGGTAACCTCAGCTCAGATAATGCAAAGAACATCTAAAATCCTATCTTTATCCTTTTCTAACACAGGCAATCCATGTTCTATTTTTAAAGAGATCTTTCCAGAGCCTTTTATTTAAAAAAGTGTTAAAATACCACACTAATAGCAAGTTTTGAAGTTTTGACCAAGAGATAAGGACAGAAAATAGAAATGTTCCTTTCTGATGGGAATTCTACTCTTAGCACTTCTATCTTGATATGGTAGTATAAGCCCGTCTTTATAGGCACTTATACAGTTAAAAAATATATTGTGAAAAGTACCTGTAGAAACAAATGAACCAAAAGGAACAGGATTTAATACTTCTTTTTTCTTTTCTTTGAGACAGAGTTTTGCTCTTGTTGCCCAGGCTGGAGTGCAGTGGCACAATCTTGGCTCACTGCAACCTCCACCTCCTGGGTTCAAGCCATTCTCCTGCCTCAGCCTCCCAAGTAGCTGGGATTACAGGTGCCTGCCACCACGCCCAGCTAATTTTTGTATTTTTAGTAGAGACGAGGTTTCACCATGTTGGTTGGGCTGGTCTTGGAACTCCTGACCTCAGGTGATCCACCTGCCTCAGCCCCCAAAAAAGTGCTGGGATTACAGGCATGAGCCACCGTGCCTGCCAGGACTTAATATTTCTTAAACCTGTTAGATATCTCTAACTCTAGAAAATGGTTACATAATTTTTTTTTTTTTTTTTTGAGATGGAGTCTCGCTCTGTCGCCCAGGCTGGAGTGCAGTGGCGCGATCTCGGCTCACTGCAACCTCTGCCTCCCGGGTTCACGCCATTCTCCTGCCTCAGCCTCCCAAGTAGCTGGGACTACAGGTGCCTGCCACTACGCCCGGCTAATTTTTGGTATTTTTAGTAGAGTCAGGGTTTCACTGTGTTAGCCAGGATGGTCTTGATCTCCTGACCTCGTGATCCGCCTGCCTTGGCCTCCCAAAGTGCTGGGATTACAGGCATGAGCCACTGCACCCGGCCGCTACATAAAATTTATATTAGATCACAGAAACTAACTAGAGAGGCAAATTAAAAAAAAAAAACAAACAGCTTTATAGTATCACATTTGGGATTAAGGAAAAAAAACCCCAGCTTTGTTCTGCAAGAGAAAAACACAGTTCTGAGAAACCGGCTTATCAATAAATATAGGCTGAAAAGTAGCTGTTTGTCTGAAATGCTTTAATACCTCTTAGGAGAAGCTACTCTTGGGTTCTTTGTAGATTCGTCAAATACAATCACCTGCTGGAAATCTAAATCATCACTTAAAATTATTACAGAGGAAAATACAGAGAAGGAAAAAACAAACTTACATCTCTTGATTACCGCTCTAATGGATGACAAGGGTCCTTGGCTAGAAAAAGAAAGAAAACTTATTATACATTCATTAATCCTTTTTGAAAAGAGCCATTCATAAGGCCAAGTCATTTCTGGGATTCAATATGGTGCTAAGCCACAAGTTTGATACATTATTTACTGGCCTATCCTCTTTAAAAATCAAAAATTAAAGAAATTTTTAAAACTTGACTTTAATTTGTTTTATGGGAAATATATTTGCAGTGTAAGTAAAATTTTGCCTTAAAATTGCTTTCATAGCTACTTACATACTGTATCTTCCAGTGAAAATCTGGATACCACTCGTAATTAGACAGCATTACATGGCGCTCAAAAGAACTTTATTCCTTATGGCTCTTTTGTGTTTGACACTGAAATTCCTATCTTCATATATCACATCAAAGTACATAATCTATATAGTCAATTTGACCTAAGGAACAACAGCATTTCTTCTTAAGATTAGAATTTAAAACATCACCACCTAAAAATAAAATAATCTTGTGAGACTTTCCCCTCTCCCTCCCAGACTCCCTGTCTCTCTCTCCCCCTTCTTTCTCTCCCTTTCTCCCCTCCTACCCAACACCCTGCTTCCTCTCTTGCTCTTCTGCCTTTCACCATGGGATGACACGGCAACAAGAAGACCCTCTCCAGATACCAGCCTCTCAATCTTGGATTTCCCAGCCTCCATACCCATGAGCCAATAAATTTCTGTTCATTATAAATTACCCATTTTGTGGTATTATAGGAGCAAAAAATTGACTAAGACAATACTATTGTGTTATACAGAGGGAAAGATTAAGCTCTAGGAGGTCTCTGATACCTTAAAGCGAGGACTGTAATATAAAGATACAACTGTTTACAGTAATACTGATTTTTTAAAGAGTGCTTAAAGGCTTTCTGTAAAACAGCTACATGAAAAAAGAATTAATATAAGGTAGAGGCGGAATGTCCCTCATCCAAAATGCCTGGGACCAGAATTATTTAGGATTTCTTTTTATTTTGGAATATTTGCATTATATACTTACCAGTTAAGTATCCCTAATCCAAAAATCTGAAATCTGAAATGATATAATGAGCATTTCCTTTGAACATTATGTTACTACTGCTCAAAAAATTTCAAATTTTGAAGCATTCTGGATTTCGGATTAGGGATACTCAATCTTAATATGGAAGGGGTAACAGCCCTCTTAGTGAATACATCACAATCTCCTTGCTCACTACCACTGATTTGGCAGGGATGATATTATGAATTTAAAACATCCTTTGTCTCTTTTGTTGAGAAGGAAGATGTATTGATTGGGGTGGAACACGGAAGGTGTTACAGGTTGAAGCATATCCTCCCTCAAAAAGAAATGTTGATGTCCTTACCAGTAGGACTTCAGAATGTGATCTTACTTGAAAATAGAGTCCATACAGATGTAATTAGTTAAGATAAGGTCACACTGGAGTTGGATGGGCCCCAATCCAACATAACTGGTTTCTTAGAAGATGGCCATCTGAAGAGCCAAACCAAGGTACACCAAAGACTGCTGGTCAACCTCCATAAGCTAATAGGCAAGGAAGAAATCACCTATGAGTTTCAGAGGGGGCATAGCCCTGCTGACACCTTGATTTCAGACTTCCAGCTTCCAAGACTGTGAGACAGTAAGTTTCTGTTTTTGTTTTTGTTTTTTGTTTTTTTAATTTTTAGACAGAGTCTCGCTCTGTCGCCCAGGGTGGAGTGCAGTGGTGTGATCTCGGCTCACTGCCAGCTCTGCCTCCCGGGTTCACACCATTCTCCTGCCTCAGCCTCCCAAGCAGCTGGGACTACAGGCACCCACCACCATGCCCAGCTGATTTTTTGTATTTTTAGTAGAGACAGGGTTTCACTGTGCTAGCCAGGATGGTCTCGATCTCCTGACCTTGTGATCTGCCCGCCTCGGCCTCCCAAAGTGCTGGGATTACAGGTGTGAGCCACCATGCCCGGCCAAGTTTCTGTTGTTTTAAGTCACTCAGTGATATGGTTTGGCTGTGTCCCCACCCAAATTTCATCGTGAATTGTAACTCCCACAATTCCGTGTCGTGGGATGAACCTGGTTGGAGGTGATTGAATTATGGGGGCAGGTTTTTCCTGTGTAGTTCTCACGACAGTGAATAAGTCTTATGAGATCTGATGGTTTTAAAAAGAGGCATTCCCTTGCACAAACACTATTCTCTTGTCTGCCGCCTTGTGAGATGTGCTTTTCACCTTCTGCTATGATTGTGAGGCCTCTCCAGCCATGTGGAACTGTGAGTCCAAAAAGAAAGTTTACAAAACTTTCTTTTGTAAACTGCCCAGTCTCAGGTATGTCTTTATCAGCAGTGTGAAAACAGGCTAATACAGTAAATTGGTACTAGTAGAGTGGGTGCTGCTGTAGATACCCCAAAATGTGGAAGCGACTTTGGAACTGGGTAACAGGCAGGGGTTGGAATAGTTTGGAGGGTTCAGAAGAAGACAGGAAAATGTGGGACAGTTTGGAACTTCCTAGAGACTTGCTGAATGGCTTTGCCCAAAATGCTGATAATGATATGGATAATGAAAACCAGGCTGAGGTGTTCTCAGATGGAGATGAGGAACTTGTTGGGAACTTGAGCAAAGGTGACTCTTGTTATGTTTTAGCAAAGAGACTGGTGGCATTTTGCATCTGCCCTAGAGATTTGTGGAACTCTGAACTTGAGAGAGATGATTTAGGGCCTCTGGCAGAAGAAATTTCTAAGCAGCAAAGCATTCAAAAAGTCACTTGGGTTCTTTTAAAGGCATTCAATTTTATAAGGGAAGCAGAGCATAAAAGTTGGGGAAATTTGCAGCCTGACAATGTGATAAAAGAGAAAATCCCATTTGCTGAGGAGAAATTCAAAATGGCTGCAGAAACTTGCATAAGTAACAAGGGGCCAAATGTTAATCCCCAAGACACTATGGGGAGAATGTCTCCAGGGCATGTCACAGGTCTTCTTGGCGGCTCCTCCCATCACAGGCCCTGAGACCTAGGAGAAAAAAATGGTTTCATGGGTTAGGCCCAGGGTCCCTCTGCTGTGTGCACTCTAGGGACTTGGTGCCCTGCCTCCCAGCCACTCCAGCTGTGGCTGAAAGGGGACAACGTAGAGCTTGGGCCGTGGCTTCAGAGGGTGCAAGCCCCAAGACTTGGCAGCTTCCATGTGGTGTTGAGCGTGCAAGTGCACAGAAGTCAAGAATTGAGGTTTGGGAACCTCCACCTAGATTTCAGGGGATTTATGGAAACACCTGGATGTCCAGGCAGAAGTTTGCTGCAGGGGTGGGGCTCTCAAGGAGAACCTCTGATAGGGCAGTGCAGAAGGGAAATGTGGGGTCGGAGCCCCAACACAGAGTCCCTACTGGGGCATCGCCTAGTGGAGCTGGGAGAATAGGGCCACTGTCCTCCAGACCCCAGAACAGTAGATCCACTGACAGCTTGCACTGTGCTCCTGGAAAAGCCGCAGACACTCAACGCCAGCCGTGAAAGCAGCTGGTGGGGAGGCTATACCCTGCAAAACCACAGGGGTGGAGCTGCCCAAGACCATGGGAACCCACCTCTTGCATCAGCATGACCTGGATCGTTTTGGACCTGGCGTCAAAGTAGATCGTTTTGGAGCTTTAAGATTTGACCTGCCCTGCTGGATTTCAGACTTGCATGGGGACTGTAGCCCCTTTGTTTTGGCCAATTTCTCCCATTTGGAATGGCTGTATTTACCCAATGCCTGTACGCCCATTGTATCTAGGAAGTAACTAACTTGCTTTTGATTTTACTGGTTCATAGGCGGAAGGGACATGCCTTGTCTCAGATGAGACATTGGACTGTGAACTTTTGAGTTAATACTGAAATGAATTAAGACTTTGGGGGACTCTTACGAAGGCATGATTGGTTTTAAAATGTGAGGACATGACATTTGGGAGGGGCCAGGGGTGAAATGACATGGTTTGGCTGTGTCCCCACCCAAATCTCATCTTGAATTTTAACTTCCACAATTCTCATGTGTCATGGGAGGAACCTGGTGGGAGGTGATTGAGTTATGGGGGTGGGTCTTTCCTGTGCTGTTCTCATGATAGTGAATAAGTCTGGAAGATCTGATGGTTTTAAAAGGAGGTGTTCCCCTGTACAAGGCATGTAAGTAGAAAGCATGATATACCCACTGGGGCAGCATGACTGTCAGAAGAGTACAGAATCTGTTCTTTTTTTTTTCTTTTGAGATGGAGTCTTGCTCTGTCACCTAGGCTGGAGTGCAGTGGCGCAATCTCGGCTCACTGCAAGCTTCACCTCCCAGGTTCATGCCATTCTCCTGCCTCAGCTTCCCGAGTAGCTGGGACTACAGATGATCGCCATCATGCCCAGCTAAATTTTTGTATTTTTAGTAGAGATGGGGTTTCATCATGTTAGCCAGGATGGTCTTGATCTCCTGACCTCATGATCTTCCCACCTCGGCCTCCCAAAGTGCTGGGATTACAGGCGTGAGCCACCACACCCAGCCCTTTTTTTTTTTTTTTTTTGATACAGAGTCTTGCTCTGTCACCAGGCTGGAGTGCAGTGGCATGATCTTGGCTCACTGCAAGCTCCGCCTCCTGGGTTCACGCCATTCTCCTGCTTCAGCCTCCCCACAGCTGGGACTACAGGTGCCACGACCAGCTAATTTTTTTGTATTTTTAGTAGAGATGGGGTTTCACCATGTTAGCCAGGATGGTCTCGATCTCCTGACCTCGTGATCCGCCTGCCTCGGCCTCGCAAAGTGCTGGGATTACAGGCGTGAGCCACCGCGCCCGGCAAGAGTACAGAATCTGTAGTCAGCTAGAGGTGTTTTCTTATTTGTGTGAGCTGGCCAATTTACTTACTTGCTGGAATTGTTTCCTTATCTGTAATATGAGGATACTAGTGCCTATCTTTTGGCTTGTTGCTAAGACTGAATAAGAAAACTCTGTGAAATATATATCATAGTACTGGGCACGTATCAGAGTCTCAAGATATGTTAAATTTCCTACCCATTTTCCAATATAAACATTTCTGTTGTTCACAATATATATGGCTGAAATTTTTGGGACTATCCTGCCATCACCAGTGGGTTAACCTATAGTTATTATAACCCTACCTTATAAATTTAAATGATTTGCATTTCTGCTGAAATTATTATTTACCATTTACAATCATTCTGAGTTTCACAACACATACTTCTCATATACCCAATCTCCTATGAAGCCAAAGCAATAACAAAACCAAGAGAACAAAACAAACCTACAAGCCTTTGTGAACGCTGTATTTCCCCCATTGAAAACACAGACCTCTGTTCCTTTAGGTCATCCTTCTCAGGATGTTTCCCAAGAAATGGGCATGCTGATCAAGTAGCTATGTATATTTAGTTTCATATTTAACTCTATTAAAAAACAAATCCCACAAAAAAGTTCAAAGATCTTGGAAAAGACTTTCAATTATGTTCTTTATAACTACAGCCAGTTTAAAAATCAGAATATGTTGCCTTGTCCTTTCCAATTCTTCTTTTTTTTTTTTTTAATCACACATTCCTGTCTTGACTCTCTAACTAGACTGCAAGCTTCTCAAGGAGAAAGAATGTGTCATGTAACATGTGCCCACTACTGGACTAATGTGAACTCAATTCTACTCATAGAGAGAAAGAAATATTGTAATTTAAATAGTACTAGTTATTCCACCTATAATCCACTTAATAAGCAAATCCCCAGGGATAATTTTGCTGCTGGTTTTGTTTAGTTGGACTCAGTTGCCAGTTACATCTCACTGTATGCACATCTTATCAAAAGTGTCTGGTCTAATGTTTAAAATAGGTTTGTTTTTTTTTTTAAATATAAAAAGTCATCTTGATGAGCATTTGGTGTTCACTAAAGAACAGCACTCACTTCTAATGGAAAACTAGCCAGGTTGACCTTATTTAGAGATGGTACGGTAGACTTCAACATGGCACTTGAAATTGGCAATAAATACTGTACTTTTAGTATCAATTAACAGAATTTTGGAAGTAATTCTGCATATTTGGTTTTCTCATTATACACTTTCTTTAGAACCTGTCTCTTCGTAAGTTAAGACTCTGGTAGTTCCTAAGCAACAAGCAGCACAAAGTCTTCACTGGTATGCCGCTAAATTTGAAACCATGTGTAATATACAGTAACACACAGTGACACACAGTGACTTTACTAAGATGGAACTTGTCTGAATGGGTTAGGTTACATGACATGGAACAGATACAACTTGGTTTGGGAAGAGGTATGGTGCATGTCAACCCAGCACCTAAGAAATGTAGCATTTACTGCAACATATGAGCTCAGAATCTAACCCCTTCAAATGTGAACACAGAAAGATTAAGAACTGTGGGTCTGATGTATAATTGTGTTCAATGGACACCTATTGAAGGAACCAAGGAATTAATAACCAGAATAAAACTTTTCTGGGGTTATATCTTTCCTTCACAGTCAACCTAAGTGATCTATAGAAAGAGTTTATATAGAAAACCTAAAAAGACAAAAAGGGCTAAAATCTAATCCTCTCTTTTCTAGATGTGTAGCAGTATAGTAGGATTAATTTTTTTTTTTTTTTTTTTTTTTTTTTTTTTGGTCACTCAGCTCTGTCACCCAGGCTGGAGTGCAGTGGCATGATCTCGGCTTACTGCAACCTCTGCCTCCTGGGTTTTAGCGATACTCCTGCCTCAGCCTCCCAAGTAGCTTGGATTACAGGTGCCCGCCACCACGCCCAGCTAGTTTTTTTGTATTTTTAGTAGAGATGGGGTCTCACCAGTTGGCCAGGCTGGTCTTACACTCTTGACCTCAAGTGATCCACCCACCACGGCCTCCCAAAGTGCTGGGATTACAGGCATGAGCCACCGCCCCCAGCCAGTAGGATTAATTTTTATGATTAGGAGTTATTTGTTGGTAAAAGGCATAAAAAGGATAGCATAGGTCTAAAGAGGTGTCTATTAAATGCCAGGAAAAAAATAAGCGATAAAATATAGACAAATATATGGTAGTTTCAGTTTCAAGCATCCACAACAACTACAGACTGATTTTTCAAACTTTTGTCTTTTTCAATTCTCCTGCCTCAGCCTCCCGAGTAGCTGGGATTACAGGTGCCCGCCACAACGCCCAGCTAATTTTTTGTAAATTTAGTGGAGATGAAGTTTCACCATGTTGGCCAGGCTGGTCTCGAACTCCTGACCTCAGGTGATCTGCCTACCTCAGCCTCCCAAAGTGCTGGGATCACAGGCATGAGCCACCGTGCCTGGCTAAACTTTTGTCCTATTAGCTGATGATTTCTTCATTTTTCGTCAAACGATTAATGTGCATCTAACTGTTAAGAGTTAACCTTAATTTTCAGCTGGGCATGGAGGCTCACACCTTTAATCCCAGCACTTTGGGAGGCTGAGGCAGGTGGATCGCCACAGGTCAGGAGTTCGAGACCAGCCTAGCCAATGTGGTGAAACAAAAAATACAAAAATTAGCCAGGTGTGGTGGCACCTGCCTGTAATCCCAGCTACCCGGTAGGCTGAGGCATGAGAATCACTTGAACCTGAGAGGCAGAGGTTGCAGTGAGCCAAGATCGTGCACTGCACTCCAGCCTAGGCGACAAAGGAAGACCATCTTAAAAAAAAAAAAAAAAAGGTTGGGCGCGGTGGCTCATGCCTATATTCCCAGTGCTTTGGGAGGCTGAGGTGGGTGGATCACGAGGTCAGGAGATCGAGACCATCCTGGCTAACATGGTGAAACCTCGTCTCTATTAAAAATACGAAAAAAATTAGCCGGGCATGATGGCGGGTGCCTGTAGTCCCAGCTACTCGGGAGGCTGAGGCAGGAGAATGGTGTGAACCCAGCAGGCGGAGCGTGCAGTGAGCCCAGATCGCCCCACTGCACTCCAGCCTGGTGGACAGAGTGAGACTCTGTCTCAAAAAAAAAAAAAAAAAAAAAAAAAAGAAAAAGAAAAAAAGAGTTAACCTTAATTTTCAAGCAAGAAACCTAATGCCTATGTTATTCCAGGCATTGTGCTGGGCACCAAAGAAAGAAGATTAACTAGGACATGGCCCCTGCCCATAGGTGCTCATAGGTGCTCATGGTCTAGTGAGAAGCCTGTGGATAAGAAAAGAGCTTATGATTTGAATTTCTGCTTTTCTTAAAATTAGAACATTTATATATTTTTTTAATCTTTTATCAGAGAGGTGTTTTTACATATTAGTTCCTCTATTAGAATATAATCTCCTTCTCAGGCCATATACATGTTGGACATGTTGGAATGATGTTGCACATAAATCCTAAATTAAAAAAATAATTACAGCAAATTTTAAAAAATTAAGGCAATTTAAGAAGTCCTCTTGACATGCTCAGATTCCATGCCATAAAATACTTTAGATCATACGTAAAGAAAAAGTTTCTGAAAAACAACTGACTCATCCAGTTACACCCTACTTAACAATGACTTTAAAAGATGTAAGAGAAGTTCTTAAAAAAAAAAAAAAAAGAAAAAAGAATTTTCTCAAACCGGTCATCCTGGTTTCAAAAACTATATATATGCAAAGGGGTGACACATCCCTTCGGACACTTCCTTATGAACGTTTGGGGAAAACCTGGTATAAGCTGCTGCCACAGACATGAGACTGGCAGGGGACACTGCCTGGCAAGAGAAAGTAGGACAGAGGAAGCTGGGTGGAAATTCAAACAGGAATCATTTGGTCATATCAAAAACGGAACATCAAAGGCAGGCCCATCAAGGTCCATATTTAGAGTCTATACATATAATAAGAAACAAATCTGGGCAACATAGTGAGACCCTTATCTCTACAAAAAATAAAAAAAATTAACTGGATGTGGTGGTGCGTGCCTGCCTGTAGTTCCAGTTACTTGGGAGGCTGAGGCAGGGGGATGGCTTGAGCCTGGGAATTCGAGGCTGCAGTGGGCCAGGATGGCACCACCACAGCCCAGCCTGGGCAACAGAGAAAGACCCTGTCTCAAAAACAAACAAACAAAACATAAAACACCAAGAAAAAGCCCTCTGTCCAGAGATGAAAAAATTCTCAGGGAGAAAAGGGAAGAGGAAAAGATATTAGCTTATCACTACCTAGAAAAATCTGCTATTTATAGTATTAGTTTTTTTTTTTTAACTAAACATATACTGAATACTCCAGTATGCTGGTTCTCATCAGAACATATAATCTATTTTTCTTGATGGGACTTAATTAAACTAAAAAGCTTCTGCACAGCAAAACAAATAATCAGCAGAGTAAACAACCCACAGAGTGGGAGAAAATCTTCACAATCTATACATCCAACAAAGGACTAATATCCAGAATTTACAAGGAACTCAAACAAGTCAGCAAGTAAAAAACAAACAATCCCATCAAAAATTAGGCTAAGGGCATGAATAGACAATTCTCAAAGGAAGATATATAAATGGCTAACAAACATATGAAAAATGCCCGACATCATTAATTATCAGAGAAATGCAAATCAAAACCACAATGTGATACCCCTCTACTCCTGCAAGAATGGCCATAATAAAAAAATCAAAAAATATTAATAGATGTTGGTATGGATGCAGTGAAAAGGGAACACTTTGACACTGCTAGTGGGAATGTAAACTAGTACAGCCACTATGGAAAACAGTGTGGAGATTCCTTAAAGAACTAAAAGTAGAACCACCATTTGATCCAGCAATCCCACTCCTGGGTATCTACCTAGGTATCACACACTGCACTCCAGCCTGGGTGACAGAGCAAGACGATCTCAAAAAAAAAAGAGTTAATCTTAATTTTCAACCAAGACATCTAATGCCTATGCTATTCCGGGCATTGTGCTGGGCACCTTAGGGTAAAATAAGTCATTATACCGAAAAGATACTTGCACATGCATATTTATAGCAGCACAATTCACCACACCCAGCCTTCTAATTTACTTTGAATTCGTCAGAAGGGATAGTTGCACGGCATGGGTGTCTAATATCTACTGATGATGTGGCAATCAAAATCAGCACAAAAATTCAAATGTTCCAGAAGCAGCTAATATTTGGAACTGGGTTAGCAACAAATGTTACAAACAAGGGGGTGTGTGCATGCACGTGACTATTTGGGAAGAGCCTTAACCTCAACATGTGATATTTTCAAACGAGAGCATATTCATCTCAATTAACCACTGCAATATTCTCCTGTGAAAAATAAAACCCTACTATTAATTCTAAAACATACGAAAAATCAGTGTGTTTAGACAGCAGAAGGGAAAGAAAAAAGGTGAGAAACATGATTTTGTCTCTCTCCATTCTTTATGCGATTAAAATAAAACTAATAAGGGATAATAGTGGTCATTTTAAAAGTAAAAACAAATACATATTTTAAGCATCTGAAAATGATCAAAATATTAATTAAATGACATTTCTAAAAACCTAGAAATTAGGTCAGTTTGAAGCCAAGGCTTTATGTGAAATAGTGAGGCAGATACTTTTTTTAAAAAGCAAAATTTGAATGTTATTAATAAAATACATAAATTATTTAAATTGTTGTGACACTGTAAGATTTTTTCCACATCAGATAACTTTAAAAAATGTATCTTTCAGGCCAGGTGCGGTGGCTCATGCCTGTAATCCCAGCACTTTGGGAGGCTGAGGCGGGCGAATAACGAGGTTAGCAGATCGAGACAATCCTGGCTAACATGGTGAAACCTCATCTCTACAAAAAATACAAAAAATAAGCCAGGCGTGGTGGCACATGCCTGTAGTCCCAGCTACTCAGGAGGCTGAGGCAGAAGAATCACTTGAACCCGAGAGGTGGAGGTTGCAGTGAGCTGAGATCACACCACTGCACTCCAGCATGGGTGACACAGCGAGACTCTGTCTCAAAAAAAAAAAAAATATATATATAATATAAAAATATATATTATATAAAATATAAAATTATATTATATAAAAATTATATAATATATAATATATATCATATATTATATATTATATAAAATATATATTATATAAAATATATATAAAAATATATATTTATCTTTATATATAAAAATATATACGTATCTTTCAAATGTGAATGCCCTAGCCACCCATTTCTTAGCTTTGTATCACTTGATCAAAGGTTTTAGGTTAGCTAAGCCTTCCTTTGACCCTTTAGAGGCTCCTACATCATTACATTTCTAGCTTTTCACCAAATATCTAGTGATGTCTAAGCCAAAATAAAATACACTCAATCAATGGTTGAGAAATAATGAAGCAACAAATATATACATAACGGCAAAACAATGTAAATTCATAAAAATGCATAAATTATTTAATTACCAATTAAAAAAACATTTTAAACACTCATTTAACTGAGTCTTTCAAAAATAGGCAGCTCTTAAGGAGTTACTGTTATAAAGCTGAAGGCTTTAACCAAGAATATAAACACAACGTGGAAACAGCTGAATTCATTCTTAACAATCAAAGATTTGTTCTTCTCTGGAAATTGCAACAGAAACTTCAGCAGTGGGTAGGCACGAAACCTTTACTCTAAATATTCAACAATTTCTCCATGAGACAAGCAGGGCTAGCAGCCTTCCCACCAGCTAACATCTTTTTTTTTTTTTTTTTGCAAAGCCACTGGAGAACTTTCCCATTAGATACCAAGAACATATTTGGTAGCCGAAGGACATTAAAGTGATTTAAAATTATAAATACCAATAGTTACATGAAATTACCCAAAAGATACAGTAAATTTCTAGATTTGGGAGCCCACAAAGAAGTATGTTTTAGGATATTATTAATATATTATGTATCTGAGGATACCATCATTTAAGGGGAATGACTGACTGTTCATTAGGACTACAGACTCTGAGTCTGAGTACAACTGTCCCCAAACAAACAGTTCTGTTTTCAGGATATTTAAAAAGATTCACAGAGAGGAAATGTGCCTTTTATCAGCCTCAGTTTAAAGAAGCAGACAGGAGAGATCCAAGAAGGTACAGCAGAGAATGTAGTAGAAAATGGCAGGTATGGAGTTCAGCAGAACAAAGGATGGGGCATAATATTGTGGGTGGACAGAGCAAGGTTCCAAATAGTCTCAAAGTAAGGACTCTGCCTGGGAAATGATAAAACTCATTTGGCAGCATACTTTGAAATAACTCGCCTGCTGCACAGGGGGCATAGGCTGCCCCATCCCCATTCATTCCCTCTTCTTTCCTGCCACACTGGAAGCATTTTATTCAGCTATTCTCATCTAGCCTCCCCTTGTGACCAGCTGCACGCACTGTGAAAGGGCCCAAAGTGCAGACCGTGCCAAAGCAAAAGAGCATGCATGACCAAATGACACCGGAATCCATGTCTACAAGGAAAACAAGTCCCCAAACTACGAAATAGTATAATCCCAATGTTATTTGTAAAATCTTACTTTAAAAAATATATATTTATTTTGCTATGGTCTGAATGTTTGTATCCCCATCAAATTCATATATTGAAATCCTAATCTCCAAGGTTTTGGTACCAGGAGATGTGACCTTTGGGAAGTGATTAGGTCATAAGGGTAGAGCCCTCATGAATGGGATTAATGTTCTCATAAAAGAGGCCCCAGAGAGATCCCTTGCCTTTCTGCCATAAGAGGAAACAGCAAGAAGATACTGTCTATGAACCAGACTGCAAGCCCTTATTAGACAGGGAGTCTGCTGGTGTCTTATCTTGAACTTCCCAGCCTCGAGAAGTGTGGATTTTTTTGTTTGTTTGTCATTTATAAGCCACCTGGTCTACAGTATTTTGTTATAGCAGCCTGAATGGACTAACACATACATACATACATACACACATACATACATACACATACACACACACCCCACACACATATTTGTATAATTACATTTATACAAAAAAAGTGAGAACGCATCTACCCAGTGATGTGCTGGAGCCAGCTCATGTGAGCTGACAATTGAATTTTCAGAAATTTTGCAAGCCAGTTGTTAAATATAACCATTATTAAAAATTAAGTTATACAAACTTACAATTAAAGTAAAGCTAATATTAAAGGTTCATCATTTCCTAATTATTTTCTTAAATTTTACTACTGCTAATGACGTGCTACTGTGCATCTCTTCCCAATCTATCACCAGTGGTATCATATTGGTAGCTTTAAATTGGCCATGGTGGGAATATTTATCCCACAAAACTGGCAAATTAGGGTTTACTTTATCATTTTATTGACTGTCTAAACTTAAGAAAGTGACAAAGAAAATGTTAGTAATAATGCACGTTCAACCTAAAAGCATGTTATATGTGGAGCTGTTACATTACGACAAGAACAAAAAAACTGAGGAAACATTCTTCCAGTTTGAAAACTATCATCTGAATCAGCAAAGAGGTTGCTCATGCAATTGACAAATGAATAGAAACTCTGACATATATTTTGGTTTTGGTTTTTGACACATATTTTGTTTCACGTTTATCTTACTCATTAATATAAACAAACATATCAACCAACATTCATATTGGAATTACGCTCAGAGAGCGAGTTGCTCACATTTATCAGCATACCACTGCACAGGCCCCAGATGTTAACAATAGTTGATTCTAAGAGGTAAAGAATTATGAATGATTTGTCATCTACCTGTGTCTCTGAATTTTTCAAGCTTTATAATTACTTTAATAATTTGTGTGCTATTTTTAAAAATTGCTATAGCAAACAAACAAAACAAAATAAATTCACTGGTTCATGTCAAATTCATGACCTCTAAATAATGAAGATTATAGCCAAACCACCAGCCAATCAATCACTTTCTGGAAACAGCAGGCTGAGTTCAAAGTCACATGTAGATGCCATTACAGGGCTGAAAATCCCCCAGAATCCTGATGTGAATAACAAAAATGAATTACAGCATGCATACAACTTCAAATCTCTGTATTTCCCATACCCCTTATTGCTCCAGCATAAAATAAAAATACAGGGTGTTAATCAAATTAAATCCATATAACATTTAGAATTTTAAAAGCATTAATTTAGCTATTATTTCCCGAGTGTTTTCTACGTTCCAGAAATTTTCCTAGGTGCTGAGGACAAAAGTAAAACAAGATGAGCCCCTCTATTCAAAGAGATTACAGTTAAGTACAGAAGACAGAGAAGTAAACAATTTTTTAAACAGGCGATTTTAATACAGATTAGAAAATGTGGAACCACCTAGGAACATCTGGAGTCTTTAAAAAATAGTATCACAAATATAGAACTAATCATGAATGCCAATTTCAATGAAATACAACTAAAGGAGAGGGTAAAGTATAATCAAACTCTAAAAAATAATAAAATAGGCCGGGCACAGTGGCTCATGCCTATAATCTCAGCACTTTGGGAGGCCGAGGCGGGTGGATCACCTGAGGTCAGGAGTTCGAGACCAGCCTGGGCCAACATGGCGAAACTCTGTCTCTACTAAAAATACAAAAATTAGCCAGGCATGGTGGCGGCTACCTGTAATCTCAGATAATGGAGAGGTTGAGACAGGAGATTTGCTTGAACTCGGGAGGCAGAGGTTACAGTGAGCCGAGATTGCCCCACTGGACTCCAGCCTGGGCGGTAAGAGCAAAACTCCATCTCAAAAAAAAAAAAAAGAAAGAAAATAATGATAATAACAATAAGGCTGAGTGTGGTAGCTCACGCCTGTAATCCCAGCACTTTAGGAGGCCGAGGCAGGTGGATCACGAGGTCAGGAGATCGAGACCATCCTGGTTAACACGGTGAAACCCTGTCTCTACTAAAAATACAAAAAATTAGCCGGGCGTGGTGGCACACACCTGTAGTCCTAGCTACTAGGGAAGCTGAGGCAGGAGAATCGCTTGAACTCAGGAGGCGGAGGTTGCTGTGAGCCGAGATCGCGCCACTGAATGCCAGCCTAGGCGACAGAGCAAGACTCCGTCTCAAAATAATAATAAAATAGATTCTTAGTGGCAAGACTATGCATACATGAATAGTAACATCTGCTTTTCTGTAGCAGCCAAAGCCAGAGTCACTCCTCAAACTCCTAGCTAGTCCAGTGCTGGCATTTTTAGAACTGGTGTGGCACTACAGTCCAGTACTAATTCCAACTTTTAGTTGCACTAAAGATGATCCTCCTCATACCTCTAACCAATATCTATGTCACCATAAGAATGTCTGTAAGATATGCCAACTGTTTCTTGCGTCATGGCCCTTCTTGTTGGAAAAATTCCTAATGATAGGAATCAACCGAAATGAAGGTGTGAATGGATAGATGGAGGGACAGGTAGGTAGGCAGACAGACAGACAGACTTCTTTTTAACAACCTTACTTTCAAAACACAAGATACAGTCTTTAGTAATCCCACTACCTTTAGGTTCCATCTATTTAGGTAGCAAGTATTTATATTTTATTAATGGAATAACAGAGCATGAGGGCCCTTCTAAACACCCAAAACTAGTGTGATAAAGTTGGACATTTTGCTTCCAGACAAATATTCTGACCATTAAAACTGGGGCTTCAATTTTCCCAGGAGAGATTATACAACTGTTTCGGTCTAAGTTGAACTATGTCAGAGGCTATTTGGAATGCTGCCTAAAATTTCAAGAATGCTGGGGGATTGAAGGGGGAGAGGAGATGGAGACAAACGAGGAAAGAGAAATGTGACTGTTGGTGGTGGGGTTAGGATCTAAGACTCACTTCCAAGCTTGACTCCTAATCCCACCTCATTCCCACAGGCCACAGTCCTAACACCAAAGGTCTGAAAAAGACAGGTGGAATTCCCATGACAGGACCCCCAGCAATCGCAGCATCGGTGCCACTGACCCCATCATCGCCACCAGCCCTTTCCCAGGAAGAGTCAGCTGACACGGAACAATCCTTGGCAGTGGGGATTGGGGCTACTGGATGACTTTCAGCAGCCTGAGAAGTCAACAGTGTGAAGATCACCAATGCACAGAACCTAACCAGAAAGGTTTTCTTTAGCTTATTTATTTTTGCAAGTAGCTTCAAAAAGGAATAAACTTCTAGAGGTCCTCAGATTCTCTGTTATTTTTATTTCAAGTGAAAATGTTTCCTTGCCACTAAATTCAGGAAACACTCACTGATCACTGATAACCTCATGATTACGGACCATGGCTGGAGATAAAAAAATGAACCACTGCCCTCAGGTGGGGATGCCAGCCCCACCAACTTATAAAGGTCATTTGTGCTCTAGATAAAAGTATGCCAAGGAACTGTCTTTGGTTTGTTTTTGTCCCTGAGAAATCAAAATGTTTCAAATAATAACTTTAATCCTAGTTTTAAAATTTTAACACCAAGACTTTGTACTTGTATTCCCTTCTAATTCTAACCTGCTGTTAGAAATGTTTGTTTTCAAACTAGGACTTTCTATAAGAATAATGACGTTTCTCTTACTGAAATAATTCAGCCTTGATCATTTTATTTTATATTATTTAGGGGAACAGAATAAAAGCTGGTCACCATGCTAATATTAAATTGCTGCAATTTATTTCATCATAATAATTTTGTGTGTATGTTTTTGGGGGAGGATTTTTTTTAAATAAACTTTTAATTGTAAATTAGTTTTAGATTTCCAGAATAGTTGTGAAGAAAGTTGTCACATACCCCACACTGTTTTCCCTACTATTCTCATCTTACATTAATATATTTGTCACAATGTGTTTTTAAACTAGTCTGGTATAAATTCTACTTCTCCATGTTTTATTTGTAAGAGGTTTATAGAAAGTAATAGAAAAAAAACCCTACATGAATTAGCATAACACTGAACTGTAAACACTGAGTGACAGTATTGTTAGCAAAAATGATGTCAAAACCTAAATATTTTCTTAAGGTAAAGTCATGTCCAAATCGAGGAGTGAGGACAAGTAGGCCCATTCACAGGACTCACCACTTTGACTAGCTCCATACAAAGACAGAATATTTGGGTTGGTATTTTACAAAGAAGTACTAGTAAAAGGAAGAAAAATGCAGAAGGCAGGAAGACTGCTAACTCTTAATAGGGTTTACATAGTAAATCAGGGTGAAGAAAAATTTCTGTAGATTTATTTTTTAGGGTTCCAAGTCTTTACATTTAGTATAAACTACCTCAGTGTCTAGCAAAATGCTTTTCACACACAATAAATATCTTTTGAATGTAAGTGAATCTCACTTTCAAAACAAAACATATCATAGTGCAGAAACTCCAGTACATCTGCCATTTGATGTCAAATATGGATTCATCAATGTTTCATGGAGATGTTATTTTTAAAATCATGATCTTTCCAACATCAGGCCTACATAAACTAAAGTTGTTGTTTTGCCTCAGGCTTAAGCAGAACAAATCTATGGGAAACTCAAAGGTGATATTTTTAACAATCATTATTTAAAGAAATATAGCAGTACCTTATTTAAATACTGAGATCAAGTCTGTTCTTTTTTTCTTTTTTTGAGACAGAGTCTCACTTTGTCACCCAAGCTGGAGTGCAGTGGTGTGATCTCGGCTCACTGCAACCTCTGCCTCCTGGGTTCAAGTGATTCTCCTGCCTCAGTCTCTCGAGTAGCCGGGATTACAGGTGCGCACCACCACACCTGGCTAATTTTTACATTTTTAATAGAGACAGGGTTTCACCATGTTGGCCGGGCTGGTCTCGAACTCCTGACTTCAGGTGATCCACCCACCTCAGCCTCCCAAAGTACTGGGATTACAGGCATGAGCCAAGGGTGCCCGGCCAAGTCTGTTCTTTACGCAAATAGAAGGCCAAAGAGAAGAGGGAAGAGGTGAGCATACAAAGGTATCCTGGGAATTTGTACAAACAGGAAGTACAGCTGAACTTTGTGCAGTGCTGGGAAACACGGCGGCTTTTTGTGCAAGCTCTCATTCTTCCTTTCTCTCTGAAACCACATCATCTCTGCTTCAATCTTCACATCTTCTGCTACACTTGAAGATTGTTTGCTGGCATTCCTGTCTTTGTACATAAAGCATCTGTTTGTTTTAGGCTATCAGTGAATTCTTGGAGACACAGAGAATGTAGGACCATCCCCCTGATGGTTGTCAGACAGAGCGTGAACTGTGTGAGGAGTCTGGGGGTCTGACAAGCCCAATTTCAGCTCTGCCTTTACTCACTCCATGAGTATAATCACATGTCAGTTTCCTTATCTGTAACATGACATTATTGGATTGGATGATCTCTATTCTACCCACTAGGTCTAAAATTTTTAAAATATGAAACTTAAAACACTCCAAGATTCCAATTTAAATTCATTTAATAAGAATCAATTACTTAATCCAACTGCAGTAAGGGAGCTGGACTTGATATTTAATCCATTCCAATAATAATAAAGAAATAGCTAATCTAATTGACCTACACTAATGGTTTTACATCTTTTAACTCACTTAATCCACACATCCACCCGTACAAGAAGGTACTGTTATCATCCCAGTTTTAGAGATGAAAAAAGAGTTTACATAATTTAAATGTCAAAGGACTCATAGCTGGTAAATGGTGAAGTCAGGACTGGAACTTGGACAGTCTGACTCTAGGCAGGGCCAGAGTTCTTTGCTACTGTGCTTCACTATCTCACAAAAAGTTCACATACAGTTGACTGTTGAGAGGAAAACACACACACACACACACAAAACACATTAGGTGAGAATTGTGATTTAATTACCAAAGAACCTTAAGAACTGTCTTCTTTCACTGAACATCCCATGGCTGGAAGAGTTAAATCAGAAGCAACGGTGGAGGAAAGGGGGCAGAATCTTAAATAGTATCAGAAAATGATTTAAGACTTTTATCACTCCTGGGATTTATTCACAAAATATAACATGTCAGGGAGTATATACAAATAAATGATAGGATATTTATAGGTCTGGCTGTATTTTGTGTTGTTTCAGAAAATCCTACATTAAAGAAGGTTTTTTTTGTGTGTGTGTGTCTGTGTGTGTTTTGCCTTTTGTTGATGAAAGAAGACAAAACAATAAAGTCTTCTATTACTCACTGGCATAGATCTGATGTCAGTGTTCATAAGACAAGCAATACACTTCCCTCTTCATACAACATATTATATGGCATGGCTTTTGTTTCTCCATAAATACTGTAAAGTACTACCCTACTCTATTTTCTCAATATATTCATGGCACCCTAATCTATATGGAAATAAATTCTAGAATCAAGGCTATAGTTTTGGTAGTCCTAAAACCAACATGAGTATGTTAGGTATGTGACTTTCATTTCTAAATTACGGTATTGTTATCATTATTTCCTCTAATGGTATTGCATTGACTTGTGAGGTTAAAACAACTGAAACCCCTTTAAACTTGAATTAAATTAAAGGGGTTTTTATTATGAGCATACAAAGGTATCCTGGGAATGGGTATGAACAGGAAGTGCAGCTGAACTTTGGGCAGTGCTGGGAAACAAGGCAGCTTCTCGTGCATGCTCTCATTCTTCCTCACTTTCTCTTTGGGACTACATCACCTCCGCTTCAGTTTTTGCAGTCTTCTCTTGAACTCCCTGCTCATTCACTGGCATACCTGGCCAGTGTTCATCAGCATGCATATCCTACCAAGCCCAAATCTAAATAATTTTAAACCTCCAGAAACCATGGCTGTCAGCTCTGTCTTTTAGTTTAAACTTTCATGAGAAAAAACTTGATTAGCATACCTTATAGGATAGAGTTCTATCAGCTATGGCCAAATGGGGTAGGACCACGTGGAAACCTGGCCATAGGTGCCTTTCTTTCAGCTGAGACTGGAGGCTTGGGAGGCAGTTCTCAGGGATGCATGAGATAAGATTTAGTAGCAGTGCATCACCACCTCATCGTTCAAAGCTATGGAAAAAAACTAAACACTGAAATGCAGGCCTAGAGAATCTACAAGAGGAACAATTACAGGAGTTGTTTCCAGAGTGATTGGTAAAAGCTTGAAACCCAAGGCCACCAGGAAGTATCCTAACAGTTTATCATGCTTTTACCATTAGCTATTTTACTTCTGAGTGGCCTATCTTTTCCTACTTTGAGTTAGAGGGCAAAGAAGACATCCTGCATTCAGAATGAGAGGAGATTAGGTTATGCTCAAAGAAATGCAATGAGCTTCCCTAAAGGAAGTTGATCACTGTGTGGAAAAATTAGCACTAGTGAAAAGAGAGGACCAAATCTGTATCTTTTCTTCAGGTAGCCAAAGGTAATATTTTGCCACTATGACAGAGGCCTGTGGGACTACTCAACAGTTCCTATCAACTCCAGACTTTACCAGTTCATACAAAGCAGGCATATGTAACAATAGTGTGCTTCTCCAAGCACGAAGGGATAGCACAAATGTATAAGAGCAAATACCGCCTGGATCAAGGTGTTTATGCAGATGCTGGCTTATGCTCCTTCACAGAATCCCACCATGACCACACACCCTGGCTTGAGTTGAGAGAATTCTTTAGGACAATAATAATGCAATTGTAGTTTCTTATGACAAAACTAACAAACATCAAACTGATATGTCAGAAAGAACTTCTGGGTTACAGAGACTTGAAGAGCCCTGACCTTGAAAAGCAGAGATAACACTGAAAATCATTTCCAAGTGGGTTTAGCCTGCTTAACTGAGGTCCAAAGCAACTGTGATAATCAATTTGATGTGTCAACTTGGCTAAGCTACAGTCTCCAGTTATTTAATCAAACATTAATTTACACGTCACTATAAAGGCATTATGTCAGTGTGATTAAAGTCCACCAGTTGATGGGACTTTATCAGGGTATAGTATGGGAGATTATTCTATGAAATCTGTGTGGGCCTGATTTAATCAGTTAAAAAGCCTTAAGAGCAGAGCTGAGGCTTCCATAATGAAAAGAAATTCCACTTGTGGATGGCAGCTTCACTCCATGGGTGAGAGTTCCAGCCTGCCCTTCCTGATGGCCTGCCTTACGAAATTCTGACTTGCCTAAATCAGCTCCAACAATCACATAAATATTTCCCTGCAATAAATCTTTATCTCTCTCTTTTTTTTAAAGATGGAGTTTCACTCTTGTTGCCCAGGTTGGAGTGCAAAGGTGCAATCTTGGCTCACTGCAACCTCTGCCTCCTGAGTTCAAGAGATTCTCCTGCCTCAGCCTCCTAGGTAGCTGGGATTACAGGCATGCGGCACGAAACCTGGCTAGTTTTTTGTATTTAGTAGAAATGGGGTTTCACCATGTTTGTCAGGCTGGTCTCCAACTCCTGGCCTCAGGTGATCCACCTGCCTTGGCCTCCCAAAGTGCTGGGATTACAGGCATGCACCACTGTGCCCGGCCCCAGGAAATCTCTTTTTTTTTTTTTTGAGATGGAGTCTTGCTCTGTCACCCAGGCTGGAGTGCAGTGGCATGATCTCAGCTCACTGCAAGCTCCGTCTCCTGGGTTCACGCCATTCACCTGCCTTAGCCTCCCGAGTAGCTGGGACTACAGGCGCCCACCACCACGCCCGGGTAATTTTTTGTATTTTTAGTAGAGACGGGGTTTCACCGTGTTAGCCAGGATGATCTTGATCTCCTGACCTTGTGATCCGCCCGCCTCAGCCTCCCAAAGTGCTGGGATTACAGGCTTGAGCCACCATGCCCGGCCAGTAAATCTCTTTAATATACATCTCCTACTGGTCCTGTTTCTCTGGTTGAACCCTGACTGATAAAGCAACTAAATAATTATAATAACCCCAAGAGATAGGTACTTTAATTAGCTCCATTTATAGATGAGGAAACTGAGGTAAAGAAAGATTAAGAAACTTTCCCAGGGAACCCAGCTCCCAAGTGGTGAAGCTGGGATTCTAACCCCGTCAGCCTGATGCCTGGACCCAAGTACTTCACACACTATCCCACAGCTTCTCGAGTGGTTCTACCAATACAGGCAGAACCTAAACAATCGAAAAAGTATTTTTTTTTTTTTTTAAGAGAAAGCGTCACTCTGTCACCCAAGCTGGAGTGCAGTGGTGCAATCTTGGCTCACTGCAACTTCTGCCTCCTGAGTTCAAGCAATTCTCCTGCTTCAGCCTCCTGAGTAGCTGGGACTACAGGTGCTCACCACCACGCCCAGCTAATTTTTTGTGTTTTTAGTAGACATGGGGTTTCACCATGTTGGCCAGGCTGGTCCCGAACTCCTGACCTCAAGTGATCTGCCCACCTCGGCCTCCCAAAGTGCTAGGATTACAGGCGTGAGCCACTGCACCCAGCCTGAAAAAGTATTTCTTAAAAATCATTTTGGATTGCCCTAGAAAGCCTCCAAACTTGGGCATGACCTGAGAGTATTTTTAAAATTCACTTTGGATCACCCTAAAAGTTTCCCAAATTTGGGCACAGACAGTCCAGATTTCAAATACAGGCTTAAGAGTTATGCACTGGTGTCTATGCCTTGAATCCAAGTGATCTGACTCCTGAATGGCTTCAGAAAGGCCTCTGAAAAGCTCCGAGCATACAGATTTCCAGAGGCTGTGGATTAGTACAAGACCCCTTTTGGAAAGTGCTCTTTTGGGACCTGAAATAAAAATAACAGAAATGGGTTAAAAAATCTGAGCATTATAACATAAAAATATGAGTTAAACTGGAAGAAACAATATTCTTATTGGACACCTTCTAGGACAGAGTTCTATTAGCTATGGCCAAATAGCGTAGGACCATTTTCTTCTGGTTCATCCATAAAAAACACAGGGAAAGGGAAGAATCTCAAAGAATGTTACAGAGGTAAGAATGCAACCCTTCATGAAGATAATTTGGTAGTATATATGAAAAGTCTTAAAATATTTATATATTTTTTGTTCCATTAATTCTACTGCTAAGAATTTATCACAAGGAGATAATCAGTGATGGTCCATAAAAATGTAGGTATAAGAATCTGATTACAGGATTATTTACAATAGTAAAATCTTGAAATAACCTAAATGTCTGATAATAGAAAAAGTTTGGTATACTACATGATGAAATGCCATGAAAATCATGTTATGGGAAAATGTTTATAAACTATTGTTTTATGAAAAGAAACTTATATATATCATCCCAATTTTTTTTTTTTTTTTTTTTGAGACAGAGTCTCGCTGTCACCCAGGATGGAGTGCAGTGGCGCAATCTCAGCTTACTGCAAGCTCCGCCTCCTGGGTTCCTGCCATTCTCCTGCCTCAGCCTCCCCAGTAGCTGGGACTACAGGCACCTGCCACCACACCTGGCTAATTTTTTGTATTTTTTAGTAGAGATGGGGTTTCAGGTGTTAGCCAGGATGGTCTTGATCTCCTGACCTTGTGATCCGCCTGCCTCGGCTTCCCAAAGTGCTGGGATTACAGGCGTGAGCCACTGTGCCTGGCCCCCCAGTATTTTTTTTAAAGTACACCAAGTATGCACAAAAGAAAGACTGAACCACCAATATACTAACAGCAATTATTGTTGACTATTAATGATTTTATTTTTTTCTCCTTTTTGTATTTTGACAAACTTTCTATAATAGGCACGTATTATTTTATAGTAACAAAATTTAATTGTTTGTTGTTGTTTTTTTCTTCTGAAATTGGGTCTTGCTCTGTCACCCAGGCTGGAGTATAGATCATAGTTTACTGCAGCCTTGCAACCTCCCAGGCTTAACCCCCATCTCATCTCAGCCGTCAGGAGTTCGAGACCAGCCTGACTGTCTCTACTACAAATATCTGACTATCTCTACTAAAAATACAAAATACCTGACTATCTTGTAAAAATATAAGATATCTGACTATCTGTATTAAAAATACAAAATTAGCCAAGCGTGGTGGTGCATGCCTATAATCCCAGCTACTCGAGAGGCTGAGGCAGGAGAATCACTTGAACCCGGGAGGCAGAAGTTGCAGTGAGCCAAGATTGTGCCATTGCACTCCAGCCTGGGCAACAAGAGCAAAACTCCATCTCAAAAAAAAAAAAAAAAGATAGTGAACTTAATGGATAAATGTTGTGTGTGTTCTGACTGTTCCACTGGCAGTTCCCCCATCTTTTCCCCTCTCCTTGGGTCTCCTTATTCCCTAAAACAATACTGAAATTAGGGCAATTCATAATCCTACAGTGGCCTCTAAGTGTTCAAGTGAAAGGAAGAATTGCACTTCCTTCATTTTAAGCTGAAAGCTAGAAATGGTTAAGTTTAGTGAGGAAGGCAGGTCGAAAGCTGAGATAGGCCAGAAGCTAGGCCTCTTCCACCACACATTTAGCAAATCTGTTAATTAAAAAAAAAAAAAAAGGTTCTTGAAGGAAATTAAATGTGCTATCCCAGGGACCACATGAATGATAAGAAAGTGAAACAGCCTTGTTGCTGATATGAAGAAAGTTTTAGTGGTCTGGATAGAAGATCAACCCAGCCACAACATTCCCTTATGCCAAAACCTAATCTAAAGCAAGGTCCTAACTCTCTTCAATTCTATGAAGGCTGAGATAAGTAAGGAAACTGCAAACTGCACAAAAAAGTGGGAAGCTAGTAGAGGTTGGTTCATGCAATTTAAGGGAAGAAGGTGTCTTCATGACATAAAAGTGCAAGGTGAAGTTGCAAGTGCTGATGGAAAAGCTGCAGCAAGTTATCCAGCAGATCTAGCTAACATGATTGGTAAAGGTGGCTACACTAAACAGCAGATTTTCAGTGTAGATGAAGTAGTATTATATTGGAAGAAGGTGCCATCTAGGACTTTCCTAGCTAGACAGAAAAGTCAATGTCTGGCTTTAAAACTTCAAAGGACAGGCTGACTTTTGTTAGAGGCTAATGCAGCTGATGACTTTAAGTTGAAGCCAATGCTCATTTACCATTAAATAATTTTTTTATTTTTTAGTAACAAGTTCTCATTCTGTCATCTAGGCCAGAGTACAGTGCTGTGATCAAGGCTCATGACAGCCTCAACCTTCTGGGCTCAAGCAATCCTCCTGCCTCAGCCTCCCTGGGACTACAGGCACATGCCAACACACCTGGCTAATTTTTATTTTTTGTAGAGACAGGGTCTTGCTATGTTGCCCAGGCTGGTCTCAAACTCCTGCCCTCAAGC
This sequence comes from Homo sapiens, assembly GCF_000001405.40. Taxonomy (NCBI): domain Eukaryota; kingdom Metazoa; phylum Chordata; class Mammalia; order Primates; family Hominidae; genus Homo; species Homo sapiens. The sequence continues at coordinate 151,212,383 of NC_000004.12, forward strand.
AATCCTCCTGCCTTGGCTTCCTGAAGTGCTGGGATTATACGTGTGAGGGGCACCTGGCCTCATTTACCATGTTGAAACTCCTAGGGCCCTTAAGAATTATGATAAATCTATTCTGCCAGTGCCAGTGGAACAACAAAGCCTAGATGACAGCATATCTGTTTACAGCATGGTTTACTAAATATTTTAAGCCCACTCTTGAGACCTATTGCTCAGGAAAAAAGATTCCTTTCAAAATATTACTGCTCATTGACAATGCACCTGGTCACCCAAGAGCTCTGATGCAGATGTACAGGGAGATTCATATTGTTTTCATGTCTGCTGACACAACATCCAATCTGCAACCCATGGATCAAGGAGTTATTTTGACTTTGAAGTCTTATTATTTAAGAAATACATTTTGTAAGGCCATAGTTGCCATAGATAGTAATTCCTCTGATGAACTGGGGCAAAGTAAATGGAAAACCTGGAAAGGATTCACCATTGTAGATGCCATTAAGAATATCTGTGATTCATGGGAGGAGGGCAACGTAACAACATTAACAGGAGTTTGGAAGAAGTCGATTCCAACCCCCATGGATGACTTTGAGGGGTTCAAGACTCCCGTGGAGGAAGTAACTGCAGATATAGTGGAAACAGCAAGAGAACTAGAATTAGAAGTGGACCCTAAAGATGTGACCACATTGATGTATCTGATGATAAAGCTTCAGTGGATGAGGAGTTCCTTCTTCTGGATGAGCAAAGAAAGTAGAATTTACTCCTGGTGAAGATGCTGTAAACATTGTTGAAACGACAACAAAGGATTTAGAATAAATTTAGTTGATAAAGCAGTGGTAGGATTTAACAGGATTGGCTCCAATTTTGAAAGAAGTTCTACTGTAGGTAAAATGGTATCAAACAGCATTGCATGCTGCAGAGAAACTGTGAAAGGAAGAGTCAATCGATGTGGCAAACTTCATGGCTGTCTTATTTTAAGATATTGGGACCAGGAGTGGTGGTTCATGCCTGTAATCCCAGGATTTTGGGAGGTAGAGGTGGGTAGATAACTTGAGCCCAGGAGTTCAAGACCAGCCTGGGCAACATGGTACAATCTGTCTCTACAAAAAAATACAAAAATTAGCCAGGCATGGAGGCACACACCTGTAGTCCCAGCTACTTGGGAGGCTGAGGTGGGAAAACTGCTTGAGCCTAGGAGGTCAAGGCTGCAGTGAGCCGTGACTGCACCACAGCATTCCAGCCTGGGTGACAGATCAAGATCCTGTCTTGGAGGGAGGAATTAATAATATGAATTAATTAATTAATTAATTAATTTATTTATTTATTTGACAGGGTCTTGTTCTGTTGCCCAGGTGTGTGGTGGTACAATCCTAGCTCACTGTAGCCTCAAACTCCTAGGCTCAGGGCTTAGCTAATCCTCCTGCCTCAGCCTCCTGAGTAGCTGGGACTACAGGTGCATGCCACCGTGACTGGCTAACTTTTAAATTTTTTTTTTTTTAATTTTATTTTTATTGATCATTCTTGGGTGTTTCTCACAGAGAGGGATTTGGCAGGGTCATAGGACAATAGTGGAGGGAAGGTCAGCAGATAAACAAGTGAACAAAGGTCTCTGGTTTTCCTAGGCAGAGGACCCTGAGGCCTTCCGCAGTGTTTGTGTCCCTGGGTACTTGAGATTAGGGAGTGATGATGACTCTTAACGAGCATGCTGCCTTCAAGCATCTGTTTAACAAAGCACATCTTGCACCGCCCTTAATCCATTTAACCCTGAGTGGACACAGCACATGTTTCAGAGAGCACAGGGCTGGGGGGTAAGGTCACAGATCAACAGGATCCCAAGGCAGAAGAATCTTTCTTAGTACAGAACAAAATGAAAAGTCTCCCATGTCTACTTCTTTCCACACAGACACGGCAACCATCCGATTTCTCAATCTTTTCCCCACCTTTCCCCGCTTTCTATTCCACAAAACCACCATTGTCATCATGGCCCGTTCTCAATGGGCTGTTGGGCACACCTCCCAGACGGGGTGGTGGCCGGGCAGAGGCGCCCCTCACCTCCCGGACGAGGCTGCTGGCCGGGCGGGGGGCTGACCCCCCACCTCCCTCCCGGACGGGGCGGCTGGCCGGGCAGAGGGGCTCCTCACTTCCCAGTAGGGGCGGCCGGGCAGAGGCGCCCCTCACCTCCCGGACGGGGAGGCTGGCCGGGCAGGGGGCTGACCCCCCACCTCCCTCCCGGACGGGGCGGCTGGCCGGGCGGGGGGCTGACCCCCCCCACCTCCCTCCCGGAAGGGGCGGCTGGCCGGGCAGAGGGGCTCCTCACTTCCCAGTAGGGGCGGCCGGGCAGAGGCGCCCCTCACCTCCCGGATGGGGAGGCTGGCCGGGCAGGGGGCTGACCCCCCCACCTCCCTCCCGGACGGAGCGCCTGGCCTGGCGGGGGCTGACCCCCACCTCCCTCCTGGACAGGGCGGCTGCCGGGCAGAGACGCTCCTCACTTCCCAGACGGGGTGGCTGCCGGGCGGAGGGGCTCCTCACTTCTCAGATGGGGCGGTTGCCAGGCGGAGGGTCTCCTCCCTTCTCAGATGGGGCGGCTGGGCAGAGACGCTCCTCACCTCCCAGACGGGGTCGCGACCGGGCAGAGGCGCTCCTCACATCCCAGACGGGGCGGCGGGGCAAAGGCGCTCCCCACATCTCAGACGATGGGCGGCCGGGCAGAGACGCTCCTCACTTCCTAGCTAACTTTTAAATTTTATGTTGCCCAAGCTGGTCTCAAACTCCTGGCCTCAAGCAATCCTCCTGCCTTGGCCTCCCAAAGTGTTGCGAATACAGGCATGAGCCACCACAGCCGGCCTCATTAAAATATTCTGAAGACCGTACTTCAGTTTATAAGGCCTCTTCTACCTAGAGTTTCTCTTCAGAATCCATGACCAAGAGAAACTACTGGGCAATAGATAGTGATACACTTTAAGTCCGCCTGTCATTCCTTGATAGCATCCCTGAACTGCCTGCACAAGGCAGTGTGCCAAGGGAAAACATTATCTTGAGGAAACAGGTTTATAGTTGAGGGAATGTTTGTATTGTAGACACAATGTTACTCTGAAGCCTCCAAACAATCCATACTTTCCTTCCATTCTTTCATTTTTTTAATTAACAAAGGATACTGATTCTCAATCCTCCTGTCCAAAAGGAAGCAAGGTCACAAACAAGTCCTTCAGGATTCCTGCCTTAAATGTTGCTGCATTTAGAAGTGTTGCAAAAGAGCTGGCTTGCTCACTCTGCATTTCTGGAAAGATGGCCTACAACTAAAATGAGATTAGAAGTGGCAAAAACTTATCATGAGGGCAGAAATGAATGCTCTGATTTATTATGCAGAGGAGCTGCTAATCAACAAAGATACTTCAAACCTTGAAATTGAATTCTTGGGACCAGGCCTGATTTCTGGTTTCAGGAAAGGGTTTTACCTTTTTTTTTTTTTGACGGAGTCTTGCTCTGTTGCCCAGGCTGGAGTGCAGTGGCGTACTCTCGGCTCACTGCAACCTCTGCCTCCCGGGTTCAAGTGATTTTCCTGCCTCAAGCCTCCTGAGTAGCTAGCTGGGATTACAGGCGCATGCCACCATGCCCGGCTAATTTTTGTATTTTTAGTAGAGACAGGGTTTCACCATGCTGGTCAGGCTGGTCTCGAACTCCTGACCTCGTGATCTGCCCATCTCGGCCTCCCAAAGTGCTGGGATTACAGGCATGAGCCACCGCGCCCAGCCAGGGTGTTACCTTTAAGGACAAGACTGAATTCCGATCAACAGCAGTTTACTTTTAATGAGACAGGAGGTGATTGAGCTAATGAATGACTGTTCAGTAATTCTGTCCTAAGATTTTTCCAGGAATTAGCTAGTACGCTTCTGTGGCGTACAGTCCTAATCAATACATTTGAAGAATGTGATGTATGCTGTGTTCAATAAGGGAAAATATTTGAATAAAAATTTAAAGTCCACTTTCCCAAGGATATTTATTAGTTGGAGTAAAACCATAACCTAAGGATAGATTGAGGGCCACAAAGATGTATACAAACTTCACTTGACTACAGGCTGTTTAACCAACATTTTGTAGAACTGTATAAACAACTACTTCTAAATTATACTGCAGAAAGGTAAATAACTAATATAAAATATAACCCAAGGGAAAGAGAGGAAAGAATTAGGATGAAAAAAATTTAAGGGCCAGGAGTTCCATGCGCCCTGGACTGCTGAGAAATGGGTGGCCAACAAGCCCATCTTGAGAAAAAGTAATAAACACAAGACCAGCTGCTGTTCCAAAGTTAACTGCCTGCTGATAGTTTAATTTGAAACAACTTCAGAAAAGCCCCACACTAAGTACTATGGCAGTGGTAGACCAGCCAATAAAACTTTTCAATTACCCAACTGCTACACCATATACATGCTTCATTTTCATTCCCATCACACTAGGGGGAAATGCTAAAGTTACATTTCTGAAAACCACAACAAAACAACACTGTGTGTGTGTGTGTGTGTGTGTGTGTGTGTGTGTGTGTGTGTGTGTGTATTCTCTGTAGGATGACAAAAAAATGTTAATAGTCCTTTCACATCTTCCTTTGCAAAAGAATTTCCCGCCCACAAAACCTGTATATATTTAAATGTTTCACCTTGTTTATGGCATTACAGATGCTGCAGCAAAAGTAATGTTTCTCTTATTGCTTAGAAAACATAATGCCAGAAAGTAATTACACAGAGCTATAGTTTATAGAGGTACAGGTATCAAAACATATGGTCAGGGAAATGCTACAGAATTTCAGTATTAAACTAACCCCAGCAGAGCATGGTATTTTGATAGACATACTTAGAAAAGAGAACAGCTAAAACAAGTTAAATCTTTTGCTTTTAGCTAATCTATTTAAACCACAATGTGATGATGGTAAAGTGTCAAAATAAAATCTTCAACATCTTCATAAAATCAACAAAAGGATACCAATGCAGAGAACCAAGACCCTTTTAAATTCGTAATGATATAGTGATTGCTATGAGTTTTAACATCACCAACTATTAACTCTGAGAGTACTAAACTATGTGCTACAAATATTCTGCATGTTGAGTTTCAGTCTCTCCCTGTGCTGGGTGACATTTCAGGCCACATTATGGGGAGGGAAGTTGTAATGGGCTCTAGAGAACTTGGAACAGTACCAAACACCAGGAAGCTATCTGAGATTTGGGAAGCAAACAGACATGTACGGCACATAAAATTTAAAAACTTAAAAGTAATTGTGAATGAAAACAAAAAAAAAATCTATCTTGGAAGAACAATAAAGGTTTTCCTACACATCTATACACAAAGATATGAACATAAAGATGCTTATTGCAACATCATTTCTAACTGCAATGAATTGGAAACAACCTAAAGGACTGGTTAAATAAATTATAATAAGGTTACACTGGAAAATTTTATGCAGTAGTTAAAAAAATAATGAAGTGGAAACTGACATGGTAATACTTTCTAAATAAGTTAAAAAAGTCAAATTGACAGAAACACATATATATGTATACAGATATACAAACATACATATAAGCACACATACTACACATACACACACATATATATATCCCCATTTGTTCTAAATATTATTTAAATATATGCTATATATATGCATAGAAAGCAGACTAGGATAGACACTGAACCACCACTCTTAAGTCACCTATGGGATAAAGGCAGATACCACATGTTTCTGTACTATTAAAACATGTTTTCACGTGTTAGTTGTAGAACTCTTAAGTGCCAAAAAAGAGAAAAATTTGCAGAGAAATACAAGATGCTTCTAGTAAAAGGAGACATGGGAGCAGGTCTATAAGTACAGGTAAAATCTGAAGTGTTTAATCAATTTTTTCTGAACATTCTTGACTATTTCCTCAATTTTTCTCTTTAAAAAGAATTCACTCAATTTTATACTCATGTCCTATAAAAACATCTTTATCATTGCCATAGGATTCAAAAAGGTCTCCTGATGCCATTTAAAAAAAAATTATGAAACTATGCAGAGTTTTTTTTTTTTCTTTCTTTTTTAAGAGACAGGGTCTCACTCTGTCATGCAGGCTGGGATACAGTGGTGTGATCATAGTTCACCAAACTCCTGGGATCAAGCAATCCTCCCACCGTAGCCTCCCAAGCAGCTAGGACTACAGGCATGAGTCATCATGCCCAGCTAATTCCCAGGAGTTTAAAAAAGTATAGATAATATTGCAAATCCTATCTCTTAGCTTAAGAAATAAAACAGTCAAGATACACTTGAAGCTCCCTGTGGATCCTTTCCTGGCCCATTCATTTGATAATCAATACCCTAATTTCACTATTTATGACTTCCGCACATCTTTTTATACTTTTAGTACCTATACGTAGTCATAAAAATATACAACAAACAATGTATTATTTGTGTTTTGCCATGTGGTCCCTGTTGGTACAACTCTCCTGTTGTAATGTGAAAGCAGCCCAAGATGATATGCAAATGGACATGGCTGAGTTCCTGTAATATTTTAATTAAAAAATGGTGGCAGGCCAGATTTGACCCATTTGCTGACTTCTGCTTTATATAAATGGCATTATACTGTAACTATCCTTCTACAGCTTGCTTTTGTCATCCAAAATTATGTTTCTGAGATGTATCCATGTTCTCACATACTACATATCCTTAATTCAAACAGGGCTACTCTGAACTGACAAAGATTCTGAAACTTTTCCTAGTCCCATCTGTGTACTTCCTTGTAAAATCCAGTTTTGGCAGTAAGTCAGTTTAGCAAGAATCCTCATCTTCAATATCAGATTACTCTTAACATCTGATCAGGTTCAATCCCCTGCCATCCTCTTGGTGATGTCTGATCACCCTGGTCTGACTTCAGCAAGAATCCTATTAGGTCAACTTAGCTATAATCCCCTTTATCCCCGATGTCTCCTCTCAGTAATTTTCTATCCACTGACCCCCACGCCCTGCTCTTTTACTATAAATTCCCACTTGCCCATGAGTTGAGCCCGACCTAACTCCCCGACTGCAAAATCCCATTGCAGTTGTCCCTATACCTATCTTGATAGTCCTGAATAAAGTCTTCCTTACAGTTGTACCAAATTACATACTCTCATATGTACTTGGTATTTTCAGTCTTTGAGAGTTCTGTGCCAATTCCATGGAAGTGAAATGGTATCTCATTACCATGTTAGTGCACATCTTAATCCTAGCAAGGTGAAGAATCTTTTCATATATTAACTGGTTACTTAGGTTTCATCTTTTATGTGTTCCCTACCTGTATTTACTTGTCTTTTTCTTCCGTATGCGTAGTTTTTCTTTATCCTGGATACTAACCTTTGTCACCTACGTGCACTGCACAGTCATGACTTCCCTTTTCACATGCTTCCGATGTATTCATGTACATAAATCTTAAATTTTCACATAGTCAGATTTATCAGTCTTTTTCTTCATGGTTTGTATTTGTTGACCCTTAAGAACTCACTACCTCATAAAGATATTCTTATATATTTCTTTGAAATGTTTCCATTTTACTTCATTTCTTTAGATTTTTATCTCATGTCATAAGATAAATCAAATTCCGTGTAGATTAAAAATATGGATAATCAGTTATTCAAGCACCATCTGTTGACATACCAGCTTTCCCTCATTGATCCGTAATGCTGCCTCTATCATACCACATGACACAGAACTCTATGCATTCATCTATGTCTGTGGGCTCTTTAGTCTGCTTCAACAACCTATTTCTAGGTTTGCTGACAAAAGACTGTCTTAATTACTTAAAAGAGTTCACCTCTCCTCTTTGATCTTCAAAGTTGCCTTGGTTAGTCTTGCTCTTCCTTATACATCTAAGAATCACTTTGCTGAATTTCCATTTTCTTACTTCTATGATTTTTAATGAAATTTCATTTAATTTTATGAATGGATATCAAAGGGGATTATGACAGGTCACTATAAGAAGACTTTAGGGAGGCCAAGATTCAAATGACAATTTTTGAGAAATAGATTTAAGGTTCTTTGTTTTGCCGCCTTCTTTTTTTGCTGCTGTAAAATATTTCCTTGTAGTAGATAAAACATTTGAGATGAATTAGCTGGTAGTTCAGACCCCTAAGTCATCAAGATCTATTATTTAGAGCTGGTGGGATGGTAAAAAGAGCTCTTAATTTTCTATTGGTGGCACTGACTGCCATAGGGCTTAACATTCTTTATTATCTTTAGCTCCTACTTCCCTCTAATTCGTTTCCCAAACTGCCACTCCATGGTACTTTTTCCTAGATGTTATTAATAGCTATGTCTGGGAAAAGAAGTTATAAATTCAAATAAATTTTTAAACGAGTGTGTAGTATAGCTCTCACTTGGAGTTTTATAATGTACTTGAGTGTATCAAAGACTCTGAGGAGCATCACAGTAAAGAAATATGGCTAATTTTGTTTAACTCACCATTTCATAAACTTTTCTGCATATTAACACTTATTTCTTGACATACTGATTAATAATCTACAGAAGAGAGTTCTGTGGGACATCAATTTGGGAAATGGTGTGTTTAAACTAGTAAGGTTGAGACAAGAACAACGCAGATATTTCTCACATGTGTATCAATCAATCGGCAGCAAGCAAATCAACATCAAAACAAAGTAATCAAAAACCACCCAGGATGCCTTTTGCTTGGGGTCTTAGTGTTGGCCTACATATGATAAAACTTTTCCTTTAACTTGACAAGAATTATGTTTTCCTTCTTAGTTTAGCACTGAGGTGAAAGAACAGGCAGACGTCCCAGATTTATTCACCTCTTACTATGAAAGCTATAGGAGTGCTTGGCCTCTAAAAACACAAACAAGAGAAATGCATTTCTGTTATCCCTGTTGGGCTTGGAGCCCATCATTCTTGTTGCCAAGTGGCCTGAGGAGAACCGAAAAACATACCAAAATTAAATGACTTTTTGTTTATATTTTCTTCTTTCTGCTCTGTTGATGCAGCAGGTATTAATCTGCTTGATGCACTGCTGGCCTGGCGGGGTAGCCCTGCTCAGCTGAGGATGGCAGGAGAACAGGTCACCGCCAATGTCAGCAGATACCCTGGACAGAAAACGATGTCCTTTCCTGAAAAAACATTTCTCCTTTCTTATAGGGCATCACTCCTTGCTGTTGTAACACACAGATCCAATAATAGTCGTGGGCGAGCTTTTGAGAGTCAGGTTCTTCCCGATTTGTAAGGTAAAAATACTGATATTTCCCTTTCTCTCCTCAAAATACCTTTGGCATTTATTTATTCAACAATTATTTATTGTTTATTGTGGGCCAGGCAATCTACTAAGTGTCAGGGTTACCAAGACCAATAGCACAGTCCTAAAGAACTTGACAGTATAAATAAGAGATTAAAAATACTGAGAATACTTTCCGAATACCCTCAAAGGTACCACAGCATTGCCTAAAATATAACTGTAAAGACTGGGAACTTCACTTTAGGGTCAATAGATTCTCAGAGATTGGGAGTGTAAGTCCACAACAATGGACCCTCCTTCAACCTGGAGACTTTTTCTTATTTTCTATTGTATTCTGAGCCAGAACAGAGACTCACAAGAGATATTTATTGGCTATTAGTGAGCAAGGAGCTGGAGCCATCTAGAATAATGACTTAGCCATGCATGAATCTTCTCTATTTTTATTTCCAGCGCTAGCTTATTTAGCTTTTCTTTGACAGCATTACTTCACAGAGTAGCCCATTCCATTTTTGACCAGCTCTGTCAGGAAATTCTTCCTCATTTTGTGCAGAAATATATCCCCCTCCAAGTTCCACCCACAGAGGTGCATTCTGTCCTCCCTCTGGGACTCCCAGGAACACACACAACAGTTCTCTCCACTGTGTCCTTCTATTTTGAAATTTTCATGTCTACAAAAAAGCTGAAGAAACAGTATAAGTAACACCTATATGCCTTTCATCTATTCACCAATTATTAACAGTTTCCAATATCTGCTTCTTTATTGCTCATCCTGGGTTTTTTCCCCCTGAATTGAGATTTATTTGCAAACATAAAACTATATCACCCTTACATTAATACTTTGGCATATATCTCCTAAGAATCACATTCTCCTGCATAATAACATTTCTATTCTACACCTTAAAAAGTAATGTTTAATAAAATATTATTTAAAATAACATCCATGTTTAAATTATCCCCTCCCCAACCTTTTTTAAAGTTGGGATTTTTTAGTCCTAGATTTTTTTTTTAAATTCACATATTAGATTTGGTTGTTAATATCTCTTTGGTCTCTCTCTCTCTTTTTTTTTTTTTTTTTTTTTTTGAGACGGAGTCTCACTCTGTTGCCCAGACTGGAGCGCAGTGGAGTGATCTTGGCTCACTGCAACCTCTGCCTCCCGGGTTCAAGTAATTCTCCTGCCTTGGCCTCACAAGTAGCTGGGATTACAGGCATGCACCACCATGCCCAGCTAATTGTTAGTAGAGATGGAGTTGGCCATCATTTTGGCCAGTCTGGCCTCGAACTCCTGACCTCAAATGATTCACCTGCCTTGGCCTCCCAAAATGCTGGGATTACAGGTGTGAGCCAACGCGCCCGGCCTCTTTGGTCTCTTGTTACCTGGAATATTCTCCCAGCCTTTTTTTTTTTTTTTTTTTCCTTAGGACTACTACATAAGTGTACTGCTTATCTCACTAGTGATAATATACATGTTGACTACTTGATTTAGATGGTGACCACTAGGTCTCTCCATTGAAATGGTAAATTTTCCCCCTTTGCAATTAAAAACTGATCTGTGGGGTGATATTTTAACAACTTTTCCCAACAACTTTTTTTTTTTTTCAACAGCAGCTGGTATCTTTTGATGTTTCCCAACAACTTTTTACAGAAGTTTTAGCTGCCACTGATGATCTTTGCCTGCATCAACTATTACTTTGAGAATTACAAAATGATGATTTTCTAAGTTCTGTCATTTCTCCTACATGGGATCCATTATCATCATTTTTTTTGGATACTCAAATTACCCCAAAATTTGGCCAGTGAAAATCCCTTGATGCTACCATCTGTCTTTTCAACATGACCCCATTAGTTGAGCACTTCCTAGCTTTCTATCACAACTAGATGTCCAGGATCATCTTGTATTTTCCCTTAGCCCAGACCCAGAATCCGCCATTCCTCCAGTGGCCAGCATTCCTCTTAGTAGGGAACAGCATTTATTAGGAAGAATTCTGCTAGTTTCCTCCACGTATCAGCCTCTGGGTGTTTGAAGCCAGTTATCGTTTCCATCCCATGCACTTCCCCAAACTTTCACATCTGGGCTAAGTTCTCCCAGTTCCTCACACCAGTCTTCCTATGGTTTAGCTTTGACTTTTATCTTACTCTTTTTTTTCATCTTCCCTGTCCCAACTCAGCTGCTATATTCTAGACCAGTGGTCCCCAACCTGACTACGCATCAGAATCACTGGGGGACTTGTTTAATATACAGATTTTGAGGATTCATTTGAGACTTATTAAATAGAATATCTGGGGTTGGGCATGGGATTCTGTTTTGTTTTGTTTTTTAAGGTCTCCATGTGGTATCTATACAGTCACTCCACTGCATACTTCAGTTTTTCAAGGTCTTGTGGACCCCAAATTGAACAGAATATCAAAAGTATGATCTAGGCCGGGCACGGTGGCTCACGCCTGTAATCCCAGCACCTTGGGAGGCCGAGGCAGGTGGATCACGAGGTCAAGAGATCGAGACCACCCTGGCTAACATGGTGAAACCCCGTCTCTACTAAAAACACAAAAAATTAGCCAGGCATGGTGGCGGGCACCTGTAGTCCCAGCTACTCGGGAGGCTGAGGCAGGAGAATGGCGTCAATCCAGGAGGCGGAGCTTGCAGTGAGCCGAGATTGTGCCACTGCACTCCAGCCTGGGAAACAGGGCGAGACTCCATCTCAAAGAAAAAAAAAAAGTATGATCTAGAGCTACCACTTTTAGCCTGAACATTAAACTTCTTTCAGTGTAATCAAATCGGTGCAGACTTTTTTGGGGGAAGGTAGATGTAATGACATAAGATTTTTGATTCATGGTAAATTTATGAAGAACTAAATCCTTCAGACTTTTTCAAAAATATTGCTAAGTCACATCTCCCTTATCTTTTTATGTTCCACTGGTGTTTCATTCTAAGGGTTTCCATTTGTGCCTATTAAAATTCATATTGCTCAGTTCAGTCCAATCTTCAGAATGTCAAAGGTCTTGGGGATCCTGGTTTTACCATCCTAAGTATTTTTGACTCTTCCAACTTTATGTCACTCACAGTTAAGCATGCTGTCAAAGTCCTTTCTCTTACATTGCCTTATTTTTATTTTTAACAGAGATGAGACAGTGTTTTGCTATGTTGCCTAGGCTAGTCTTGAACTCCTGGGCTCAAGCGATCCTCCTGCCTCAGCCTCCCAAGTAGCTGCGATTACAGGTGTGAACCACCATGCCTGGCTGCTATTTTTCTTTAAGTATCTAATATAAAAGAATCTTACGAACTGTTTAATGATTATGGTGGTAGATACATAATTGTACATGCCTATCAAAACTAGTAAGATTATACACAAAAAAGAATGAATTTTAACATATGTAAATTGTACCTGGAAAAAAAATCAGTCAATATTCTAAATACCCAGCTATATTCTTCTCTCAGATTAGGTCTCACTAACTTATTTTGATTGACAATTTCTGCAAAACGCATTGCTATTCTAAGCAATGAAATTTTTATAGATCTTATATTTTTATTGATTGAGGTCAATGCACTCTAGGGTTTGATCTCTTGAAAAAGCACCAGGATTTGGCTTACCAGAGCAGTCAATCCAATGAGTACATTACTTTAACAATTCCCACAAAATAAAACATCAAAAAAGGTGGTAGAATGTGGAATAAAAAGAAATTAATATTAGAAAAATTATAATCTTTCATAGTACTGGGTTACAAATATTAAATATAGCCTGTCAGTCCTGCCTATGAGAAGTCAGACAATTTTTCACCTATAAGTTTGACAAGGATTTTTTAATGTACTCTTCAGTGTTGGAGAATTCTAGTGAAATACACTCAGTGTGGTTGAGAGCTTAAGTGATACAACCTTCCTGGCCACTTGAAATACCTAACAAAAACATAAAATAATCCATTTGAATATATACATACATATATAATCTAAAAGTCTAGAAAGAAATGTACCAAAATTTTAGCAATAGCCAGCCATCTCTGGCTGATGGAAGGCAGTCTGGGTTTTGTTTTGTTCTGCTTTTTTCATGCTTTGTATTTTTAAAATATCTTTTAAATTTCTACAGTGAGCCTATATTAGTTTTATGATTAGGAAAACAGCAGTACACACTTACAAAAATACTGGTTAAAGGGAGGGGAGGAAAATAAGTCACAAAAACTAATAAATGAGAGTAAAATAATTTTTACGAAAATATATCTGTCACTGATGGGAATTCCTAAAATAAAACATGTTTTCCAGGTAGTCAATAGTTTTATGTGAAATTTTAATTCAGAGAATGAATAAGATTTCCCTTATGAAGCTTCTCTGAATGCTACAGAAGATTCCAATAGACAGTAACTCTAAAGAGGACACTTACATTGCTTCCAAACAATACTTTTCAAATAAGAAGCTTTATACAGAATTATTAGATACTGTAAATTCATACCTTGAAGAACGATGTTCTGGTTTATTTCGTTCGTTGCGATCTGTAGAGAAAGAAGATGGTTACGTGTCAAAAGGTTCTTTAAAAGCTCTGGAAAGAAGTTTTTAAATACCAGCTGCCATACCATTAGATTTCACAAAGGACTGTTCAAAGGTAGTTGTGTCTTCCTAAGTATAAGGCTCTTCATCACAGTTCGCCTGACAGAGGCAGAAAAGACACAATGAAGGACAGGCATAAAAGCTTACGGTTTGTTAAAATCATCTACTTGGAAAATGCATCATTACATGCATTATTTCATTTTATAAGATCTTTCCTGTGCTAAATACTTTGCTAACACTAGAAGAGATTTAGCTAAGGAAAGAAAGCAAGGAAACTGCAAAGCCACAGATTACTCAGCTCAAAAAAATCATTCCATGAATCATGGTTGGCAGAAGCTTCTAACAGAATGGGGAGGGGGAAAAATGAGCAGTCAGCTACAACATCTGCAAATACTAAGACCAATACAGCTTCACCCTTAACTATCTACCACCCAGAACATTTCAGAAGTTGGATTTCAATGTTTCTCCAGTAATTAGATATAATGTGCTCTCTATATAAAATTTTTGATCGTCACAACTGGGAAGAAGGGAACTCTCATGGGTAGAAAGCAGGAATGTTGCTAAAGATCCTACAATGCATAGAGCGGTCCCTTTCACCAAAAGAATTATCTCATCCAAAATGTCAGCAGTGCAGAGGTCGAGAAACCCTGCTATAGGGTAAGAAATAAGAGCACAGATGCTTGAACTTTTCAAAAGTGACTCTCTAGACTGCTGTAACATGCTATTAATCAACCTTGAGACTATCATATACAAGAGAACCATAAAACCCACAGGTTGTCTTTTTTGAACCTGAGTAACAATTTTTCCTCCACTATATGCTTAAGAATTAAAAATAAATGAAGTAAAAGGCCGCAGTGTTATGCAAAAATAAACAATATGAAGCAATATACAAACCACAATATATCCTAAGCAATGACGTTAAGAAAAAATCCTATGGAATATTATCAAAATACAGTTTTCTATAGTATCTTCTGAATTAATGCTAACAAGATAGAATTTAATGGCAACGTAAAGATTAAGACAGGAATGCTTTTAGTTTTTCCTTAATTTTATTGCTGTTAGAACAGAATAAGAGGATTATGAAACATACTCTAAAACTTCTAGAAAGAAATATGGAAGAAAAGGAATAGGATTTACACAGTTAAACGTATGTAACAATTCTTTCTGAATGAGTTCATAATAAAAAAGAAATGTTTTTCAAAGCCAAAGAGTTAGTACTCATGAAAACACTGTTCTCTGAAAGACTAATAAGTAAAAAGATTCACAATAAAGCATGCCTGCTTAGATATAATGATTTCCAAACACATAGTGTTAGCACATTTCTGGTTCCAATTTTTCTACACTGTGACTTAGTATTACTGCAGCTTTTAAAACTTTTCTGTTTTAATTTAACTTGGTTTTACCCCTCCCTTAAATGAAAATATCATGTTTTTCATTTGATGAGTATTAAGATTTTAAAGTCATAGTAACGCAGGGCACATTTAAATCATTTCTCTCAATCATTCTCCAGTTTTTAGCCTGCTAGCTTCGCTACAAAAATGAAGTATAATGTCTCAAAGTAAAGCCAGAAACTGAATACAGATTAGCTATCCTCATATAACAAAGCAACAACTCTTACCTGTGGCTAAAGCCGAGCTAAAACTCTGTCCAGAACATCATTTCCTGTGGCTGTGATCCTAGTTACATAGTTTACTTAGGCATGTAATAGCAAATTTCCCCACTAATCTTCCTAGTGGTACAACACACAAGAGGAAGGGAGAAACAGAGTCACGATGCATGTAAACAAGACTCAGTATCCAAGGGCTTCCCTCCAGGGCCTGTTCTGATTGGCAGATGTGCTATGACCAGTCTGCACAGCTGGAATGTGGCCACTCAGGAAGCAAATGGCTCACAGCTCTCCTTCGTTCTTGGTTAAAACAGGAAATTCTACAGTCATTTTTATACTTTCTGCTCTAAGAAAATACAAATGTCTTCTCATAGCACTTTTCTATTGAACCAGTAATTAAAATTCAACAAAAGACTTGATTATCTGCTGGGGGAAATTTTAAAATTTTCCCCCCAAATTCACTATTAGTGTTATCTGTGTTACATTCCTGTGTAAATATAGATACGCAGTACTTATAAAATGTTACTCCTAAGAATTCACATAGTTGATAATTTGAGGGTAAGGGTAAATTATCCATTACTCACAATATTTCCCATCCCTCACCTCTTGACCATGAAAAACAAATTGAAACACATGTTCTTGGCTTGATCTTTTCCCTCAAAGTATACAAATATTTGGATTTCACATTTTGCCATAAAGCCATCTTTTAGCTTAAATACATATAAATAATGGGGTGTGTGTTGCGTATCTGTGTGTCTTATATACTTATACTTTTTCATATACTTACATTTTAAAGTAATTTTCATGATAGTCAAGATTATTGTGCAATTGTCAAGAAATATATTAGTAGAAATAAATTTTTTGGCAAAATAATAAGTGGTTATTATTTTGTTCCAAAAGCCAAGACTGAACAAAACAAATCACTGAGGGTGGATTCAGAATCTGCTTTCTTGCCAACAATAACAAAACATTTGGATGAAAGCCCAAGAATGAGAACAGATCTATAGCAAACATGGAAATTTAATCTTGGCTATATATAGTGCTTTAAGTGTATGGATTTTATTTTAAATCAAATACTCTTCAGCACATTCTCTGAATTTTTTCTTTTCTTTTTTTTTTTCTTTTGAGACAAGGTTTCGCTCTGTACTCCAGGCTGGAGTGCAGTGGTGCAATCACAGCTCACTGCAGCCTTGAGCTCCTGAGCTCAAGTGATCCTCCCATCTCAGCCTCCCAAGTAGTTGAAGTAGTTAGGATTACAGGCACATGCCACCACGCCTAGCTAATTAAATTTTTTTTTTTTTTTTTGTAGAGACAGGGTCTCCCTATTTTGTCCAGGCTGGTCTCAAACTTCGGGACTCAAGCGATCCTCCTGCCTTGGCCTCCCAAAGTGTTGGGATTGCAGGCATGAGCCACTGTGCTCAGCCTTCCAATTTTTTAGTTTCTAATTTTCAAATTAATTGGGGGAGAATATTTCTAAAGGTTTTCTGAACTTCTGCATATTTAGAAATCATATGAATAACTTTCTAGCCCAAAGTCTCATCATTTCTATGAAAAAAAGAGTTATTAAAAATAAAATGCCTTAACTCTAAAATTTGCCAAATGCTACACATTTGCTGTGGATGATATACTTATTCCAGGGGCCTGCCCAGCAGAGCATGATGGTTTAGGTCACTCAAAGACCAGCAGTATATACTCAGTGTGAGGGTAACCATGGCTGGGTAACCATGTAATGGTTTTATAGATATGTATCACACACACACATACACACACACACCCCGCTCTTCCATTCCCTGTCCCTCTCATCCATGCCTCATGGTTAATAAGGCTAACTGAGGAATAGAAAAGTACTCTGTAAGTAGAACAAAGACAGAAAACAAGGCAGAGGCTGGGTGCAGTGGTTCACACCTGTAATCCCAGTACTTTGGGAGGCCGAGGTGGGTGGATCACCTGAGGTCAGGAGTTTGGGACCAGCCTGGCCAACATGGCAAAACCGCATCTCTACCAAAAGTACAAAAAAATTAGCTGGACGTGGTGGTGCACGCCTGTAATCCCAGCTACTCTGCGGGCTGAGGTGGGAGGATCACTTGAGCTCGGGAGATGAAGGGTGCAGTGAGCCAAAATCACGCCACTGCATTCCAGCCTGGGTGACGGAGTGAAACTCTGTCTCAAAAACAAAAACAAAAACAAAAAACAAGGCAGAGCTGGCACAAAGACTATTGGTTGTGTGTGTATAAATGCTGTGGGGGAGATGTGAGGGATGCAATGGGGGAACCCATGGTATGTCAAGGGGACTGAAGAACAGTTAGGGGAGTGGTGGGATGCTATCATGGGTCAAGGATTCTGTGTAAGAACTCCAGATTATCCACATTTTCCTTTCATGTCAACTTGGTTCTATGTAATCTAGACATATGATTCCAATGTTTATGTATTTAGGTGTTACGCCACTTACGTAGAAATGGGCCCCTGTTCTGGCACAGACAGTTTTTGGGTACGGCTACGCAGATCCTACTGATGTGGAACCATTCAGGGTGATTCTGACTCTAATAATACTTTGAAATGGAGATGACAAAAATGCAAATGCCATCTTTGCTTTGATTAAAACTAAGAAGAATAGCCAACTCAGAACTTATTAGAATCTGTTGTAAGACATTCAGGCTTTGATGATTTAGCTTTGATCACTTAACAGGAGAGAAAAATCAAACCCCATTGGGTAGGGACTTACTTTACTGACTCAAGTTGGAAATGAAAGACCTGAAATCATTCTTTGAAATTAAGGGCAAGGCTCAGTCTACATGAATGAATATACACAGATATACTCACAATGGAGTAAGAAGTGGTTTAAAGTGAGTCTTTTTTTTTTTTTTTTTAATTGAGACAGAGTCTCACTCTGTCACCCAGGCTGGAGTGCAATCTCGGCTCACTGCAATCTCTGCCTCCCAGGTTCAAGTGATTCTTCTGCCTCAGCTGGGACTACAGGTGCATGCCACCATGCCCGGCTAATTTTTGTATTTTTAGTAGAGATGGGGTTTCACCATATTGGCCAGGCTGGTCTCGAACTCCTGACCTCATGATCCAGCCACCTCAGCCTCCCAAAGTGCTGGGATTATAGGTGTGAGCCACCATCCCCGGCCAAAGTGTCCATCTTATATCTCATCTTGGCATACCAAAATCTCTTTAGCAGATGCATTACCAATGAAGCGATTCTGTAGCATACTCCCAAGCATTACTGTTAAGTTCCAGCTTGGGAGTATATACGGTATATATTATTTTTAAAATATGGATGAACCCTATATAAACCCTTTGTGCCATTCAGAATTACCTAAAGGTTCCTTGGGGCTGAAAACAAATTATTTGCAGCAGCAATGTCATTACATCTTTACTTATGACAAGCAGAATAAATAAAACAATGAACTCATCCATTATAAGACATAAGATATCCAGTGTTCATACATCTTACTTTGGTGATTCTTTAAAAGATTGCATAATTGATTCCAAACAAATAGACCATGGATGGGATTTTACTTATCAGATATCAGAATTTCAAATAACTTTTCTAAAAACCTTAAATGGTTCCTATATTTAGAGAGAGAAAACTGCAAATATATATATATATTTCAAGTATATACTTCAAGCATATATATACATACACTTGAAAAGAAGGCAGTGCTCATTCTACAAAGTTACTGACACCAACTAATATGAATCCACCTCTGCTTTCTATTTGACAGCCTTGTTTAGGTGTGTCTCCAAACTGATTTTTATTTACATTTGAGATTCCCACAGTGATGGTCTATTGTTCTTTTAAATGATACCTTTTCAATAAATATATATTTGTTGTTGCTGAAATAACACATTAAGTCAGAAAATTCCTACTCTCTTGGTTAAAAAAGCCAAGAAATTAAAGAGGGTCTCTGTCAGTTACCACTGCAGGGGAGAAATAAGACATACTACAGAGAAGTTTACATGGCTGCTGCTGCCCATGCTTCCATGGGTAAGTGGGAAAGTCTGGTCTACAGCACTATCAATAGTGACATCGTTCATTAATTAAAGTGCCTAAATTCATTAAAATTCATTAAAATGCAGTACTCTAATTACCCAGGAAGGGAAGAATTGGAGATGGAAAGGAAGTTTCTTCAAACAAGAATTTATGTCTTGGCTGGCTGGGGTGGCTCATGCCTGTAATCCCAGCACTTTGGGAGGCTGAGGTGGGCGGATCACTTGAGGTCAGGAGTTCAAGACCAGACTGGCCAACATGGTGAAACCCTGTCTCTAGTAAAACTACAAAAATTAGCTGGACATGGTGGCGCACACCTGTAATCCCAGCTGCTCAGGATGCTGAGGCAGGAGAATCGCTTGAACCCGGGAGGCGGAGGTTGCAGTCAGCTGAGGTCACGCCACTGCACTCCAGCCTGGGGGATGGAGGAAGACTCTGTCTCAAAAAAGAATTTATGTTTCAACAAAGAAGCAGACTATCTCTGGAATGTTTTCTCCTTCCCATCCCCACTGTTTTTACCCTCATTTTAGGTTCTTATCAGCAATTGTCTGGACTCTTATGTCCTGACTGGATTTTCTGGCCCCAGTTTCTTCCCTCTAACCCAATCACATTGCTGGCCAAATAAATCTAGGCCTCAGAAAATTATAAATCACTTAGATCTTCAGAGGATTAAATGAGATAATGCCAGTGACATTCTTAGCACCCTGTCTGTACACTTAAGCATACCACAAATGTCAGCTGCCGTCATGTTGTTAAAAGGCCAGCTATTAACTAGTTGTAGCAAATGATACTGCATCATAGTGACTGTACAAGTCACTTAACCTCCCTAAGCCTCAGTTTTCTCATCTACAAAACAGGGGAAAATACTATCCTTATGGAGTTTTTATGAGGATAAATGAATTAAAGGGTATGAAAGGTTTAGTTCAATATCTAGACCATCAATTCTATGACTCTAATTCTGTGACTACCACTCTTAATATCTTTAATGCATGGCTCAAGAACCACCTTCTCCATGAAGCTGTCCCTGATTCCTCTCTCTCTTCAGCATCCTTGTATTCATTTCTTACTGCTGCTGTACCAAATTACCACAAACTTAGCAGCTTAAGACAACAAAAATGTATTATCTTAAAGTTCTAGAGGCCAGAAGTCAAAATGAGTATCCCCAGACCCATTAATGCGGGGGTCCCCAACCCCTCTGCCATGGACCAGTACCAGTCTATGGCCTGTTAGGAACTGGGCCACAGGGCAGGAAGCAAGCAAGAATTTCTGCCTGAGCTCTGCCTACTGTCAGATAAGCATCCACATTAGATCCTCATAGGAGCTTGAACCCTATTGTGAACCGCACATGGGAGGGATCTAGGCTTTGTGTTCCTTATGAGAATCTAATGTCTGATGATCTGTCACTGTCTCCCATCACCCCCAGATGGGACCATCTAGTTGCAGGAAAACCAGCTCAGGGCTCCCACTGATTCTACATTATGGTGAGTTGTATAATTATTATATATTATAATGTAATAATAATATAAATAAAGTACACGATAAATGTAATATGTTTGAATGATCCTGAAACCAGCCCTCTGCACCTGGTCCATGGAAAAATTGTCTTCCATGAGACCAGCCCCTGGTGCCAAAAAGGTTGGGGACCGCTGCATTAAGGTGTTTGCCAGGCTACATTCCCTTTCGATGCTCTAGGAGAGAATCCCTTTCCTTGCCTTTCGCAGCTTCCTGAGGTCACTTGCATTCCTTGGCTTGTCGTCCTTTCCTCCAATAGTGTAGCATTTAAAAATCTCTTTCTGACTGGTTTCCTCATCTACCTCCCTCTTCTACTTTAAAGGACTTTTATGATGACACTGGGTACACCAGGATAATCCAGAATAATCTCCCTATGTCAAGTTGACTCACAACCTTAATACTCCTTTGCCATGGAAATGTGACATATTTGCAGGTTCCAGGGATTACGATGTGGACATCTTTGTGCGGAGGGGGATAGCATCATTCTGCCTAACGCACCCTATCTGAACTCTCAGACTATCCGTCTATAGCACTCACTTCACACTAAGCATGACAGGGTGCACTGCTGTTTATAAGGTTTTGAGCATGTGTCTGTCCCCTTTATCTAAGCAGCGTCTGATGTAGGCAGGGTCTCTGTGTTAGACTCTGCTTCACAGTCAGTACTCTGTAATGTTTGTTCATAATGGTACTATCCAATGCCCTCCCATTTTCTTTTCTGCCCTGCATCCTTTATGCTGTAGTTGGTTCATGGATATATCTAATATTGCTGCAAAATGATGTGTCTTAAGAATTCCCATACTTTTTTTTGACTTTTTATAAATACAATAGTGATTTTGGTGTCAACTTTCTCCTAAAACAATTCACATTTGGTCTATTCTTCTGCTCAACATAGTCTTCTCCAAAACAAAAAACGCACAGGAAAAAACTACAGCACATTTGAACTGGAAGAGAAACCAGCTATTTGGTGACAGGCTGCTAATTCTTTTTAATAGTTCTTCTTCGAAATGGTTCAAATGAATCATTCTGATTGTTGAATTCAACTGACTATTGAATCAGGCTTTTAATGATTTGGGGTTCTTATGTTAGTTGTTTCAGAGATGAAATCAAAGCCACCATCTGTATTGCCCCTTTTCACTGCAGGGTGAATTTGGTAGAGACTTTAGGAAAATGAACATTTAATCAGTGTCACTTGGGTCCTGGGAAGTAAGGCAGGGAGGGGAGCGGCAAGGGAAGCTGGCTTAGAGAAAGGGGGTCATCAACCCTTCCTGCTGCTCCCTCCTTAAGCTCCCTAATGATTCTCTTGCCTTAATAGTTACTTTCATACCTCTTTTTGTTATAAAATATTTTTCAGCAAGCAAAATTTGTGATTTAAGGAGGTATAAAAAGACCTTTTAGTTCCCTGACTATCAAATGCAAAATATTGGGCCATTCCTAAAGGTTTTTCTTTCCTTTTTTGGTTTTTGTTTTCTTTCCAAGTTTGTGTTTTTTTTTTTTTTTTTTTTTTTTTTTTTTTAGACAGGGGCTCACTCCGTCACTCAGGCTGGAGTGCAGTGGTGCAATCTTGGCTCACTGCAGCCTCGACCTCCTGGGCTCAGGAGATCCCACCTCGCCTCCCCAGTAGCTGGGACTACAGGTATGTGCCATCACACCCGGGTAATTAAAAAAACTTTTTTTCTTGTAGACATGGAATCTCACTTTGTTGCCCAGGCTGGTCTCGAACTCCTGGGCTCAAGTGATCCTCCTACCTCAGCCTCCCAAACTGCTGGGATTACAGGCATGAGCCATCACACCCAGCCTCCAACTTTTATTTTAGGTTCAGGGGTGCATGCGCAGGTTTGTTACATGTTTCAAAGGGGTTTGGTGTACAGATTACTTTGTCACCCAGGTAATGAGCACAGCACCCAACAGGTCATTTTTCAATCCTCCCCCTCCTCCCGCCCTCCACCCTCCAGTAGGACCTAGTGTCCATTGTTCCTTCTCTGTGTCCATGCGTACTCAATGTTTAACTCTCACCTTTAAGTGAGAACATGTGGTATTTGGTTTTCTGTGGGTTTTTAATAAAGGTCATAAATTTAACCTGGAATAAGATATGCTATAAGCAAGGCAATCTGAGAAAGTGACCTAATAACAGATTGCTTTCAGTGTTTCCCAAATTACAATAACCTCTCAAAATCCTGCAATTAAAAAAATTTATTTAACTTTGTTTAACACATTCTCCTAACTAATCTGAGGATAAAACATTTCTTACAGGCCAGGTGCAGTGGCTCACACCTGTAATCCCAGCAGTTTGGGAGGCCAAGGGAGGTGAATCACATGAGGCCAGGAATTCAAGACCCAGCCTGGCCAACATGGTGAAAACCTGTCTGTACTAAAAATACAAAAATTAGCTGGGTGTGGTGGTGCACATCTGTAATCTCAGCTACCTGGGAGGCTGAGGCATGAGAATTGCTTGAACCAGGGAGGTGGAGGTTGCAGTGAGCTGAGATTGCGCCACTGCACTCCAGCCTGGGTGAAAGAGCAAGACTCTGTCTCAAAAAAAAATTTTTTTTCTTACAAAATCAATTTGGATCAGACTTGGTATCTGGTACCTAAGCAAAGACAATGTTATCTCATTATCACCATCCACTCTCCCAGGAAACCAAAGTCCCTTATACAGAGCTTAGTCTTAGTCATCTCCGTGTCCAGCACCAGGCCTGACCCATAGCTACCACTTCTCAAATGAACTGAACTCCAACTGCTATAGGGCCAGGCACAGGCTCCAAGTGCCAAAGCCAGTGGGACGCAATGATAAATCAGTCTCCCCTCCAATCCAATCAGGTTGAGAGATGACAACGTGCTAGCAGCCCTCGTTCACTCTTGGTGCCTCCTCGGCCTCGGCGTCCGCTCTGGCCGCGCTGGAGGAGCCCTTCAGCCTGCCGCTGCGCTGTGGGGGCCCCTCTCTGGGGCTGGCCGAGGCCAGAGCCGGCTCCCTCAGCTCGTGGAGAGGTGCAAGCGGGAGCCGGGGCTGCGCCCGGGGCTTGCGGGCTGGCGGGGGTTCCAGGTGTGCGTGGGTTCCGCGGGCCCCGCACTTGGCACAGCTGGCTGGCACCTGCTGGGCTTGATTGGGGGATGAGCTCCCTCTGGGCTGCCGGAGTGCCCGGGCTAGGTGCTGCAAAGTCCCACCGCGAGGGCCATTGAGAGGTGAAGCCAGCTGGGCTTCTGGGTCGGGTGGGGACTTGGAGAACTTTTCTGTCTAGCTAAAGGATTGTAAATGCACCAATCAGCACTCTGTGTCTAGCTAAAGGATTGTAAACGCACCAATCAGCACTCTGCGTCTAGCTAAAGGGTTGTAAATGCACCAATCAGCGCTCTGTGTCTAGCTAATCTGGTGGGGACTTGGAGAACTTTTGTGTCTAGCTAAAGGATTGTAAATGCACCAATCAGCACTCTGTGTCTAGCTAAAGGTTTTGTAAATGTACCAATCAGCTCTCTGTGTCTAGCTAATCAGGTGGGGACTTGGAGAACTTTTGTGTCTAGCTAAAGGATTGTAAATGGCCAATCGGCACTCTGTGTCTAGCTAAAGGTTTGTAAATGCACCAATCAACAATCTGTCAAAATGGACCAATCAGCTGTCTGTAAAACGGACTAATCAGCTCTCTGTAAAATGGACCAATCAGCTCTCTGTAAAATGGACCAATCAGCAGCATGTGGGTGGGGCCAGATAAGGGAATAAAAGCAGGCCACCCAAGCCAGCAGCAGCAACATGCTGAAGTCCCCTTCCATACTGTGGAAGCTTTGTTCTTTCACTCTTCACGATAAACCTTGCTGCTGCTCACCCTTTGGGTCTGTGTTGCCTTTATGAGCTGTAACATGCACCGCGAAAGTCTGCAGCTTCACTCCTGAAGCCAGCGAGACCACGAACCCAGCGGAAGGAATGAACAACTCTGGACACGCCGCCTTTAAGAGCTGTAACACTCACCGCGAGGGTCTGTGGCTTCATTCTTGAAGTCAGCAAGACCAAGAACCCGCCAATTTCGGACATAAGGTCACAAACCTTTTAAGATCTTTTAAGATTATATTTTTTCTTTAATTCTATCACTTATATATCTTTGATTTTGCATTGCTTAGGTTAATTTGTACATCTCAGAATAACAGCTTACATAAAGAAGGTCAGCACCAATTGCTTACCATCTCCAGGTGTCTACTACTGGGGTGTGCCTGCAGTGGAAAATCAATAAATATTTCAGTATGACAATCTAGGTAGATGTTAAAAGCAGGAACTCTAGGTCAGACAGGCCTTGTTTTGAGTTCTTCACTACTTATTACCTGAAGGACCACAACAAACTGACGTCTCTAAGCTTCAGTGTCCACATCTGTAAAATGGGGAATAATAGCAATACTCATCTCATCAAACAGAATGAGGATTAAATGAATAAAGGTACACAAAGGGTAGTATATTTGCTATGAGTAAGTGCTCAATAAACATCTACTATTATGATAATAGTATCAGGAATACAGAATATTTAGCAAGTTCATAATATTGTGGGCAGAATTACCTAAAGGGTAATTATCCTTTGTCGAACAGGGATTTCTTAATCTGCAGGATTTTTCTTTTTTATTACTGGTCAAGAGGACAGCAATGTACTAATAAATAATTTCTAAACCTTCCCTTATTCAACGGTTCAGCCTATTTTTCCTTTTCTTTCTCTTCCCAGCCCTTCTGAACCAGGGGCTATAATGAAAATTAATAAATCTGATTTTCATTTTCCCACTGTAGCCTCTGGCAGAAGTAATAAATAAGCCCTAAAAGTAAGCAGAAGAGGGAGAAAGAGAGCTAAAAGGCAGACAGATAAACTGTGCCAACCAGGGATCACCATCCCTTCCATTCTCCCTAATGTCTTCCCTCATTCCTAGTTCATCATGTGGGTTTTAGTCCTCACTGTCATTTTCTAAGACTTAAGAGAAGAGTCCCCAAATGAATTTTCTGAGTAGGATGAAAGAGTGGCATAAAGAAAGGAACTAGATAGATTAAATGTAAATTTTTTTATCTATTTATGAAATTACTGGAATCTCCCATATTTCAGGATAGTATGGAATTCTTAGACAAGAATACAGAAAACAAAAATTAAAATTATGATTTCAGGTGCCAAAGGACGGATAACATCTCTACACATTGGTTTTCAGCTGTTAAGGGTAAAAATAAAGATTTTATTTTCTTTAAAGGGCAAAAGGCCCACTTTTTATTGTCTTCTCTTCCATTAGTTTTGTTTGTGCCACAGAACTCATAAAGTTATACCTTTGTGTAGCTGACCCTGCAAAATGAACAAATATCAGAAACTGCTGTAACCAAAAGACTCCTTCACGGGCTCCAAAGACCAGGCACCTCCCTCTGGTATAAGAACACTCAGCTCTGGCAACATTTTCTGCTTGGATGAGGATTCTTCCGATCTGTGACTTCTAACTGAGATTTTTATCCACAGTGGGGCAGTCTTGGTCTCTAATGTAGAATTATCACTCTACATTAGAGTGAAAAAAAAATCTTTTTCTTCCAATCAAGAAGAGGTAAAGCCACAGCCAGGCCTTGACAAACTACCTGAGGATAGGGAATGTATTCTCTGTACAACACAACGTCTGTTGCAAATTCAAGCCCACCCCTGTCCTTCCTCTCCACTTCATTAACTTCCATCCAGACAACACTTTCAAAATGATACAGAAATACAAACAAAGAGAATGTTCAATTGTTTCATTCTATTACTCACTGTGTAGAATGCTTCTAAAGTAAGTGCCCAATTCTGATTTTTCACAGTTCTAAAGATTCACAGAATTCTTGAGTGAGAAGAGACACCTGGAGACATCTGTCACCTTTACTTTGAAGCCTTATTTGATCTTCCACAGGCAGAAATAATGCCCTCCACCTCGACATCTATATATTCAGTGCTTAGCACCTATGGGCACTTACCACATTTTGACTCACATTATAATCCTCTTTATGTCTTATTGCTTCCACTACGATAAGGTTCTTTAAGACAGAGCCTTTATATCCCTTGAAATG
Organism: Homo sapiens; assembly: GCF_000001405.40. Taxonomy (NCBI): domain Eukaryota; kingdom Metazoa; phylum Chordata; class Mammalia; order Primates; family Hominidae; genus Homo; species Homo sapiens. Next base: position 151,239,285 of record NC_000004.12, read on the forward strand.
CCTGGCAGAGCACCTTACACAAAATAGGTACAACATAAGTGTCTGTTGTCGAATATACTGGTATGAGTCCTCTCCACACCTCTGCAAGCTGGAGATCAGCTGAGCTAAAAAGCCTCTGTGTTGTTTTTGTTTTTTTTTAGGGGTGGATGCTATTAATTCATAGAGAAGAAGTATTGTGCTTACCACAAGGCTTCAAAAATTTTTTATTTGGAAAGAATGCATTTTGAAGTGCTACTTCAGAATTGCAGAATTACTAAAAACATAATATTCATGTAATGAAAAATGTACTGTTTTGGGAGGGGTGGGAAGCAATGCAATTACGACGACGAAGCATAGGAAGCTACACAAAGGATTCCCTTCTGTGGAACAGACATAGATAAATGTAATCTAAAAAATATGTTGACAGAATTTTAAAGAACACAAGTCAAAAACACAGAGATAGAAGACATAAAAATTAAGAGCCAAGAAAAACAGATTCAAGAGGTCCATATCATTCATTCTTTTATACTTCTCCTGAAATGCTAATTCAGCATAAAATTAGATAATAGAGCTAATAGAGGGGGTAACATGTTCAAAGGTATGGCAGCTGAAAAGTTATAAATATGAAATAAGGTACCCTGAGACTTTAGTGGATAAATGACCAGGAGGAGATTTATCTGTAGAACACGCTCTAAAATTCTGCTATGGAAAAAACTCTTGGGTCAGGTGCCATTGTTCACACTGTAATCCCAGTGCTTTGGGAAGCTGAGGCAGGAGGATTGCTTGAGGCTAGGAGTTTGCAACTAGCTTGGGCAACATACGGAGATCCTATCGCTACCAAAAGAAATTTTTTTTAATTAGCTGGGCACAATGTTATGGGCCTGTAGTCCCAGCTACTTGGGAGGCTGAGGTGGAAGGATCATTTGAATCCAGGAGTTTGAGACCAGCTTGGGTAAGATGGCGAGATCTGGTCTTTACAAAAAATAAAAATTAAAATATTAGCCAGGAACAGTGGCACGAGCCTGTAGTCCCAGCTACTTGGGAGGCTGAGGCAGGAGGATCCCTTAAACCCAGGAATTCAAGGCTGCAGTGAGCTATGATTGCACTACTGCACTCCAGCCTGAGCGACAAAGCAAGAACATGTCTCTTAAAAAAAAAAAAAGTCAAGGGAAGTTCTCTTCACTACGTGTTTCATAAGCAGAAGGTACTGCACATGAGGCTTAATTTCTCAGTCTCACCATTGACCAGATGTCACCAAAGCATGAGCAATATAATTTGTATATATTTAATTTTAAGAAGTTACTAAGAATACACAATAAGATACCACTTCACACCCACTAGGATGGGTATAATGAAAAAGACAGATTAATATTAATAACAAATGTTGGCAAAGATGTTGAGAAATCAGAATCCTCATACGCTGCTGGTAGGAATGTAAAATGGTACAGTTGCTTTGGAAAACAGTCCAGCAATTATCAGAAGGTTAAACATGGAATTATTATACGACTCAGAAATTCTACTCAGGTTTATATCAAAGAGAAATACAAACATGTCTACACAAAATCCTGTACACAAATATTCATAGTAGCATTATTTGTAATAGCCAAAAAGTGAAACAACTCCAAAATCCATCAACCGGTGATGGATAAAATGTGGTACAGCCATACAATGGAATGTAATTTAGCAAGAAAAAGGAACGAAGTACTGGTCCATGCCACACATGATAACTCTTGAAAACATTAAGTAAAAGAAGCCAGCCAGGTGTAATCCCAACACTTTGGGAGGCTGAAGTGGGAGGATTGCCTTAGCCCAGGAGTTTGAGACCAGCCTGGGTAAGGTGGTGAAACGTGATCTCTACAAAAAAAAAAAAATTAAAAAACTAGCCAGCCGTGGTGGCACATGCCTGTAGTCCCAGCTACTTGGGAGGCTGAGGCAGGAGGATTCCTTGAGCCCAGGAATTCAAGGCAGCAGTGAGCTATGATTGTGCCACTGCACTCCAGCCTGGGTTACAAAGCGAGGCCCTATCTTTATAAATAAATACGTAAATAAATAAGTAAGCAAGCAAGCTAGTCACAAGAGACCACATGTCACATAATTTCATTTATATGAAATGTCTAGAATAAATAGGTCTATTTATAAAGACAGAAAGTATTATAAATTAGTGGTTGTCTAGAGTTGAAGGAGTGAAGGCTAAAACGTTCGGGTTTCTTTATGGATTATGAAAATGTTCTAAAATTGATTATAGTGATGACTGCACAACTCTGTGAATACACTAAAAACCACTTTATTTATTTATTTATTTATCTAATTTATTTATTTAAGACAGGGACTATGTTGCCCAGGCTGGTCTTGAACTCCTGGGCTCAAGTGATCCGCCCAACTTGGCCTCCCAAAGTGTTAGGATTACAGGTGCAAGCCACTGTGCCCAGCTAAATTGTACACTTTAAATGGGTGAACTCTATGGTATATGAATTATATCTAATAAAGCTGTTACCAAAAAAAGAATAACCCTGATTAAATGAGTGAATGGTTGAGCTGTTCATTTTAATACTTATAGAAGTATAAGACTATATGAATGAGAACTCTTAAGTATGTTTTCAATGGATACAATTTGGTATGATATTAAAAATTTTAAAGTTCATATTTTGGCCAGTGTCCGTGGCTCATGCCTGTAATCCCAGCATTTTGGGAGGCTGCGGTGTGAGGATTGCTTGAACCCAGGAGTTTGAGACCAGCCTGGGCAACAAATGAGACCCTGTCTCTACAAAAAACAAAAAATTTGGCAGGCATGGTGGTGCAAGCCTGCAGTCTCAGCAACTCAAGAGGCTGAGGCAGGAGAATTGCTTGAGCTTGGGAGGTCAAGGCTCCAGTGGAGCATACCACTGCACTCCAGCCTGGGCAACAGAGTGAGACCCTGTCTCAAAACAAAAAAAAAAGGTTTGTATTTTCAGTTAACAACATTCTAGAAGTGGATTTCTGGTTCTTTATGAAAATGACTTACAAATTTCATATACTGGCTTGGCCAACAAGATCTATGCCAAACTGAAAAGTAATGGTAATAATTAGACCTGTGTTTATTGACTTCCATTCTGTGGGCCATATGCATCAACTCTAATCCTCACTGTCCTACAATGAGTCCTATTTTAGAATGTGGAAACTGAAGTTCTTAGGGGATAAATAACATGCGCAGAGTCACAAAACCAGCAAAGGGCAGAGCTGAGACTGGAACCTGGCTCAGCCTGACTGCAGTCCCATGATCCAGGTGGCTTTTCAGGCAACACATTCCTGACATATCTTTAAAAAACAGGTAGCGAAAGAAAGTAAAAGCATCACATTTTTATTAATAAGTAGGAGTTTTGCTTGTAAAAAGGAAAAACTGAAATGGAATGAAAAGGAGAAAGTATATTTAGAAGCACAGCTTTTATATGACTTTATATAATTCTTTATACCCTTGGGTGACAGTTGATTAGGAAATTAATGATAATATTCTAAGACATAAAGCATCTGGTTATGAGAGCTTCACTAATAGAGGGGTTATATTTAACAAGGGATATAAGATTCTAAACCTCTAAATATGATACATGGGAAATAAAAAAGATAAATGATCTTTCAATAAAAACCTGTAAGAAAATCTCCCAGATATACATAGGAAGCTGAACATAGATTTGGCATTGATAGTACAACCAAGCTGTATGAATCAAGAGGGAAAAGAGAATATGCAGAAGAAATTTCCCAATAACAACTCCAGGTGACAGGTGCACTGATAATTCTATGAGGTAATTAATTCTATTAGAAAAATTGCAAAAAGATTTACAGAGAAGAGAACATTCCCAAACTTTTCTTCCATTTCCCTAGAAACAAATAGCACAATAAAAAAGAAAGACCTATCCCTGGTTATCTGTCCTCAGTCTTTATGATGCTAATCAGCTTGGAGCAAATAGAGCTGCAATAAAGAATCTGTATACTTCCTAAGTAATCTGTGTCCAACTATTTGTAAGAAAAATCATTTAATATCTAAATTGAGAGTACTCTGTTATGAGCAATAAAAAGTATAATAAACAACAAATGAAAATTTAAGCCTTTATACTATAAAATGAAAAAGAAATGTCACTTGCTTTCTATTTCCCTCTGTAAATACCATTAAGATGTGGTAGTGAAATTGTATAAGTTGTTGGCATGGGCCCTCAAAACAAAATGAGAGGGAATGTAAGTGATCCCTGTCTCTTACATGTCAGGATGTCACTGACAATATGGAAGTTCTTAGCTGTTTTAAGTGTTTATATTATGTTGCCTAGTGGCAGAAATTAAGTCCTATATGGACAAGAGATTAAGCAAGATAATGGGTATGAGGGTCCTTCATAACACAAATGGCTAATTATTAGTGCTATTATTTTGAAAACTGAAACAGACCATGAGACACTAGATCTGTATCATATGTCTCCAGGGCTATACCGTAAGTCAAAGCATTACAACTGTTGGGAGAAAAGCTGGACATTCCAAAAAAACTACTTATTTTTGAGTATTGAGGAAAATTGCTATTCTTGGATATAAGCTCAGAGAAGACTGAGTACTGCAGTTTGAGAATTGCTGCTAAAAAGGAGACAAACCATCAACAGAGATTTTCAAACTCTTGCTAGACCAAGAACTGAACAAGGAGTACATCTCCAAATATCATGCCTTCTTCAAAGAGTAAAAAATTCCGTGGACCTTGAAGACTCACTGTGGAATTTCCAGAGCCTTATGTACATTTGTTCAAAGCATTATCAGGTGTTGATTGGAAGGGAGGCTGAGTTATTTCTGTGACTTGATCAAACAGTTGGCTATTAGCCCCTGAATTTAATAACTAGGGAATAAAAGTTTATTTGACCCTTAAGAGTCTATAGTAAACAAGACACAGACATCTTACTGTAATACCACAGAATCTTCCCACATCTCAAACAACAACAACAACAACAACAACAACAAATACACAAAAAAACCCAACCCTGCTTAAGGGTTTTTGGTTTTGTTTTGTTTTGTTTGGTTCAAAGATATCTTAGTATATGAATTTGGAGAACAAGCCTTTAGATTTTAGAGAAATTGTTCAAATGTTGATAGGGCATAGAAGGAAAGCTTAACATTCAATTTAACCCAAGGAAAAGAGAATCTGCAACGAAGTCGGGAAAGGAAGATTCTAATACTTGCTTCTAAGTTGTTTCTTTTTACACCCGAGGATCACAAAAGAATGACTTCTTCTCAGAATTATCTTGTAAATAAAAACAAACAATAAAGATTATTCGAACTGAGATTTAAATGTAAATCCAGGTCTATTTTGAAAGGGCCTGACCAAATCATGTTATAGTCAGAGACCACAGTGTGTACAGTCAAGTGAAATGTACATTCTGAGAGAGCCTAAGGTGCCAGTGTACCTCAGAAGTGTGGTAGTCTTTTGTGTCAACAATTTAAAACAGTTAATCTGTACATAAAACATGTTTCCAATATTGAATTGAAATGTTAACCAAGTGTCACTGGGTGTAGCTATCTCTAAAACATAGCCATAGCAAAAATGACAGGTAAACAGATTTCTCTGTTGTAGAGAATTCAAATATACATAAAAATAATTGGGTGCAGTGGCTCACGCCTGTAATCCCAGCACTTTGGGAGGCCGAGGCGGGCAGATCACGAGGTCAGGAGATAAGAGACCATCCTGGCTAACACGGTGAAATCTCGTATCTACTAAAAATACAAAAAATTAGCCGGGTGTGGTGGCACACACCTGTAGTCCCAGCTATTCGGGAGGCTGAAGCAGGAAAATCATTTGAACCCAGGAAGCGAAGGTTGCAGTGAGCCGAGATCACGCCACTACACTCCAGCCTGGGCAACAGAGCAAAACTCCATCTCAAAAAAATAAAATAAAATAAAATAATAATAATAATAATTAAGTTGCTTAGGAGCTTTATCACTACTGACCTTTCTGAGTTAAAGCCTTTAAAAATCACTAATATATTAATTTGTTCAAGTCTTAATTAAGTAGTGTAACTAACTACTGAGTTCCCTGATTCAGTTCCTTGTTAATTTTTTTTTTAGGGGAAAAAGTGAGGAGACACTGTCTGGCAAGATTTACACATCAATGCTTGATTAAGGAAAAGGGACTCCTCCCTTAGCAGCGTGAAGCCTGGATAGAGATGGGTTCTTTCTACTTTCCAGACTTTAATGGCAACTGTGCCCAGAGTTTCTAGATATTCCTCATACCTGTTCCCTGTAAAAGACCATAAACATTCCTGGTTTACTGTAGCTGAAAAGTCATCTAAATTCAAATTTATTGGATGGCTTTGCATTGGTCCAGTGTGGTCTTCTGAGTCTTTTGTTTGTTTGTTTGAGATGGAGTCTCACTCTGTCACCAGGCGGGTGTGCAGTGGCGCAGTCCTGGCTCACTGCAACCTCCGCCTCCCAGGTTCAAGTGATTCTCCTGCCCCAGCCTCCTGAGTAGCTGGGATTACAGGCACGCGCCACCATGCCTAGCTAATTTTTATATTTTTAGTAGAGACGAGGTTTCACCATATTGGCCAGGCTGTCTCGAACTCCTTGACCTCAAGTGACTGCCTGCCTTGGCCTCCCAAAGTGCTGGGATTTACAGGCATGAGCCACCACTCCCGGCCTGGGTTTATGAGTCTTTTACTGGGACTTGACCCATTCTCATTTCCCAAAGAGTTTAAAGATTGGGATGAAGTTAACTGGAGCAGGAAAAATAAGTAAGATTGGAAAGATATATGACTTTATAACCCCATTGAAGACATACAAAAAAAAAAAAAAAGGCTGAAATATAAAGTATTTCCCTGGTGGCATTTGTTCTGGTATCTTATTTTTTAATTTATGTTTTCAGGAAAAATTCTCCATCAGATTAAATAGCTAAAGTTACAAAAGGCAAATACTCACATAAAATTTGAATCTGAAAAGGAAAACCTAATTCCTGGTATATATATAGATGGGTACTGACAACATTTCTATTTCTCTGAGTTTCACGGATTTCAGGGTAACATCTGAATTAAGGTTGTGTATCTATCCTTTCAACATCTGAATCATCTAACATAGAATGATCAAATTCTGTTTCTGGCTTATCAAATTACCTAGCATTTTCCTTGCAATGATGATGTTCAAAGCTGGTACAAATAGTGCAGGATAGAGCCATTCTTAGCTACCATTGGTAGGAGTGGGTATGATCTTTCTGGAGAGTAATTTGGGCCTTTAAAAAGTTTATGACCTTTTCTCCAACATTCAGCTTCTAAAAAGCTATCTCCAGGAAATAGAAAGGTGAGATAAATTTCCAGATAAAGATATTTATGGCACTGTTCTTTACAATAGCAAATCTAAATTTTGCCATTAATAATTTTTAAAATATACTATACAGTTATGATCATATTCGACATTGTCAGGTACTTACCTAACTGCTTAACTCACTTGACCTTCTCAAGAGCCCTATGAAGTATGTTCTCTTACCCAGAATTCCCATTTATTGATGAGAAAAGAAAGAAGTGAAAAATGAACACTGAATATCTCATGCCTTATAATGGATGGGTTCATTGTTTTATTTATTCTGCTTATCATAAGTAAAGAAGTAATGACATTGCTGCTACAAATAATTCCTTTTCGGCCCCATAGAACCTGCAGTTAATACTGAATGGCACAAGATTTACATAGGATTGATCCATGTTTAAACTTGCCCAAGGTCATGGAGCTAGGAAGTGACGGTGCTGGGGTTCCAAACCAGCAGTCCAGCTCCAGAGCTGAAACTCTTTAGCATTACACCATATTGCTGTTTTGTGTATTACTTTTCTTATTTTTCTTTTGTGTATTATTTTTCAAATGTGATCCTGAATTCTATAAAATGATAAAATTTTTATAATTTTTCTCTCAGATTTTTGTTTCAATATTCACATGCAAAATTGGTCCCTGGTCTTCTTTTAGGAGAAATATATTTTCTGTGTTTCAATATCAATGTTATTTCACCTTCATAAAAAGGAACGAACTGGAAGCCTTCCTTCATTTTCTATGTTCTAGAACAGTTAAAATAGCATTAGAATAATCTGTTTCTTAAAAGTTTGGTAGAATTTCTTTGCAAACTCTGAAGGAGAGGGAAAGGAGGGTAGCTCTATGACAACTTCTTTGTTTCATCAATAATAACTGTTCTTTCAGATTTTCTAAGAGTTCTGGAGTCAGATACAGTCATATATTTTCTATTTCTTTTAAAAAATTAAACAGATTCTTACATATAATTTATATTCCATAAAATTTACCTGCTTGAAATGTACAATTGGATAATTTTTAGTAAATTTACAGAGTTGTGCAATCATCACAATGAGATCATTTTAGAACATTCCCATCACTCTAGAAAGATCGCTTGTGCCCACTTGCAGTCAATCCCTGCTGCCATCACCAGCTCCTCCATTTTAATAGTTCAGCTCTATAACTTTAATGTATATAAACAGACATGTTTATTTTATGTGGATTAAATAAGATAGCGGAGATAAATCTTGGATGTATTGTATATAATGTGACTATACTATATAAAAAATATTTAACTTTAAGAATTGAATGTGGTACTCTGCACAAATAGTATAATTTTCTTATAGCTCATTAAAGCTACCTGGTACTTATGGAAAAAACAAACAGTATGACTGTTTTCATCTTCCTATGATCAGCGCTGAGACTTCCATAAACACATATTCCTTACAGCCCCATTGGCAGCAAGCAATAGGAAGCTAATATCAAAATATGATCACAATAACCACCCTGCCTACAGATGACATTGCTGTTATTCTTTACTTCATGTTGACCAGATTTTCAAACTGTAAGGTATTTTTTAATGTTTTACTTTTTTTTTTTTGTTTGTTTGTTTTTGTTTTTAGAGATGGGATCTTGCTATGTTGCCCAGACTAGTCTTGAATTCCTGGCCTTAAGCAACCCTCCTGCCTCAACCTCCTGAGAAGCTGGGATTACAGGTGTAAGTCACCGTGCCCAGCTTTATTTTCTTAATTTCTTCTATTTTTCCTAATGAGAGTTTAGGAAAAGTCTAGCTATTTCTGAAATGAACAAAGTGTTTTACCCACAGTGTTCAGAATTTAGTGCTTAGAATTAAGCACAGCTGATTAGAACACCAGCCAATATATTTTTAGTTTGCATTGAATAGAGATTTCTCTAATTAGGAAGCATTAGTGTTATTTGATTTCTGATTCTTGCTTCAAAGTTCTCTCCATAACACAGCGAACTTTAAGTATAAGATTAAACTTAATTTAACAAGAAAATATTTTTACATGTTCAAACATGAATAATCCAGTCAGTAGCATTTTTAGATCTAAGAGTATTGGAAAAATTGCTCTCAGCATTGAGAAATTCTTCCACTGATAAAGGTCAACAGAAAGCAAACTCTTGGAGAAGTGGAAGGCGCATGGACTTTGAAGCCATACACATGGGTTCAAATTTCAGGTCCAACAACCACTAGATAGGTGTCCAATATATTCTTCCTCTTACCTCTTTCTTTCCCTCCTCCCTGCCTGGCACCCCCTTGTAAACAAAACAAAACAAAACAAAATGCAAACAACGCACTTCAATGGAAACATACTCCCAAGATTTCCTTAGAGTGAATTTATACTGATTAATTTTTTTTTAAATTCAGGAACTAAAGTAACTAAGTTAAGTTTTTCTCTTGTCAACTCAATATCCTTGTTGGCCATCTGTTACTTTTCTTCTTCTACTCAAAGACATAAAGTGAGCCTCAAAAACATTTAAGTGCATATTGCAAGATTGTTTTGAGATTTAAACAGATGTGTACTTACATGAATGCCCAACTATAAAACACTCAAGGGTATGTAATTATTGTGCTGACAAGTATAAATTCACAATAAAGGTATTCAAAACACACATATACTCATACACGTATTCAGAGTCTGTCCATACACTTCATGTTAGGTATATATTGATTGTATCTGTAAAAGTCACAATATTTAAAAATATTTTCTTAGTTCAATAAAAGATTTATAATTGGCTCTTCTAGTTTCATACTTAAGACTTGTTTTCAAATGTTTCTGTGAAAGAAGTATTAGAAAGTTATCAAGTGATCAGTAAGAAATGTGACTTTTAATTGGATGGAGATCATAAATAAAATATTCTGTATAGAATTAGCACGAGCAAATGAAAAATGCTATTAACTCTAAATCTGTACTATTATGTATTAAACATATACTATTACAGGTCCCTCTTTCCAAAATAGGTCAAAGTTTAAAGATCCCAAAAACCTGAATATTGACATAAAACTTCTTTCCAACTTAATCACCACAAACTCAGAATTAAACTCATATGAAATCTGAAACCAGTATCTCATAAGGGTTTAGCACAAAATTTGCAATTTTTGTAAACTTCGTGTAAAAAAAAAAGATTTAGAAACAACATTTTCAGGAACAAAGGAACAGAAATCAGATCTGACCTTTTTAATGCTTTGATGACTTTCATTACTCTCTCTTTCTTCCCCTGATCACTTTCCTCTTTCAGCAATTAGTTAAGGCCAGATCTATTCAAGTAAAGTCTTAAATTAAATTTTGGAGAAATATTAATATTCAATCCTCTACGTAAAAAAGAATAAAATATATTCCTATTTTCTAATTCCTGAATTTCAGTTATTCTTCCCAAATTAGTGCCGTATGCTTGAGTTAAAATATTTTCTCCTGATGGTCCCATCAAACTGGCCAAAATGTAGGGACTGGGGGAAGAGATAATCAGTGTGAATGAGCACATGGGAAAAGGGATGTTCTCCATCACTGTGAATTGGTGCCATCTCTTTGGAGGATAATGTGGCAATAGAGGTCAAATTTTTAAATGCAGATTGTCTTTTCTTTAATACTTCCACATCAAACAATTGCACAAGTACTCAAAAAGAGGGGTAAAGAATATATATACTGAAGCATAATTTATAACAGCAAAAAATAAAGAAAATCTAAGTGTCCATCAACACAGGCATGATTTTAATGTTAGGTTACTTCTGTATGTGGAATGTTATGCAGCTATTTTAAAGAACAGTAATCAGGTCGGTACATAGTGGCATGGAAGGACTTTGAAAAAAGTTAAGTTGCATGTAGAATGATATATAGAATATTCTCATGTTTTCCTGTGATGAAAATATATACATATTTATATATATGTGTGTGTATATATATTATATACAGACATGTGTATATGGACCCCACACAAATATATATGGATATACAGCAAGACAAGAAAGAGAGAGAGAGAGAGATCTGGAATGATGCTCACAAACAACCCATCAGGTGCTAGAAGTGGAGACAATAAGGAAGAAAACTTTCTATTTTACCTTATACATTTCTCTGGTGTTGAAATTTTTTTAGTAATTGTAAAGAAAAAACCCAACCATATATTATGCCCAGCAGGCACCAGAAGAAGAGGAGTCAAACCTATTAATATTTTAATAACAGCTATTAATTCTCAGATTTCTTTCCATCAGTCTGCTGGAGATAAAGAGCATTCTGCTTTGGTTGTCAGTACACAATTCCTAACACAAAGTCTCCCAGCATGCTTTTGTGAACCAAATGGAAACCTGCGGCCCAAAAAGGAGCACAGTTTGGCTGGATACGTCGTTAGCTGAGGATCAGTCAACAAAGACTGTTGGCCGATGGATCCATTCCAGTCTCAAGTTTCACGGGCTCTGGCAGGGAGGGAGGGCACAGACCCCAGAATACTCCTGAGAAGCCCTCACCTATCCCTCCTCCATTCACTGCCTTTTCATCATAATCTGCCTTTAGGATTAAATGATTTTTCACCAGACCTTAGGCACTACTTCCATGGTCTTCCTGACCTTGTTATAACCAATACCTGCACCCTTTCCAGAATCTCATTTTTAAGCATCCCACCTTGCCAACCCATTTGTTCTTTCTTTTTCTTTTTTTCCTTTTTTTTTTTTTTTCCTGAGACGGAGTCTTGCTCTATCACCCAGGCTGGAGTACAATGGTGTGATCTTGGCTCACTGCAACCTCTGCCTCCAGGGTTCAAGGGATTCTCCTGCCTCAGCCTCCCAAATAGCTGGGATTACAGGCGCATACCACCATGCCCAGCTAATTTTTGTATTTTTAGTAGAGGCAGGGGTTTCACCATGTTGGTCAGGCTGGTCTCGAACTCCTGATCACAAGCAATCCACCAGCCTTGGACTCCCAAAGTGCTGGGATTACAGGTGTGAGCCACTGCACATGGCCCATTTGTTCTTTCTTGAACTCCTTACAGCAAGAAGGCCAATTCCAATAATTTTCTACTCCATCAGGATTTATAATCTACTGACTTTATCTCGCTTTACTCTCTACACCCCCTTCATTGCTTACTTTCCTCCTTTCCAGCTTAAGTTAGTGATTTCTCATTATAATCACTCCCCTGTCCACCCTTCTTCATACCTTCCTCTGAAAACCTCACCCTGCTTGCAGCCAACTCTCTGCTCTCTCCATGCCTCTACCCATGTTGCTGAGCAGCACTGGTGAACACACAACTATGCCAATTTCACTTAATTCAAGTGGATCCTTTCAGCTGCCCCGCAGTCACACTATTATTTTCTTAGTTCATTCATCTCCCTCACTGCTACATGACTAGCACACTTCTCCATAAGTCCTCAATACCTCCATTCCCATCCTCTTTCTCAATGGATAATTTCTATGCTTCACTGAGGAAACAGAAACAATAAGCAGAGGAATTCCACCACCACACCTGCTGCCAAGTGGCATCTGTGCCCATTGCCTTTGTTCCTGTGTAGGAAAATCCGTCTGTGTTCCAATCTAAGCATTCTCACCTTCCAATTGGTGAGCTGGGATCTGTCCCCTGCTCAAGGACACCATTGCAGCACTATTTGCTTTCTCTTCTGTGTCATCAATTTCCTCCTCTTTGCTGGATAATTCCATTAGCACACAAACAGGATGTAATTTCTCTCATCTTAAAACAACAAGAACAAAAGACTGTGCCACCCAGCCTCTTCTGCCAGCTGTTTCTCTGTTCCCTTTACAGCAAAACTACTTTTTCTATCTCAAAGTACTCCCCTTTTATTCTCTCTTGAGCCTGTTCCATGATGCTAAATCTGATGGTCAGTTCTCAGCCATTTGCAGCATTTGGCAGCCTATCACTTTCCTCCTTGATACACTTTCTCTTCTCAGCTTCCAGGATACTACTCTCAGTTCTCAGCCTACCTCACCACTATCCTCTCAGTCTCTTATTGGTTCTTATTCATCTCATGAAACTTAGGTGGGCTCAATCCTTAGCATTCACAGTGGGCTTTATTTATACTCACTCCATAGGGGACCTAATCTCATCTCATGGCTTTAAATACTATGACATGCTGATGACACCCTAATCTAGCCCTAGTTTGGGCCAAGTCTCCAAATTCCAGATTTATATATTCAACTGCCTACTGGACATCTCCAGCTAGACATCGATCAAGCATCTTAAACTTATGCCTACAAATGAACTCTTCATCTACCCTCCAGAAACCTTCTCCTCCTACACTGTGCCCCATTTCAGTAAACAGTACTTCCACTCTTCCAATGGCTCAGGCCAAATGGAGTCATCCTTGGCTCCTGTCTTCTTCTCACAACCACATCCAATCTATCAGCAAGTCCTGTGTGTTCTACCTTCACAATGCAACTGGAATCTGCCACTTCTTACCACTTCTCTATATCCCTGGTCCAAATCCACCATCACCTCCTGCCCAGTTCACTGCAATAGTTTTCTGCCTGGTTTCCCTGCTTTTATCCCTGACCATTATCAATCTACTTGCCAGTTTGATTCATTTAAAATTTAAGTCAGATCAACTATCTTCCCATACTACTAAGAATAAAAACCGAAGTCCTCACAATAGCCTGCAAGAGCCTACATCATTTGGCCTCCAATCCCTGTGTGACCTTATTTCTCACCGCTGGAGCCCCTCACTCTGCTCTGGCCATAGTGTTTCCTAAACGTTCCAAGCACACCCCTGCCTCAGGGACTTTGTACTGCTGTTCTCCATGCTTCAACCCCTCTTCCCTCAGTTATCCACCTGGCTCATTTCCTCTCTTACCTCTCAGGTCTCTGCTCAGAAATCACCTCAGTGATGCCTTGTCTGACCACCCTATTTAAAAGTTATGCCCCACTCCAGCATCCCTAAGTATCTAAGCCTGTTATTAAACAAAGCACTTGTTGGCCGGGCACAGTGGCTCACGCCTGTAATCCCAGCACTTCGGGAGGCCTAGGCGGGCGGATCACGAGGTCAGGAGATTGAGACCACCCTGGCTAACACAGTGAAACCCTGTCTCTAACTAAAAATACAAAAAATTAGCTGGGTGTGGTGGCAGGTGCCTGTAGTCTCAGCTACTCAGGAGGCTGACGCAGGAGAATGGTGTGAACCGGGGAAGCGGAGCTTGCAGTAAGCCGAAATCGCACCACTGCACTCCAGCCTGGGCGACAGAGCGAGACTCCGTCTCAAAAAAAAAAAAAAACAAGAAAACAACAACAACAACAACAACAAAAAAGCACTTGTCATGTTCTGACTTACAACTACAATACAACCTCTACGAGGACAGAGGCTTTTTCTATGTTTTCATACCTCTATTCTAGAAAACGGTCCCTGGCGTGGGTATTGAATAAATGATTGCTGGACAAACAAATGAGGTTTCCTGGACTTGGGAGGCTGCTGTAGCAAGATAACTAGATGATGACTTAGAAGATCTGGGTTTGAGTATGATTACAGACAAGAAAATAGAAGTGACGCCCAGCTTTGTTATTGCACAGTATAATTAGTTAAGCCATTTAACCTCCAAGGGCCTCAGTTTCCTCATCTATAAAGGGAATGAAAACATGCGTTACCCTCTGTGTGAATGAAAATGTCAGGCAAATGTAAAACACTATCAGGCTTCTGTAACTGATCACATATGTTAAACTATTTAGAATTACTTTAAAATTTTTAGACAATAGTTTATGCTTAGAAGATTTAGTCACTTTGTAAACCAAAAGGATACCTTGAATTATTATTTTTTTTATTTTTATTTATTTATTTATTTATTTTTTAAATTTATTTATTTTTTATTGATAATTCTTGGGTGTTTCTCACAGAGGGGGATTTGGCAGGGTCATAGGACAATAGTGGAGGGAAGGTCAGCAGATAAACAAGTGAACAAAGGTCTCTGGTTTTCCTAGGCAGAGGACCCTGTGGCCTTCCGCAGTGTTTGTGTCCCTGGGTACTTGAGATTAGGGAGTGGTGATGACTCTTAAGGAGCATGCTGCCTTCAAGCATCTGTTTAACAAAGCACATCTTGCACCGCCCTTAATCCATTTAACCCTGAGTGGACACAGCACATGTTTCAGAGAGCACAGGGTTGGGGGTAAGGTCACAGATCAACAGGATCCCAAGGCAGAAGAAGTTTTCTTAGTACAGAACAAAATGAAAAGTCTCCCATGTCTACTTCTTTCTACACAGACACGGCAACCATCCGATTTCTC
Organism: Homo sapiens; assembly: GCF_000001405.40. NCBI lineage: Eukaryota > Metazoa > Chordata > Mammalia > Primates > Hominidae > Homo > Homo sapiens. The sequence goes on from NC_000004.12 coordinate 151,254,756, forward strand.
AATCTTTTCCCCACCTTTCCCGCCTTTCTATTCCACAAAGCCGCCATTGTCATCCTGGCCCGTTCTCAATGAGCTGTTGGGCACACCTCCCAGACGGGGTGGTGGCCGGGCAGAGGGCTCCTCACTTCCCAGTAGGGGCGGCCGGGCAGAGGCGCCCCTCACCTCCCGGGAGGGGCGGCTGGCCAGGCGGGGGGCTGACGCCCCCACCTCCCTCCCGGATGGGGCGGCTGGCTGGGCAGAGGGGCTCCTCACTTCCCAGTAGGGGCGGCCGGGCAGAGGCGCCCCTCACCTCCCGGACGGGGCGGCTGGCCGGGCGGGGGGCTGACCCCCACCTCCCTCCCGGATGGGGCGGCTGGCCTGGCGGGGGGCTGACCCCCCCCACCTCCCTCCCAGACGGGGTGGCTGCCGGGCGGAGACGCTCCTCACTTCCCAGATGGGGTGGCTGCCGGGCGGAGAGGCTCCTCACTTCTCAGACGGGGCGGCTGCCGGGCGGAGGGGCTCCTCACTTCTCAGACGGGGCGGTTGCCGGGCAGAGGGTCTCCTCACTTCTCAGACGGGGCGGCCGGGCAGAGATGCTCCTCACCTCCCAGACAGGGTCGCGGCCGGGCAGAGGTGCTCCTCACATCCCAGACGGGGCAGCGGGGCAGAGGCACTCCCCACATCTCAGAGGATGGGCGGCCGGGCAGAGACGCTCCTCACTTCCTAGATGTGATGGCGGCCGGGAAGAGGTGCTTCTCACTTCCTAGGTGAGATGGCGGCCGGGCGGAGACGCTCCTCACTTTCCAGACTGGGCAGCCAGGCAGAGGGGCTCCTCACATCCCAGACGATGGGCGGCCAGGCAGAGACGCTCCTCACTTCCCAGACGGGGTGGCGGCCGGGCAGAGGCTGCAATCTCGGCACTTTGGGAGGCCAAGGCAGGCGGCTGGGAGGTGGAGGTTGTAGCCAGCCGAGATCACGCCACTGCACTCCAGCCTGGGCACCATTGAGCACTGAGTGAACGAGACTCCGTCTGCAATCCAGGCACCTCGGGAGGCCGAGGCTGGCGGATCACTTGCGGTTAGGGGCTGGAGACCGGCCTGGCCAACACAGCGAAACACCGTCTCCACCAAAACCAGTCAGGCGTGGCGGTGCGAGCCTGCAATCGCAGGCATTCGGCAGGCTGTCAGGAGAATCAGGCAGGGAGGTTGCAGTGAGCTGAGATGGCAGCAGTACAGTCCAGCTTTGGCTCAGCATGAGAGGGAGACCGTGGAAAGAGAGGGGGAGAGGGAGAGGGAGAGGGAGAGGGAGAGGGAGAGCCTTGAATTATAATAAAGATTTTAAACTGTCTTTCTCCCTCTAGAGTTTGTAATTGTCTATATATAAATTGTATACTTTAATATCATATCAACTTCTGGGCATTATGGCCAATATTATTTTTGTTTTCTGTCCTGAGGCCTTATCCATTCTCTTCTAAATAGGGGGATATGAGACTTGTCATCTTGAGATCTTTGATACTTTTGGCTCTGGAACTATCCTTCCCACAGGTGCAGAAATACAAGTCAGATTCCTGTTTATGTAAAATGTCGAGAAAGTCCAAAGGCCATTGAGAGAACATGGGCCTTGCCAAAGCACAGCTGGAAGCAGAAGTATTTGAAAGAGGAAAGAGACATCTTCTATTAGGTTCCACTTTTGTTTCAAGTTACATAACAATAAATATAAATACTTCAATTAAATTAGTTTCACTCTTCACAGAAATGCCTTAATCATGATTCAAAATGATGGTGTTCGCATTCATTGAGAGACAATATAAAAAATGAGGAATGTTTCTCAGTCCCCTATAGAACTGCATATTATGTTAACCAATGTGCTTTTTACAATGGGGAAAAATTTTCTCCTGACTAAAGAGTATTGTTCTTATTATCTGATGATATAAGGTGTATGGTACACTTTTGTTTTGTTGTTTTTTTTTTTTTTTGGCTTGGCCTCTAGAAAGCTTCAAGTTAATTATTATTATTATTATTTTGATAGAGAGTCTTGCTCTATTGCCCAGGCTGGAGTGTAGTGGTGCTGATCTCAGCTCACTGCAACCTCTACCTCCTGGGTTCAAGCGATTCTCCTGCCTCAGCCTCCCAAGTAGCTGGGATTACAGGCATGTGCCACCATCCCTGGCTAATTTTTGTTTTCTTAGTAGAGACAGGGTTTTTGCCATTTTGGCTAGGTTGGTCTCGAATTCGTGGCTTCAAGTGATCTGCCTGCCTCAGCCTTGGGTTGAGATTACAGGCATGAGTCACAGAGCCTTCCTGGCCTAATCTAGTTAATTTCTTTTCTTCTTATTTATTTATTTATTTGTTTGTTTGTTTATTTATTTTTTGAGATGAAGTCTTGCTCTGTTTTCCAGGCTGGAGTACAATGGCATGATCTTGGCTCACTGCAACCTCTACCTCCCGGGTTCAAGCAGTTCTCCTGCCTCAGCCTCCCAAGTAGCTGGGACTACAGGCACGTGTCACCATGCCCGGCTAATTTTTGTATTTTTAGTAGAGACGGGGTTTCACTATGTTGGCCAGGCTAGTCTCGAACTCCTGACCTCAGGTGATCCACCCGCCTTAGCCTCCCAAAGTTCTGGGATTACAGGAGTGAGTCACCATGCCCAGGAGATAACTCAATTGTAATAATTATAATAATCCCAGCCTTGATTTTTGGAAGTATAATCTTCCCCAGTTTTTTCTATGGCCCTTCTAACTCTGTTCATTTTTACTGTACACATGATGCCCTCCTGTGCCAGGCACTGGGCCTGGAATATTAAAGGGTCTCAACAACTATTTCTTCTTCTTCTTCATCATCATTATTATGTTATTAATCATCATCATCATCATCATCATGCTATTAAAAATAGTAACCGTGGCTGGGTGCGGTGGCTCAAGGCTGTAATCCTAATGCTTTGGGAGCCTGGGGAGGGAGGATTGCTTGAGTCCTGGAGTTTGAGAACAGCCTGGGCAACATATCACGACCCTATCTCTACAAAAAATTAGCCAGGTGTGGTGGCGCATGCCTGTAGTCCCAGCTACTCCAGAGACTGAGGAGGGAGGATCGCTTGAGCCTGGGAGGTCTAGGCTGCAGTATGCTACGATCATGCCACTGTACTTCTAGCCTAGGTAAGAGAGTGAGAGTCTGTCTAAAAATAAAAAAAGCAACCAACAAAGCCAGTCCTTGGGAGAGCCAGGAATGAGGCTGAATAGTCTGTGCCACACATACAAATGCTCTGTCAATAGTCCCATGTCACAGTCCCTTGTTTAGTTTCCATAGTCCCTTGTCCCCCTTTTCAAATGAACAGGATATAAATTATAAGTAAAAACCTCCTGAGTTACTTCCTTATTCCACCTCTCTCCCACTAGATGTAAACTCCTTGAAGGCAGGCAGTTCCCTATAGATCCTGTTCCACATTTAACACAATATCCTTAACACAACGCAGACCTAATACATATTTGCTACCTAAGGAAGGCTAAGAGCAGGTAATGATTGAGGCACAAAGGGAAAGAGAGAAAACACTGGTCAGAAAACTGACTGGTTTATTTCCCCTTTATTTTCTCCTGTCAGTCCTGTCAGAACCATTCTAGAGGCCAAGGACCTAGGGTGGCCAGTCTGCACAGCCATTTGAGATCCCAAATCAGGGATCTGCCCTCCATTGGTTCACCTTTGGTCAGGGGAGAATTAAATGGGCACACCAGGGCAGGTCCCTGAGATGTGGCAGTTTAGGCAGAGGGAAGTGTGTGAACTTAGACTTGTTCAACACCAGGGTCACTAAGCACTGAGCGAGCCCTGCTCCTTCCAATGCCCACCTCCAACCTTCCCTTTTTCTTACCTCCCATCACCCACCCTCAGGCTGAATCCCAGACACCCTGCTCTCCCAGGACAGCAGGGGACGCCGCAGACCCCCCAATTCCTCCCTTGGGTCCTGGAGCTGCACTTCTGAAGTCTGGTCCCTTCAGGATCTGGCAGGGGGTGAAGACCAAAGGAGAGGAGGGGGTGAAGCAGAGGAGTCCATCTAGGAGGAGATGGTTCTGCTCCCCCTTCTCTGGGTGTTCCCCACTGGCCTCTCCCTGGGATCCTGAGTCCAGGGGCAGGGAGTGCTGGCCCTCAGGACAGAGACACGGGCACTGCTGGCTATGCATTCACGCTGCTCCTTCTGCTGGGGATTTCGGGTGAGCCCCCAGAATGGGGTAAGCCCTAGGTAGGGACAGGGGCTTCAGACTAGGAAAGGCTGCACAGGGCATGGGTGAGGACCCTCTGTAGCAGCAAGAATCCATCAAGAGTGCCTCCCATATTCCCCATTCTCCCACTAGGAGGTCTAGGCTGCAGTATGCTATAATCATCCCACTGTACTTCTAGCCCAGGTAACAGAGTGAGACCTTGTCTCACTCTGTCTTCCCCATTTCATTCAACAATATAACCAGTTACTCAAGACAAATATTGTACCTCACTTCCCCTCACCTTCCACATCCAATGCACATACCATTCTTGTCAGTTTTACTTCCAAAACTGACAAATGAGGATGAACCAGAGAATCTCTTGAAGTCAAGTAAGACACTTCAGGCAGAGGCAGCATGCCTGGATGGACTGAGGGAAGGGAATCTGTGTAAGGAGGAAAGAGGACCTGAGTTTGGGAAATGACCATGGAGGGGTGAGGGTGGAGGGGCAGGATTCCAGGCTGCATCCCTCCAAGTCTTCTTGCCCTTTGTTGGCAGTCTGTGGGCGGCCCACAGTCTCATCTGGTATTGCCTCAGGCTGGGGGGCTAGTGTGGGGCAGTGGCCCTGGCAGGTCAGCATCCGCCAGGGCTTGATTCACGTCTGCTCAGATACCCTCATCTCAGAGGAGTGGGTGCTGACAGTGGCGATCTGCTTCCCGTGAGTGCTGGCCCTGCTGTGTGGAGACCCATCAGGGCACCTGGGTGACTGCACCGCCTGAGAGGCCGGGGTGGGGCTTATCGTGCACTGCCCAATACACTATGTTGTGCGTTATTAATGGGTTCAAATACTTCCTACTCTAGCTCTCAGTTCAGTGCAACTACTCTCAGACTTCAGGCTTCTTCAAATTTAACATTATCTTGATTGAAATGACTACCTAAAAATAGTTACATTCTCCCACCCCATTCCTCAATTCGAAGCCTCTACCCAGGAGACATCCCCCAGGAAGGGCTCCTTCCCTTACAGCAGCATGCCTACACCTCATACCACTCTTCAGAGGCACAATCCTGAGCCTTCTTCACTACCCCTAAGTTAACTCATCCATCTTTGTTTTTTTCCTTTTTGAAAGAAAGTGTGCTTACACTTGCCTCTTATTTTAAAATATTTTTATTTTATTTGTATGCATTTATGGAGTACAAGTATAATTTCTGTTATATGCCTAGACTGCATAGCAGTGATGTCAGAGCTCTTAAGGTATCCATCACCCAAATAATGTACATTGTACCCATTAAGTAATTTCTCATTATCCACCCTCTTCCATTTCCCTTGGTTTAAATGTCATATATTTGCTGATAACACTCGCACTTGCATCTCTAGCCCCAAACACTAGTCCTGATGCACTTCTATTTGGCATCTCAAGGGTAACATGGTCAGAAAAGGTAATTTTACCACCATCACTGTCCCCCAATCTTTTTCTCTCTCTGCCTTCCCCATTTCATTCACCAATGTAACCAGTTACTCAAGACAAATATTGTATCTCACTTTCCCTCACCTTCCACATGCAATGCATATACCATTCTTGTCAGTTTTACTTCCAAAATATACTTTGACTCTAACATAGCTACCCCTGGACCTTTGCAATAGTATAATAGGTTTTACTACCTTCAATACACACCAAAAAATGACTTTTTAAAGTTAGAGGTGAGATAACATCACTCCCTGCTTTGAATCCCCCAGCGGTTGCCCAGGCACCTATAATAAAACCCAAATGACACATTGTGGCCTACAAGCCATGAATCACCAGGTGTCTGCCCACTTTTCCAACCTCATCCTATTCTCCAGCTTTTCTTTCAGTTCCTGGAGACTGCCAAGCTCTTTCTCACCCTCAAGGCCTTGCATACTCTATTCCCTGTCTGGAATGCTTTTATCGATCTTAAGGCTGACTTCTTCCTTTTGGGACTCAGTTGAAAAGTTACCTCAACAAGACCTTTCCTGACCATCCAATAAAGACTCTCCCCGCTTCCTTTACTCTCTACTTTAAAATTGTGTGTTTTCTTCATAACATTTATCACAATTTTAAATTTTGTACTTGTTTGTTGCTTGTCTCTCTCTCCCTGCCCCAACACACACACACACCCCTACACACCCCTTAAAATTATAGCCCTGTGACGGCCAGATTGTATCTATTTTAATTTCATTTATACTACCAGGAGATGCTCAATACTTTTTGAAGGAATGAAAGCCTCAGAAGAACTAGAGGAAAAATGCCATATCCAGAACAATGGGCTCTGCTATGATGACCCAGGGCAGAGTCACAAGAAACCCACGGTATCTCTTCTGCTTCTCTTCTCAGGTCTAAGGATGCCAGGAAATACAGTGTATTGGTGGGCTCAGATCTTTGGTTGTGCAGACTCCAAAATGACGATAATACCTGTGTCCCAGATTATCCCCCCACCCTGATTTCCAAGCAAACACATCTAGTGCCATCGCTGTGGTAGAACTGCCCTCCCCAGTTTCTGTTAGCCCTGTTGTCCTGCTCATCTGCCTTCCCTCATCTGAAGTCTACCTGAAGAAGAATACAACCTCCTGCTGGGTGACTGGATGGGGCTATACTGGAATATTCCAATGTGAGGATACATTGATTTTCTGTGTTCTAACTTCTTCGACTGACATTCTCTCTGCCTGCTCTCTATCCTAGCCCTAGAGCACCAGATATACTACAGTAATCTGAGGTGCTTCAGACTTCAAATTCTCTGTGACCCTTTGCCTCTTTCATATTTCTTCTGCTATAATCTCTTTGCTTATTGATACCTGCTTTTGTTCTTGTTTAGCAATAGTGCTGAGACCTTAAAAGTAAAAAGGACAGAGTAATGAATTTAGAGATAGGATAGTTCTGTTCAGTCTGAGAAGTAATATAGTTTTCCCTCCATACCTGGGTGGAGTGTGTGTGGGTAGGTGGATAGGGGAAGGAGACATGAAGATGTGTTCAGGAAAGTAAGGACACTCAGCAAAAGTTCCTGACTCAAACTAGCTAGGAGAGTACAGCTTCATTTCTGGGTAATTCTTCTTACTAGATCTACCCCTTATTTCTATAGAAAAATAAATACATATTCTGAAGACAACTTAAATCCGCATTCTGTTTTGGGTTTTCCTAAATTACAAGATTTTTCTGTTACTAATTTGTGCTATGTGAACAGGAGCCAACTGCCCACGGTCTTGTTCAGCGCCAGGGAGCTCAGCCTTTAGGTTGTTTCCCAAACCAGAAATCAGGATGCTATCTAACATGGGGCAGAATATTTGAAATTAGAGCTTTATCTGAAAATCAAAGGCACAAAATCTGTATCCATGGCCAGAAGTCACTTTTTAATTAAGACAGCTTTGACTCTTTTTGGCCCTACAGATATCAAGCGTTCTTATACACTGAAGGAGCTGAAAGTGCCCCTCATTGATCTCCAGACATGCGGTGACCACTATCAAAATGAAATCTTGCTGCACGGAGTTGAGCTCATCATCAGTGAAGCTATGATCTGCTCCAAGCTCCCAGTGGGGCAGATGGATCAGTGTACTGTAAGAATCCACCCCTCAGGCACCTTTCACAGGCCTTGCCTTCCCCAGTGTGCTTCCTCCACTTCTCATATCTTCAGAGACCCTGGGTGAACCCAGGAGTGTCTGGACAGGCCTAACTGTACAGTTCTTGGCTAAACTGTTGAAGAGTTTCACCTCCTTCCCTTTGCTCTATGTACTGTCTAGCCAACATTCTTCTCTCTCTCTCTCTCTCTCTCTCTCTCTCTCTCTGGGCAGTAGATGAGATCCCGTGATGTGTCAAGTTGAAGATTTCTAGGTCCTGGCAGGAGTGGTAAGCCAGGGATCAAACTGCATCCAAACCAGTGGGCCTGGAATATACACAAACATCCATTTCTACAAGTCTTGGATTGAGAAGTCTCCCATCTCGCTTGCTGAGTTTTCTGCTACCCTCAGTCTGGGCCTCTCTGGGCTCCTGCCTATTATGCTTCTGCCTCTGATTTTCCTGAGGCCACCTTAACTGGCTGAGGTCAGTATGCCCTGGGTAAAGTGACAGTTGAGAATGAGAGAAAAAGGAAATTCCAGAGTTGAGGATTCTGAAGACAGATTTTGAAGAGTCAGCAAGACAGACGCAGTTCTGCTGTCCCATAAGCCTAATTTGCTTGTTGCCTTTCCCCCGCACAAGTCAGCCTAGTAAACAAGATCCCCAGAGTGAATAAAATTTGGTTGATTCTAACAAATTAGTTCTTATATTCATTCTTTTGATGAAATTGAAGACAGAGCCTGGGGAAGTGCAGAAGCAGAGAACTTGAGGGTTAAAGGAATCTGGACATCACTTAGCCCAACACATTCTATAGGTGAAGATGCTGGGGTCCAGAGGTTAGTTTGCCACTTACTTAATCCAAGATGAAAACCATCCAACCCTGGGATTAGACTGGATTCTGAGGAAAAAGTAGGGACTTGGAAGATTAGAAGATTTCAGATAAAACGGGCCAGGCCGGAGGAGGAGCCCCGGCAGTATATTAGTTATCTATTGCAGTACAACAAATAACCCCAACACTCAGTAGCTAAAACAATGAACATTTATTATCTCATAGTTTCTGCAGGACAGTTATCTGGAAGACTTAGCTGGTTAGTTATGGTTTAGGATCTTTCAAAAAGCTACTGCTGTGTCAGCCACAGCTGCAGTCATCAAGGCTCAACTAGGAAAGGATCAGCTTCCAAGCTCACTCATGTGCCTGTTACCATTCATGTGGGCCTCGCTGAAGGAATGCCTTTGGCAGCTGGCTTCTCCCAGAGTGAATGATCCAAGACAGAGCAATAGAGAACACCCAAAATGGAAGCTACAGTTTTTGTTGTTGTTGTTGTTGTTGTTGTTGTTGTTTTGGACAAAGTCTCACTCTGCGGCCCAGGCTGGAGTGTGGTGGTATAAACACAGCTCACTGCAGCCTCGACCACCTGGGCTCAAGTGATCCTCCCCACTTCAGCCTCCTGAGTAGCTGAGACCACAGGTACACACCACCACTCTGAGCTATTTTAAAATTTTTGTGGAGACAAAGTCTTGTCATGTTGCCCAGGGTGGTCTTGAACTCCTGAGCTCAAGTGATCCTCCTGCCTTCGTCTCCCAAAGTACTGAGATTACAGGCATGGGCAACCATGCCTGGCCAGCCACAGTCTTTTTATAACCTAATCTCAAAACTGACAACTCAGCTGGGTGTAGTGGCTCACTCACGTCTGTAATCCCAGCTTTGGGAGGCTGAGGTGGGCAGATCACCTGAGGTCAGGAGTTCAAGACCAGCCTGGCCAACATGGTGAAACGTTGTCTCTATTAAAAATACAAAAATTAGCCGGGCATGGTGGTGGGCGCCTGTAATCCCAGCCACCCGGGAGGCTGAGGTAGGGGGAGAATCGCTTGAACCTGGGAGCTGGGGGTGAGCCAACATCCCGTCACTGCTCTCCAGCCTGGGCAACAGAGTGAGACTCTGTCTCAAAAAAAAAAAAAAAAACCAAACAAAAAAAAAACCCTAACATCTCATTATTTCTTATAGTATTCTATTCTTTAGTAGTAAGTCAACAAGGTGTGAATATCAGGAGCTGAAGATCATTGGAGGCCATCTTGAAGGCTGTCTTCACAAACAGAGAGTACAGGAAGAGTCTGGAATGAGAGCCTGAGAAGCTAAGGCTGACTGTGTTTAGTAGTCATGGATTAAATTTTATAGTTGTGTTCTCAGGTGTGTTGGTGTTAATGAAGGTGTTTACTAGAGATATTTCCAAAATGTAACATCCTGTAGACAATCAGAGTAGTCTAAGAACATGTTTCATATGAAAAATATGCTGCCTTATTTTCTTTTTTTCCTTTTTTTCTGATATACAAAGAATGGTTAAAAACATGGGATCTGATGCTGACCAGAGCTGAGTTGGATTTCATAGGATGCGGATTAAAATACAATAATAGACACAATGCTCTACATTACTTGATGAATAAAGAATAAAAAATAAGGAAGGAGTTTTGGCAAGACAGTGGAATGAACAACTGCAAAGTGAATATTCCTCATTCTAATTGAATGCTAATAAAATCATTGTTTAAAAATGATAATTTTCATAAATAATCACAAAAGGTAATTACATAATAATAAATTAATTAAATGTGGGCCATTAAAAAGCTTTCCATACATATAAAAAAAGAATTCAGAAAAAAACAAATTCCCAAATGCAAAAATTATCAAATTATAAGCAGGATAAAGAATGATTACAATTTATTCTCAAAGGCATACTGTTTATGTCAGTAACATCTTGTTAGAATTTTTGCAGATGACAACACCACAGAATTTCAAACAAGGCATACTTGACACTGTGGAAAATGCTTCAGCAAAAGAAAAGGTAAACTCACTACACATGTGGGATGCTAAATCAGTTGAAAAAAAAAAAAAGAGGATAGAATGTGAGAGAAGATGATGGATCTAGATAGTGGAGCCAAAAAATAGAAGGAGATAAAAGGAGGTTATAAAATCACAAAATATAACAGTTGGAAGGCACTTTACAAATTATCCGATACTACTCCAAGCTCAAGGCATAAGTTTGCTTTTTAATAGAATGATCAATTAATCCTTATATTTATTTTATTTCTTTTCTTTTTTTTTTTTTTTTTTTTTTTTAAAGACAGAGTCTTGCTGTGTCACCCAGGCTGGAGTATAGTGGCACAATCTCAGCTCACTGCAACCTCCACCTCCCAGGTTCAAGCAATTCTCATGCCTCAGCCTCCGGAGTAGCTAGGATTACAAGTGTGCACCACCACACCCAGCTAATTTTTATATTTTTTGTAGAGACATGGGGTTTCTCCATGTTGCCCTTGCCCAGGTTGGTAATGAACTCCTGACCTCAAGCGATCCACCCGCCTCAGCCTTCCAAAGTACTGGGATTACAGGTGTGAGCCACAGCGCCTGGCCCCCTTATACTTATTACAGCAGCTTTGGAAAATTATTCATTGTTGGGAATGAGGGAATGGGAACTATTTTCACTACACAGTATTGCCCACCCCTTGCCCACAAGAATCATCTAAAACTGAAAGTTAACAAGTAAAATAACACACATAATGGATGAGATAGTTACATGTAGGACAAACCTAAAAGATTTTAGTAAATACACACCTCATGTTTTAGGAAGAAGGTAATCTTGGAGACTTGGGTATAATCTTAAGGCAACGTACTAGGAATGAGATCGTACCGATGAAAGTTTAAATCTAATCAACAGTATTATGCACTGGTTGAAGAAAACCAGGATTAAGACGGAGGATAGTCAGCATGGAATCTAAGAAGGGAAAAGTCCGTTAACTATATGTGTTCATCAGATTCTAAGCTGTTAAGGGAGAAAGACCCTGAGTCTAATGAATATAAACTTTAAATTTAAAGAAAAACATGTTCTGTTATAGAAAAGTGGTCTTTCAGTTTTTGTAAAGATGAGCTATTTCATCTTTGTAAGTGAAATGCTCATGGAGATTAGCTACCTCCATTTGTTCTCATTGTAAACCTCTTTAAACCACAACACATTTAGTTGCTCGACTCATATGAAGAAGAGGTGCCCTGGTTGGGAAAAGTGAAAATTCCGAATAATGGAAATGAATAGCCCTTAGTGAGAATAAATATTCTGGTTCATACATAAGCCTCAGAGTTTAGTGAGTCAGTCCCTTGAATTTGATCTCTTCTAGGTGCTCTGACAAGGCCTGAAGTCCAGAAGTTAAAAAGCTAAGAACCCAGAGACTAGATTGAGATTACTTGAGTCAAGTCATGTTGCTTATGGAAGACCTGCCTAAGTGAATTCTCTGGATAACATGACATATCTATCTCATTTCCTAACAATGGCAGAAACTCATATTTACTTTATGACTCCTCTGTGTTAAGTACTATGCTGGTCACTTTAAATATTATCTTATTTTGTCTTAACAACTCAAGAAGGTACTATTTAGCCCCGTTTACAAATGAAATAAAAACACACAAAACTGAGGTTCAAAGAGGCTAAGTAATCTGCCTAAGACTAAACAGCTAATATTTAATTTAACAGATCTAGCCAGGGCTGTCAGACTTCAAAAATATGGCTTTTTCAGCTGGGTGTGGTGGCTCACGCCTGTAATCCCAGCACTTCTGGAGGCCGAGGTGGAAGGATGATTTGAGGCCAGGAGTTTGCAACAATCCTGGGCAACATGGTGAGACTCAGTCTCTCTCTAAAAAAAAAAAAAAATAAATAAAATAAATTAGTCTAGCATAGTGGCACGTGCCTGTAGTCCCAGCTACTCATGAGGCTGAGGTGGGAGGATTGATTAAGCCTGGGAGGTCAAGGCTACAGTGAGCTGTGATTGCGCCACTACACTCTAGCCTGGGCGACAGAGCAAGACCCTGTTGTCAAAGAAAAAAAAAAAGGCTCTTTCCACTATACCAAATTACCTCCGTTCATTGTTGGAAAGCTATAAGGTTTTTCCTTACATTACACCAAAATAACACTTGCCCTTTGGCCCTAGTTATTTGTACCTCTTGTACTTCTTATCTCTATTTGTAGTTCCTTGAGTGAACATAGCTTTTATTTTTCCTTCTGAATAGATAAAAACAGACTTGAGAAAATTAACTAATGTCCTATTCATCTTTTTGACCTTCTAACAACACGTAGTATCCTGCAAACAAAGTATCAAATCTTGTTTTTTTCAATTAACAAAATGAGAACTATAGACTATAGAAAGCCAGCTGTCAAAAAAATAGGGAAGAATTCCTTTAGTATGAGAAGTGAATAAACATAAAAAGGGAAATGTATTTTGTTAGTGACCAAAAGAACAGGTGCATTAGTTGGTGATCAAAATAACCAGTCCCCCCTGTAAAGGGGGACTGGTTTTAAAGGGCATTAGTGTTTCAAGCAAGTAGGATGGTGCTCAGAGAAAGATTAGTCCCTGTGGAGGAGATGAGTGCAGTCCAGGGAAACCTGTAGACTGGTCAATAAAGCAAACAGCCAGGAAGAGAAAGAAGATTGTCTGTGAAAGGTTGTCCAAGGCTTGGCCCTGACATAACAGATGCTAAGTACATGACATGTTGCTTAATGATGGAGATCCGTCCTGAGAAATGTGTCATTAGGTGATTTCGTCATTGTGTGAACATCGTAGAGTGAAATGACACAAAACTCAGTGATACAGCCAACTACACACCTAGGTTACATGCTATAGTCTATTGCTCATAGGCTACAAACCTGTGCAGCAAGTTACTGTACTGAACACTGTAGGCAACTATAACACAATGGGACGTATTTATGTATCTAAACATAGAAAAGGTACAGTAAAAATATATTATAAAAGATAAAAACTGGTACACCTATATAGGGCACTTACTGTGAATGGAGCTTGCGGGAATAGAAGTTGCTCTGGATGAGTCAGTGAGTGAGCAGTGAGTGAATGTGAACGCCTAGGACATGATAGTACACTACTGTAGACTTTATAAACACTGTACGCTTAGGCTACACTAAGTGTATTTTTTTATTATTATTATACTTTAAGTTTTAGGGTACATGTGCACAATGTGCAGGTTAGTTACATATGTATACATGTGCCATGCTGGTGTGCTGCACCCATTAACTCGTCATTTAGCATTAGGTATATCTCCTAATGCTATCCCTCCCCCTCCCCCCACCCCACAACAGTCCCCAGAGTGTGATGTTCCCCTTCCTGTGTCCATGTGTTCTCATTGTTCAATTCCCACCTATGAGTGAGAATATGCGGTGTTTGGTTTTTTGTTCTTGCGATAGTTTACTGAGAATGATGATTTCCAATTTCATCCATGTCCCTACAAAGGACATGAACTCATCATTTTTTATGGCTGCATAATATTCCATGGTGTATATGTGCCACATTTTCTTAATCCAGTCTATCATTGTTGGACATTTGGGTTGGTTCCAAGTCTTTGCTATTGAGAATAGTGCCACAATAAACATATGTGTGCATGTGTCTTTATAGCAGCATGGTTTATAGTCCTTTGGGTATATACCCAGTAATGGGATGGCTGGGTCAAATGGTATTTCTAGTTCTAGATCCCTGAGGAATTGCCATACTGACTTCCACAATGGTTGAACTAGTTTACAGTCCCACCAACAGTGGAAAAGTGTTCCTATTTCTCCACATCCTCTCCAGCACCTGTTGTTTCCTGACTTTCTAATGATTGCCATTCTAACTGATGTGAGATGGTATCTCATTGTGGTTTTGATTTGCATTTCTCTGATGGCCAGTGATGGTGAGCATTTTTTCATGTGTTTTTTGGCTGCATAAATGTCTTCTTTTGAAAAGTGTCTGTTCATGTCCTTTGCCCACTTTTTGATGGGGTTGTTTGTTTTTTTTCTTGTAAATTTGTTTGAGTTCATTGTAGATTCTGGATATTAGCCCTTTGTCAGATGAGTAGGTTGCGAAAATTTTCTCCCATTTTGTAGGTTGCCTGTTCACTCTGATGGTAGTTTCTTTTGCTGTGCAGAAGCTCTTGAGTTTAGTTAGATCCCATTTGTCAATTTTGGCTTTTGTTGCCATTGCTTTTGATATTTTAGACATGAAGTCCTTGCCCATGCCTATGTCCTGAATTGTAATGCCTAGCTTTTCTTCTAGGGTTTTTATGGTTTTGGGTCTAATGTTTAAGTCTTTAATCCATCTAAGTGTATTTTTAAAAGTTTTCTTTAATAATAAATTAATCTCTGCTTACTATAACTTTTTTACTTTATAAACATTTTGATTTTTAAGAACTTTTGACTCTCCTAATAACACTTAGCTTAAAACACAAACACATTGTATAGTTGTACAAAAATATTTTCTTTCCTTGTATCCTTATTCTATATGCTTTTTTCTCTTTTTAAAAATTTTTTATTTTTACCTTTTAAGCTTTTCTTTAAAAAAAAACAAAAACAAAAAAACTAAGACACAAGCACACACATTAGCCTAGGCCTACACAGGGTCAGGATCATCAGTATCACTGTCTTCCACCTCCACATCTTGTCCCACTGGAAGGTGTTCAGGGGCAATAACATGTATGGAGCTGTCATCTACTATGATAACAATGCCTTTTGCAGAATACTTCCTGACAGACCTGCCTAAAGCTGTTTTGCAGTTAACTTTTTTTTTTTTTAAAGTAGACAGGGTACACTGTAAAATAATGATTAAAAGTATAGCATAATAAATACATAAAGAAGTAACATACTCATTTATTATCATTATCAGGTATTATGTTGATATAGTTTGGATGCTGACCCCACTCAAATCTCATGTTGAATTGTAATCCCCAATGTTGGAGGTGGGGCCTGGTGGGAGGTGATTGGATCACAGGGGTGAGTTTCTCCTGAATGGTTTATTACCATCCTCTTGGTACTATCCTCAAAATAGTGTGTGACTTCTGTTCATTAAGTGTATGGCACCTCCCCACTCTCTCTCTTGCTTTCACCATGTGATGTGCCTGCTCACCCTTTGCCTTCTTCCATGATTGGAAGCTTCTTGAGGCCTTCTCAGAAGCAGATGCCGCTATGCCTCCTGTGCAGCCTGCAGAACCATGAGCCAATTAAAGCTCTTTCTTTATAAATTACTCAGTCTCAGGTATTTCTTTACAGCAATAGAAGAATGGCCTGCCACATATGTACTGTATGTAATTGTATATGTTATGCTTTTATACAACTGGCAGTCAGTAGGTTTATAACAGCACCACCATGAACACTTGAGTAATGCATTGCCCTACAGCTCTAATGTCACTAGGCAATAGGAATTTGTCAGCTCCATTATAATCTTATGGAACCAACCTAGTATAAGTGGTCTGAAATGTCATTATGAGGCACATGACTGTATATGGACTAATTCTAGCACTTACTGATTTGTGAAACAAAAGCTTCACAAAAAATTTCTTGTCCAAGTTCAAAAACTAAAACTAGACTGGACCTTTTAGTACACAAAGGCAAAAGCCAAGGCCTGATATACACGTACTAGAGAAGTCAATTATTCTTTTTTTTGAGACAGGGTCTCAACTCTGTCACCCAGGCTGGAGTGTAGTGTCCCAATCATAGCCCACTGCAGTCTCAACCTCTCAAGTTCAAGCAATCCTCCCACCTCAGCCTCCTGAGTAACTGGGACTACAAACATGCAACACCCCGCCTGGCTAATTTTTTAATTTTTCTGTAGAGATGGGGGTCTCATTATGTTGTCCAGGCTGGTCTTGAATTCCTAAGCTCAAGCAATCCTTTCACTTTGACCCCCCAAAGGCCTAGGATTATAGGCATGAGCCACTATGCGTGGCCTCAGATATTCTTTAGGAGACTGTTTTATAAGGAGAGCTATTCATTTTCCAATATAGTAGACTGATTGATGGGTTGAATTAGAAAACAGACAATGGTGTCCATTTGCCCTTTCTGTTAATACAGATAAAAAGCTACAAAACTTGCAAATCTATTGTTTTCCCTGTTTTATCCTCAGGGTGCTCAAAAGAAGACTGAATTCTTGAAGTAGCATCTTTGCTTTACAGCAGTGGTTCTCCCAGGGGACATTTGGCAATGTCTGGGGATATTTTTGGTTGTCACAACTAGGTGTAGTAGGTATTACTGGCATTTAATAGGTAGAGATTAGGGATGCTGCTTAATATCCTGCAATGAACAGGCTAGCTACCCCACAACAAAGAATCATCTGGCCCAAAATGTCAATAGTGCCAAGGTTGAGAAGCCCTGGTCAATAGGTACCATCAACATCAATCCAAGCCATCACCAAGATAAACTGTTTGGGTAGAATTAAATACTTAAAGCTGAGAAATGAGTTCAATAACAACAATAATAAAAATAACAGCTGCCATTAATTATCACATGCTAAATAGGCCAAACCCAAGCTAAGTATTAACTCTATAATATCTCATTTCTTATGAAAATCTTGTGGGATATTATTATTCCTATTTTGCAGCAATTATTATTATATTTATTGTGTATGGCAGAGGTATTTAAAGATAACGTTAATGATGGCATAGGGTAATAATCTGGGGACAGATAATCTAAGACCTGAAGACACGGCACGATGAGAGAGGAAGAAACTGTAAGAGCTGTGTTCAGGAAAGTCCTTGGGGTGAGCATTAAGAACCCACTCTCTTGCTTCCAACTCTTTGGCACTTCCTTATAAGAGCCAGTGAAGCAGTAAAATGGCAGATCCAACATGTTTCTTGATTACTGAATAAAAAGGAAGAAACTATTTATAGACAGATAATGTAGGCAAAAGGCAAAGATAAATAGATAAAATACGGTGATAAACAAGCAATGCATAATTTAATCTTTGAGATCATCAACTGATTCCAGCACCTTCATGGTACAATGGGAAAATAAAAGCCTTAGGGAAAAGATGACTTGCTTAAGGTAATAAGGTAATACAGCCATACCCATGAAAACGAAAGAATAGCACTGTGGGCTGAAAACCAGAGGAACTTTCTCCAAAATGATACATCATTTTAGCTTAGATTTAGAAAGGGTTAAGAGGGTCCCACCTTTGTCTTTAGGAATAGATATTTTCTTACAAAGCTAAATGCCATTATCACACCTGTCAAGATTAACAATAAACTGGTTTGTTAAATCAGGATCCAAACACACTTATGTCTCTTAAGTGTCATAATCTAGAGCAGTCTCTCTCCCTTTTTTACCTTCACAACATGGACTTACAACAGTAACTGGGTCAGCTGCTTTGTAAAATGTCCTACATTCTGGATTTGTCTATCTACTTCCTTAAGTTGTAATCTGACTTACTCCTTTATCCCTTATATTTGCTGCAAGTGAAAGTAGCTTTAGAGATTCAGGTTTCACTTTTCTTTTTTTTTTTTTAACAAGGATACTTCATAGGGGGTAACATCAGGAGGCACATGTCTGCCTTGTCCCACTTTTAGTGATGCTAAGAGTGATCAGAGGGTTCAAATGGTAACAGCCTCAGCTCTCTTATCAACTTTTCATCTAAAGACTTGATAGTCATTCCTTGAATCAATTATTACATGAGGGGCTGTAAGTGGTGATTTTCTAATGCTGCTGGTCCAACTACATTTATTAGTTGGAATTCTTCTCTCACCAACTAAACCTATTTTGATACTCTGAATTACACTTTATACAGGAAAACTAGGATAACTATTTAATTCTTTCCTTTTACCTTCCAATTTTCAAAATAAAGTACTGGTGCCTTAGTTACATCAGTAACTGATGTAGAGTTTATTTCCAACTAAATTTAACAGATACCAAAACTGAAATATCTATTTACAAAACATTTAAACAAAGGAGAGGAGAGATTCTGTGAGCAATCCAACTAACATATAAAGGGTATAAGCCAGTACTTCCGATTTGTCCAGTGATGTATTAATAAAAGTCCAGCCAGGCACGGTAGCTCACACCTGTAATCCCAGCACTTTGGGAGGCCGAGGCGGGTGGATCACGAGGTCAGGAGTTTGAGACCATCCTGGCTAACATGGTGAAAACCCGTCTCTACTAAAAATACAAAAAATTAGCTGGGCGTGGTGGTGGGCGCCTGTAGTCCCAGCTACTCGGGAGGCTGAGGCAGGTGAATCGCTTGAACCTCGGAGGCGGAGGTTGCAGTGAGCCGAGATTACGCCACTGCACTCCAGCCTGGGCGACAGAGCGAGACTCCATCTCAAAAAAAAAAAAAAAAAAAAAAAAAGAAGTCCAAAGACCTGGGACAACCACAAAATCCTCAGAGGGAAAGGACTCTCTGGTCAAGTTTTTTGCTCCTGTGGTAAGTCAACAGAAAGATCTGTCCAAAGCTTTCAGGTCTCTGCAAAATGAATAATAAGCTACCTTTACTCTAAACATGATCAGAAGGCAAATCTCAAACTGAGGTCTGACCTTTTAAAAGAACTATATTAAGTGAGTTAACTCAATAGCTAAAATTGTCTGTGAATACCATAAATTAATTGGAATATTCACAAAGATGGTTGTGCTATGAATAAGAAATCTTTTTCTTCAATGAAACGAGCTGGAGAAAACTGCCGGTTGTAATGTTAATTTCAGAAAAAATTAAGATGAAAAATACTAAGAGTCATTGTATAATGATAAAATCAGTGAGTAGCAGAAAACCAGAGTGAATGCATAAACCACAAAAACAAAATTGGATACACAAAACAAGAACCATTAAAAATGTATTCAGAAACTATCACAAATGTAATAGTAGTAGTAGATTTTCATCCCCATCAAGCAGACACAAATGAAAACAAATGAATTTTAAAAACATAAATTTGGTAAAAATTCATGGTGTTGCAGTGTTTGCTTAAAAAAGCAAATGGAGAGATTTTTTTCACGTGTTCACTTCTAAAATCTTTTAAAATGTATTTAAAGAGGTAAACATCTTTATGCTACTTTACTGAGATATAGCAAACCTGGCATCTGCCCTGCCACAATAGCCCCTGCAACTGAGCTGGCCATATTTCTGCATCCCCATCTTCTCACCTTCCCATATGAGGGTACTTACCCCAAGGACAGTTAATCCATGGCCATGAACCTATATCCTGGTTAGAAAAGATAATCTGTGCCAAATAAGACGTCTTGGGAGTCTGAACTGAAAATAGGGAACAACTTGAGCAGTTTATAGTAGGACAGAAAGAAATGACATGGAATTCGGTTGAGCCATATTAATAGCAGAGAACCAGAGAGAAGATCCTGCTATGAGCTCTTAAGCTGTCATGAATCCAGAGCTCCTTTCCAGCTCTGGTCTTCAGGGTTGTCCTATGGCAGCTCCAGGTGTCCCTGTTATCCTGTTCTTATTATTCCATAGACATCTACATAAGTTTGCTAGGGCTGCTGTAACAAAGTACCACAGACTAGACGAACTTAACCAACAGAAATTTATTTCCTCACAGTTCTGGAGGCTGGAAGTCCAAGATCAAGGTATCAGCATGGCTGGTTCTTTCTGAGGGCCATGAGGGAAGGATTTGTTTCAGGCACCCTAGGCTTGTAAATAGCTGTCTTCTCCCTCTATAGATGTCACGTACATGACATTTCCTCTTCTAAGGACATCACTCATATGAGATTAGAACCCAACCTAATGACCTCTTTTTAATATAATTACCTCTTTAAAGACCTTATCTCCAAATATTGTCATACTCTGAAGTATGGAAGTGCGGTTAGGACTTCAAGATACGTTTTTTTTTTTTTGAGACGGAATCTTGCTCTGTCGCCCAGGCTGGAGTGCAGTGGCGCGATCTCGGCTCACTGCAAGCTCTGCCTCCAGGGTTCACGCCATTCTCCTGCCTCAGCCTCCCAAGTGGCTGGGACTACAGGCACTCGCCACTACACCCGGCTAATTTTTTGTATTTTTTAGTAGAGACGGGTTTTCACTGTGTTAGCCAGGATGGTCTCGATCTCCTGACCTCGTGACCCACCCGCCTCGGCCTCCCAGAGTGCTGGGATTACAGGCGTGAGCCACCATGCCCAGCCTCAAGATACATTTTTGAGGAGACATAATTCAGCTCAAAACAATAGCTTTAAAATAATCTCCTCTTGATTTAAGCTAGCTTAAGTGAGCCTCAGTTGCCTGTAACTGAATAGTTCTTACCAAAATATCTACATTTTCTGGTCTTCCATTATTATTTGAGACAGGTTCTTTCCGTCGCCCAAGCTGGAGCACAGTGGTACAGTCATAGCTCATGTAGCCTTGAACTACTGACTTCAAGTGATCCTCCTGCCTCAGCCTCCCGAGTAGCTGGGGACTTCAGGTGCACATCACTACACCAGGCTAATTTTTAAATTTTTGTAGATATAGGGTCTCACTGTATTGCCCAGGCTGATCTCAAACTCCTGGTCTCAAGGGATCCTCCCCGTTCAGCCTTTCAAAGTGCTGGGATAATAGGCGTAAGCTACCACGCCCAGCCACTTCTATTATTATTATTATTATTATTATTTTTTTTTTTTTAGACGGAGTCTCGCTCTGTCGCCCAGGCTGGAGTGCAGTGGCGCCATCTTGGCTCACTGCAACCTCCGCCTCCCGGGTTCAAGCGATTCTCCTGCCTCAGCCTCCCGAGTAGCTGTGACTACAGGTGCACGCCACTACACCCAGCTAATTTTTGTATTTTTAGTAGAGACGGGATTTCACCATGTTGGCCAGGATGGTCTCAAACTCCTGACCTCAGGTGATCCACCCGCCTCGGCCTCCCAAAGTGCTGGGATTACAGGCATGAGCCACCGTGCCTGGCCTATTAGTTTTAAACTGCTTATATGTTTCTTTCAAGCATCCCAATATTTTAAGTTGCAAGAGAGCAGTAACATTTTAATAGTTCATTGAATTCTGCCTCCACAGACCTAGCACCCTACAAACAATTGGCACAGAAAACAAAAGGCAGAGTGAAGATTTCTGAGGTAGATGTTGTGGTGTACCATCCAGACCCCCCTTTAGAACTGAAGCATTCATTCCCTTAGCAGCTAGGAGTGTTGGCTGCTGACAGTTCACAGCTAAGTCTTATTCCAAGAACTGCCAACAGAGCCACCTCACCCAAGGTAATGCCCCCTCCTAGGAGGTGGCCTGCATCCAATGATGCAGACCCCTAAGAACGCATCCTTCTTAGCTCAGTACAGAAAGTCTCTGAGGGCCACCTCAGCTCCAGAGAAACTTGTGAGATAGGCTGTGGCCTCTGTTGCAAACGCATCACAGTTCAACTCTCCCTCTAACCAATCCTACTACCCACCCAAGAGCTGCTGATCCTGAGACCACTCTAAAATAAATTTCCTGCACACAAATCTCTGTCTTAGAGTCTGTTTCCCAGGAAACTTGACTTGCAGTGCAGCTAACACTGTAACAGAAATGAAAACAAACAAACAAAAAAACTCAGAAAAATTAACCAGATACTGGGTTCATTTCCTCTTTTCCATTTCTTGCTTTTGGAGAATCCTGTCCACCTTCTATCTCCTTGCTAGAGACAGGGTCCTGTTTCTTCCAGTGCCCTCAACCAGCCACTCCTCAACACCACAGGCAGAAACCCCAGAAACCCTGCTCTCCCAGGACAGCAGGGGGCGCCACAGACCCCAGTTCCTCCCCTGGGTCCTGCAGCTGCACTTCTGAAGTCTGGTCCCTTCAGGATCTGGCAGCGGGTGAAGACCAAAGGAGAGGAGGGGGTGAAGCAGAGGAATCCATCTAGGAGAAGCTAGTTCTGGCAGCTCCCCATTGGCCTCTTCCTGGGAGCCTGAGTCCAGGAAGCAGGAAGCGCTCACTGGCTCTGAGGACAGAGACATGGGCCCTGCTGGCTGTGCCTTCACGCTGCTCCTTCTGCTGGGGATCTCAGGTGAGCGCCAGGGTGGGGTTGAGAAGGCAGAGGCAGAGGATTTTTACTAAAGAGGGCATCACATAGAACAATGTGACACTTCACCCATGGGATGTTAGTTATGAGTAGCACAGCCTGAGAAGGTCCTGAGAGGCTACTATATACCCAGCACCATTCCAATGCTCCCGATTGGAAATAGCAGTACACACACACACCCACAAGATCCCTATCTTCGTGGGACTTATAATCAATGCACATATTAAATGTGTAAATTATAAGGCTTGTTAGAAGGTAATAAGTACTATGAAAGGAAAGGGGCATCTGAAGTACAGGGGCAGGAGTGTTGCAATCTTTAGAAGGGTAGTTAAAGAAGGCCTCACTAAGAAGGAGTCATTTGAGCAGAACTGAAGGGGATAACTAAATTAAGTAAGAGGATCCAGGAAAAGAGCATCTCAAGCAGAGGGAACTGGAAGAGCAAACACTATTCTATGATTTCAGGTATATGCTTGTTCATTTATTTTTCTGGTCCACAGGGATTTAAAGGAAGGGTATACTGGCCAGGCACAGCAGCTCACGCCTGTAATCCCAGCACTTTGGGATGCCAAGGCGGGCAGATCACCTGAGATCAGGAGTTCAAGACCAGCCTGGGCAACATGGTGAAACCCCATCTCTACAAAAAATACAAAAATTAGCCGGGCGTGGTGGCGGGCACCTGTAGTCCCAGCTACTCAATAGACTGAGGCAGGAGAAGTGCTTGAGCCTGGAAAGTGGAGGTTGCAGTAAGCCGAGATAGCGCCACTGCACTCCAGCCTTAGCGACAGAGTAAGACCCCGTCCCCCCAAAAAACAGAAAGGGTATGCTGAGAGAGCAAAAAACTTAACAGGTAGCAAAGAAGAAAGATACACAAATACTGCAAAATGCCAATTCAGTTAAACCAAATAGCACAAAAGTAAACAGCTTGCAACCTCAACCGCATCTGAGGGCATCATTGTATTTATAAACTAACATACTTCATATTCCTGATGGTGACCTTGAATCAAGTAAAAGCTAAATTTGAATCTTCATAGAGCATTTTTTTTTTAAGAGACAGAGTCTCACTCTGTCACCCAGGTTAGAGTGCAGTGGTGCAATCATAGCCCACTGCAACCTCAGACTCCTGGGTTCAAGCAATCCTCCCACTCAGCCTCCCTAGTAGCTGGGACTACAGGTGTGGTTGAACCACACCTGTTGTGTTTGTGGCCCAAAAGAAGAAAAAAAAAACCCTGACTAGTATTTAGGAAGTGATTTGTGAAAAGTAAGAAAAGTCTCTAATATAGCACCTGTCTCCAACATTCCTTTTTCTACTTCTGTGCCTTATCTCTGGTCATCCCTAGTTTGAGAGTCCCATGTGACCTAGGGTTTCCTTCTGCCCTGCCTATCTCACCACATTTTTTTCCTTTTCTTTTCAGACAGGGTCTCACTCTCTCGCCCAGGCTGGAGTGCAGTGGCATGATCTAAACTCACCGCATCCTCCACCTCCCGGGCTCAAGCAATCCTCCTGCTTCAGCCTCCCAAGTAGCTGGGACTACAGGCATGCACCATCATGTCAGGCTAATTTCTTTATATTTTTTGTAGAGACGGTGTTTGGCCATGTTGCCCAGGCTGGTTTTGAACTCCTGGACTTGAGCAATCCACCCACCTCAGCCTCCCAAAGTGCTGGGGTTATAGGCGTGAGTCACTGTGCCCAGTCAATCTTACCACTTTCATTTGTCTATTGGTTCATTTATGTAGTCATGCAAATATTCACTGAGAACCTGTCTGTGTGCTAGCTACCAGCTAGAGCTCACACTTGTATGTAGTGTGCTGTTGTCAGTATCCACCTCTCACTGACCAGGGAACATCCACAGATAAAGCTGTGGCCCAAGTATAGGCTGACCTGCCAAGGCCAGCACCCTGCAGCAGCATCTTGGCCATCTACAACACGTCTTGAGTATACAGGTCACCAGCACACTAGAGAAAGAAGAGAAAGAGAAATGTGGAAATCTTTTTCTTTTTCAATTTTTTTTTTAGAGACCTGGTTTCACTATATTGCCCAGGCCTCAAGCAGTTCTCCCACCTCATCCTCCCAAAGCACCAGGATTACAGGCATGAGCCACTATCCCTGGTTTAAAAAAAAAATTTTAAGTTAAATGATATTCCATGTGTGCTGCTAAAGAAGGCAGGTAAGTATGTTTGTGAAGATTCCCACTAATAGGTAGAAGGCATTTGAAAATTTTGGCCTTTAACACCAATCTGGAAAATTTAAATATAAAGGAAGGTTCTCTGTTCAGTGAATCTAGATATTAGATGTGTTACTATGTGTTAATGATACCCTATTTCTTCCTTAGGTTCTTGCTTACACTCTTTTCCCAAAAAGAAAGAGCTACAATCAGGGGAGTGGTCTCCATTTTGAGCCCAAGACTGCTGGGTGTGGAACCAGAATAGGATGGAGTATGGTGTCTAGGGAGGGTTCAGGTCCTAGGAATAGATGGGAGTTTGGGAATGATGATAAGGTGGGGACCAGAGAAACAGGACTCCTAGGTTTCCACATTTCCCTTTCTTCTCTTTCTCTAGTGTGTGGGCAACCTGTATACTCCAGCCGCGTTGTAGGTGGCCAGGATGCTGCTGCAGGGCGCTGGCCTTGGCAGGTCAGCCTACACTTTGACCACAACTTTATCTGTGGAGGTTCCCTCGTCAGTGAGAGGTTGATACTGACAGCAGCACACTGCATACAACCGTGAGTTCTAGCTGGCAGCTAACACACAGACAGGTTCTCAGTGAATATTTGCATCACTTCATGAATGAACCAAAAGACAAATGAAAGTGGTAAAATAGGCAGGGCGGAAGGAAACCCAGGTCATGTCAGACTATCAAACCCGAAACAACTAGAGACAGGGCATAGAAGTAGAAAAAGGAAAGTTGGAGACAGGCACTATATTAAAGACTTTTCTTATTTTTTGCCAAATCACCTTCTAAATACCAGTCAGGAGATTTTTGTCGTGTTTTTGGGTCATAAACACAATCTGAGCTCTAAGAGCCACTGCTGTGAGAGAAGCAACTTGTCATGTGGTGAGTGTCCCTATGGAGAGGCCCATGTGGAACCCGCATCTCTAGTCAACAGCGAGAAGACCCAAAGCCTACCAACGTGAGTTTGGACACAGATCCTCCCCAGTAAGATGACTGCAGCTCACCTTGATTGCAGCTGCAGCTCACCTTGATTGCAGCCACATGAGAAACCTTGAGTCAATGGTACTCAACTAAGTCACACCTGATTCCTGACCCATAAAAACTATGAGATAAATATTTGTTGTTTTAAGCCACTAAGCTTTATAACTTATTATGCAACAATTGATAACTAATACACAACAGAAATTAAAATTCCAGGACTCTTCAATAACAACACTGAAAGTTCAATGAAAATAAGCCAGGTGTGGCAGCTTGCACCTGTAATCCCAGCTACTCATGAGGCTGAGGTAGAAGGATCACTTGAGCCTAGGAGTTCAAGGCTGCAGTGACCTATGATTGTACCACACATTCCAGCCTGGGCGACAGAGTGAGACCCTGTCTCTAAAAAAAAAATTAAGTTTAAAAAAAAACTCAAAGAAAATAGAGTAATAACTTCAAAATGCTAAAAAAAATTTATTTCCAACTTAGAATTCTACCCATATGCAAACTATCAATCAAATGTGGGATAGAAGTAAAACATTTTCACATACACAAAGCAGCAAAAATGTTACCTCTCATGCACATTTTCTCAAGAAGCCATAGGAGAATCTGCTCCACCAAAATAAAGGGGGAAAAACAGGAAAACACAGGATCCAGACAAAAGGGGAATAAAACACAGAAGAGAATCCCTAAGAAAGTCATAAAGGATAAAGAAAGTGCCAAGATGATGGCTGTGCAGCAGCCCAGATTAGAACAAGAGAGCAGAGGGCTCCAAAAAAAAGATAGTATTGATAGAATGCCTGACAAGTTTGAACAAAATGAGAGGAGATTTACACTTCTGGTGGAGAGCCTGGGGAATGAGACTGGTGATGGGTATAAAGATAAAAACAAAAAACCAAAGTGAGCCCACTTATCAACTCCAGGAGAAGCAAAACGTTTTATAAGAAATGTAATCACCCAATAGGACCCAGTAGTGAACAATGTTTACATAGTCACAAGAACAAACGCATTAAATACTGATCTAACGAAAAGTTATGATAACACTGGCTAGGAGGATGGGTGGAATGGAAGTGGGAGGTGGGGGGTAGACAGCGATGTGTAAGAAAGCTCAATCCTCACCTTCCACACTAGGAACTCAGGATTCTAAAACTGAAAAAGAAAAATCAAGAAACAGCTATATATAGGATTTCTTGAAAACACTTGAAAATTACTAAGAGCTAAAAGAGTTGAAAGTCATTGCCTCTAAATAGTTTGAACTGAGGGTGGTGGGGCAGAGAACTTGTTATTTATTTATTTATTTATTTATTTATTTTGTACATCTTATCAAATTACCTGGCATTTTAACTGTGTATATGTGTAACTGTGGTTATATTTTGCTTTAAAATTTTATTCAGAAATGAAGGTCTAGTGCTCAGAACAGAAATTAGTATGGACAATAAACAGCAATGTCTATTAAGCATACAGGTGATGGCTGAAACCATGGAGAATGGGAGAGGTAAATGAGAGAACCGGAGAGAAAACACAGGGCAAAACTCAAGCCACAAGCCTCTAGGAAGAGACCACAGAAAGAGTGGTCAGGGAAGGACGGGGAGAAAGAGAGGAAAGAAGGAGACAAATCAACCCTAGTTGAAGTTGGAAGCACCATGGTTAATTCCCAGTTGGCTACCCTCCTTTCTTGAGTAGAGACTTAGTGCTACATATAGGCAGCCTGTTCTGACCCAGCTGCAGGCCATAAGCAGGCCTCCTTTCTTTTCCCCATAGGACCTGGACTACTTTTTCATATACTGTGTGGCTAGGATCGATTACAGTAGGTGACTCAAGGAAACGTGTGAAGTACTACGTGTCCAAAATCGTCATCCATCCCAAGTACCAAGATACAACGGCAGACGTCGCCTTGTTGAAACTGTCCTCTCAAGTCACCTTCACTTCTGCCATCCTGCCTATTTGCTTGCCCAGTGTCACAAAGCAGTTGGCA
The DNA here is from genome assembly GCF_000001405.40 of Homo sapiens. Lineage (NCBI taxonomy): Eukaryota > Metazoa > Chordata > Mammalia > Primates > Hominidae > Homo > Homo sapiens. The sequence continues at coordinate 151,282,362 of NC_000004.12, forward strand.
ATTCCACCCTTTTGTTGGGTGACCGGATGGGGAAAAGTTAAGGAAAGTTCAGGTGAGAATGGGCAGAGAGAAGGGTTGTTTCATATGTCATCCTCTTGTACTCCAGAACATTCATATTCTAGGCATATCCTTACCATGGAAAATATTTTTCAACAAAACCAGATCAATCTAATGATATTATCTATAAGTTTTTAAATAAAATATCTTTTTTGACATTTATATTTTTATGTTATTTACTCTTGCATCTTGCAGAGTCTAGCTATAGCTGGAAGAGCAGATACTAACAATTTAAACACATAACTACCTCTCTCAAACAGAGGTTAATAAGACTGATTTAAAGTTTGGAGAGCGTCTAGTGTTTTTTAACTGTTTTTCAAGTTTTACGTCAACTCTTTCCCAGGTTGGAGTAGACACAAGACAAGAACTGATCTAGAAGCAAAAAACATGGGAAAGGAAGAAGTTTTAGAATCCTTTAGAATAGTCATACCTTTACTCAATCAGAATTTATCGGAAGTACTCATTATTTAGAACAATGGCTCAATTAAAAAAAAACCTCAAAGAAGCAGAAATAATTTAGAATTACTGAGTTTTAGATTTAAGTGTACCAAAAGATCCACCCATAAGCAAATATGATTGGAAAGGCATTGTAAGCTGCTTTTGGATTCCCATTCAGAGACTTCTGCACATCATGACTGAATGCTGCCCCTGCACTTTTCTAGGTTGCTTTAATCTTTTGTTCCTGTCTTCCTCCACAGATAGAGATTACCATTCTGCCCTTCAGGAAGCAGAAGTACCCATTATTGACCGCCAGGCTTGTGAACAGCTCTACAATCCCATCGGTATCTTCTTGCCAGCACTGGAGCCAGTCATCAAGGAAGACAAGATTTGTGCTGGTGATACTCAAAACATGAAGGATAGTTGCAAGGTCAGGGTTTGCTCTAGAGAATTTTTTTTTAAACATGAGATCTTAATTTGGATCCAGGTTTTCCTATCTGTAAATAACAGTGGATTGGGAGTCAGGAGATGAGGGTTCTAAGAATAACTCTTATGTTACCCTGGACAAATCACTTAACTTCTATCTGTGAAATCAGTTTCTTCAACTATAAGACTATTGATCTAGACCAATACTAACGACTGGTCATTGGACTTTTTTTTTTTTTTTTTTTTTAAATTAGAGACAGAGCCTTGCTCTGTCACCCAGGCTTGAGTACAGTGGCATGATCATAGCTTACTACAGCCTCCAGCTCCTGGGTTCAATCAGTCATCCTCCCACTTCAGCCTCCTGAGTAGCTGGGACTACAAGCTCACACCTCACCAGGCCCACATACTTTTTTCATTTTTTTGTAGAGATGAGGTCTCACTATGTTGCCCAGGCTGATCCCAAATTCCTGGCCTCAAGCAATCCTTCCTCCTTGGGTTGCTAGACTTTTATAGACCTGTATATTTTCATAAGTATATTATGAGGTTGAAGCAGAATTGCCAACTTTTAAATTTTTTCAAGTAAGAACATTTCACTCTATACCTAAAAGATGTCGTTCTATTGTCTCCTGGTCATAACTGATGAAAAATCAGCCATTATTTGCATCGTCATTCCATGGAGTGTAATGTGTTGTTTTGCTCTGGCTGCTTTCAGTATTTTTTCTTTACCTTTGATTGTCAGCAGTTTGAATATGATGTACTAGGTGTGGTTTTCTTTGCATTTATCCTATTTGGGGTTCACTGAGTTTTTGGTTTTTTAAATCTATTCTTTAACATATTTCACCAACACTTGGAAATTTTTCAGTAATGATTTCTTCAAAAACTATTCTGCCTCATTTCTCTCTCCTCCCCTTCTAGATGAAACCATAAACTTGTTAAGTTATACCTTTTGGTATTTTCACACAAGTCCATTTTATTTTTATGTTTTTCTCTCTGTTCTTCAAATTGGATATTTTTAAATTGATCTGTATTGAAGATCACTGCCTCTTTCTGCTGTCATTTACATTTTAAGTCCATCTAGTGAAGTTTTTATTTCAGACATTTTATTTTTTAGTTATAGAATGACCATTTGGTTTTATTCTCTCCTCTCATCCACATATACTTTCTACATCTCTGCCAAGATTTTCTAGCTGTATATTATAAATATTTTCCTTTACATGTGTTGATCACAGTTATAATAGTTGCTTTAAATCCTTATCTGCTAATTCCAAAATCAATCTGAGTTATCTCAGGGATATTCTCCAACAATTGCTTTTTCTCATGAGTAGCATTTTCCAGTTTATCTTGGAAAACGTTTTCCTGTTGTTTTGTTTACTTTAATATCTAATCATTTTGGAATATATCCTGGACAATGTCAATAGCATGGTGTAGGGAGTACAGATTGTTATGCTTCTCTAAAGAATGTTGATTTCCTGTTTCAACGGGAAGTCAACTTGGCTGACCTCAAAATCCAAACTGGATCTCTCCTGTGATAGGCATCAGCAGTTATTTTAGCCTTAGCTGAGCTGCTTGGAGTCTAACCTGCACATGTATGTAATTCAGGGTGTATTCAGAAATTTGAGCAGAGTTTATATGCAGAACTTGGGACTCTCGCTCTGTGGCTCTCTCCTTTCTGGTATATTTCCCTGCACTTTCCAACTGCTAAGGTAGCTCTGAACTCTATCCTCTAATTCCTCAAGTCAGTAAGACTGTGGGTTTCTTTTACCAGCCACTATGCATGATAATGACTGGGGCCTGCTTTAAGGGAAAAGCCACTTTTTAAAAAAAAGAGTGTCATTCCTTTCTTCCAAGGATTGACTCTAGTTTCTGCCTGCTATTGGCCACTCTCCACTGCCTTCAGAGAGTAGCCTTTTATATGCTGTCCACAATTTATAACTGTTACCCGAAGCAGAGTTTGTCAGAGACAAGTCACTCCCATAAGAAATTTTAAAAACAGAAAGAGTCCTAAGAAGAGCGGAATATACTTTCCTCTTAAGTGCCCATGGAACATTCTCCAGAATAAACCATATGCTAAGCTGTAAAACAAGCCTCAATAAAGTTGGAAGGATTAAAATTATACAAATTATATTTTCTAATCACAATGGAATGAAATTAGAAGTAAATAAGAGAGAAATATGGAAATTCACAAATATGTGGAAAGTAACACACTGCTAAATTAGGAAATATTTTGAGATGAATAAAAATGAAGAAACAACATATCAAATCTTATGGAAGCAGCTAAAGCAGTGCTTAGAGAGAAATTTATATCTGTAAATGCCTACGTTAAACAATATATCTCAAATCAGTAACCTAATCTTCCATACAAGACACTGGAAAAAGAAGTTCAAGACCAGCCTGGGCAACATAGTGAGACCTTGTCTCTACTAAAAATTTAAAAAGTTAGCTGGGTATGGTGCACAAGCCTGTAGTCCCAGCTACTTAGGAGACTGGGGCAGGAGGATCCCTTGAGCCCAGAAGTTCACATATGTAGTGAGCTATGATCACACCACTGCACTCCAGCCAGGACAACAGAGCAAGACTCTGTGGCTCTGTCTCTTAAAAATATATATATACATAAATAAAACTAAAAAAAAGGCTGGGTGTGATGGCACATACCTGTAATCGCAGCACTTTGGGAGGATAAGGTAGGAGATTTTTTTTCAGCCCAGGAGTTCGAGACCAGCCTGAGCAATACAGTGAGACCCTATCTCTAAAAAAAAAAAAAAAATCAGCCAGGCATGGTGGTACACTTGTGGTCCCAGCTACTTGGGAGGATTGCTAGAGCCCAGGAGTTCAAGGCTGCAGTGAGCTATATTTGCACCACTGTGCTCCAGGCTGGGTGACACAGTGAGACCCTGTCTTAAAGAAAAAAAAAAAAAAAAAAAACAACTAAACCTAAAGAAAATACAAAGAAGGAAATAAGGGATATAGTGGAAATTACTGAAATAGAGAACAGAAAGACAATAGAGAAAATAAACAAAAGCAAAAGTTGGTTTTTAAAAAGATCAATAAAATTGAAAAAAAACTTTAGCTAAACTGAGCAAGAAAAAAAAAAGACTGAAATTACTAAAGTTAAAAATAAAACTGGGACATTACTACCAACCTTACAGAAATAAAAAGAATTTGTAACACACTACTATGAATAACAGTATGCCAAAAAATTAGATAACTAAGATGATATGGACAAATTCCTAGAAACACACAAACTACCATAACTTACCTAAGAAGAAATAGATGGTCTGAATAAACCTAATAAAAAGTAAAGAGATTGCATTTGTGATTAAAAAAAAAAAAAAAACTACGAAGAAATAAAAGACCAGGTCCAGATAGAATTCATTGATGAATTCTACCAAACATTTAAATAATTAATCCCAATTCTGGCCACAGGCAGTGGCTCATACCTGTAACCCCAGTACTTTAGGAGGCCAAGGCGGACAGGTCAATTGAGGCCAGGAGTTCGAGACGAGCCTAGCAAATGTGGCAAAACCCCATCTCTACAAAAAATACAAAAATTAGCCAGGCATGGTGGCATGTGCCTGTATTCCCAGCTACTCGGGAGGCTGAGGCATGAGAATCACTTGAATCTGGGAGGTAGAGGTTACAGTGAGCCGAGATCGCGCCACTGCACTCCAGCCTGGGTGACAGAGTGAGATTCTGTCTCAAAAATAATAATAATAATAATAATAATAATAGTAATTAATACCAATTCTACACAAGTTCTTTTGAAAAATAAAAGAGGGGACTGGGCACAGTGGCTCACACCTGTAATCCCAGCACTTTGGGAGGCCGAGGCAGGCAGATCACCTGATGTCAGGAGTTTGGGACCAGCCTGGCCTACATGGTAAATCCTTGTCTCTATTAAAAATACAAAAATTAGCTGGGTGTGGTGGCTCATGCCTGTAATCCCAGCTACTGAGGAGGCTGAGGGAGGAGAATCACTTGAACCCGGGAGGCAGAGGTTTCAGTAAGTCAAGATCATGCCACTGTACTCCAGCCTCGGTTACAGAGCAAGACTCTGTCTCCAAAAAAAAAAAAAAAAAAAAGAGGGAACACTTCCCAACTCATTCGAGATCAGTATTACTGAGACCAAAACCTGACAAAGGCATCACAAGGAAGCTATAGACCAGTATCTTTTATGAACAGAGGTGTAAAAATCCTCAATGAACCAAATCCAACAACATATAAAAAGGACTATATATACCGGAATGCCGATTTCATGTTTCAACAGGAAGTCAAGTTGGCTGACCTCAAAATCCAAACTGGGGGTAATTACAAATGGGTATGTGGGTTCTTTTTAGGATGTGGTGACTCAAGCCTTGTAATCCCAGCACTTTGAGAGGCCAAGACGGGAGGATCACTTGAGGTCAGGAGTTCAAGACTAGACTGGGCAACATAGTGAGACCTCGTTTCTACAAAATATTTTAAATATTAGCCACCTGTAGTCTCAGCTACTCGGTAGGCTGCGGTGGGATGATCACTTGAGACCGGGAGGTCGAGGCCACAGTGAGCAGTGTTTGTGCCACCACATTCCAGCCTGGGAGACAAAGTGAGACCCCTCTCTCTTTTTTTATTTTTCAAAAAATAAAAAATAAAAAGGATATACCATAAACAACTGGGATTTATCCCAGGAAACTTAGGTTGGTTTAAAATCCAGAAATCAATCAATGTTAATATACCATGTTCTTAGAATAAAGAGCAAAAACCATATGATCATGTCAATAAATATGGAAAAAAATTTGACAAAAATCCAACAACGCTTCACGTTAAAAAAAAAACAAAACACTCAACAATGAGATGAGTGGAGTTTTTCAACTCGATCAAGTGCAACTACAAAAAAACCCACAGCTAAAATACTTCGTGGTAAAATACTATATGCTTTTGCCATAAGGTCAGGAAAGAGACAAGGATGTCTATTCTTGTCATTTCTATGCAACACTGTACTGGAGGTTCTAGCCAGAATTAATAAGCAAGAGACAAATAAAAAGACATCCAGATTGCAAAGAAACAGTAAAACTATCTCTAGTCACAGATGACATGATTTTATAAATAGAAAATCTAAAGGAATGCCACCCCCAAAAAATTAGAACTAATAAACACATTCAGCAAAACTGAAGGATATAGGGACAATATACTAAAAGCAACTGTAGGCTGGGGGCAGTGGCTCAGGCCTGTAATCTCAGCACTTTGGGAGGCCAAGGCAGGTGGATTCCTTGAGTTCAGGAGTTCGAGACCAGCCTGACCAACATGGTGAAACCTCGTCTCTACTAAAAATACAAAAACTTGCTGGGCGTAGTGAGCTGAGATCTCGCCACTGCACTCCAGCCTGGGCGGGGCAACGAAGCGAGACTCTGTCTTAAAAAAAAAAGAAAAAAGAAAAAAGCAACTGTATTTCCATGCAGTTGCAATGAATAATCTAAGGAAACATTTAAGAAAACAATATTCCATTTATAATAGTTTTAAAAAGAATAAAATAGGAATAAAGTTAATATTGCTTAAATTGCAGTATTCTCCAAATGGATCTACAGATTCAATGTAATCCCTATGAAAACCCAGCTGGTTTCTTTGCAGAAATTGGCAAGCTGATCCTAAACTGCATATGGAAATTCAAGGGGCCCAAAACAATCTTGAAAAACAAGAAACAAGTTGAAGGACTCACATTTTTCATATTTCAAAACTAACAGTAATCAAGCCAGTGTGGTACTAGCATAAGGAGAGACATCTATAGATCAATGAAATAGGATTGAGTGTACAGAAATAAACCCTTATATTTATGGTCAATTATTTTTAAACATTGGTATTGAATCAGTTCAATGAACAAATAATAGTCATTTCAACAAATGATGCTGGGACAAGTAGACAACCACATGCAAAAGAATGAACTTGGACCCTGACCTCGCCATATAACAAATTAACTCAAAATGGATCTAAGACCTAAATATAAGAGCTAAACTATAGCACCTTTAGGAAAAAACATATAGGTAGGTCTTTGTGACCTTGATTAGGCAACATTTTCTTAGATATGTTATCAAAAGCATAAGCAGCAACAAAAAAAGTAGATTAGAGTTCTTCAAAATTCAGAACTTTTATGCTTCAATGGACACCATCAACAAAGTAAAAAGGTAGCCTATGAAACGGAAGAAAATATTTGCAAATCATATATGTAAGGGATCTGTATCTAGAAAAAAGAACACTTGTAACTCGATCATAAAAAGAGCACAGTTTTTAAAAGAGCAAAGCATCTGAATAGATATTTTTCTAAAGATATACAAATGTCCAACTGGTATAAAGATATGCAAATGTAGAGAAATTGGAGCCTTCTAACACTGTTGGTGGTAATATAAAATGGTGCAGCCTCTTTGAAAAACTGTTTGGCAGTTCCTCACAGGTTAAACATAGAATTACCATATGACCCAGAAATTCCACTCCTAGGTATATGACCAAGAAAGATAAAAATATGTCCATACAAAAACTTGCACGTGAGCTGGGCACAGTGGCTTCCACCTGTAATCTCAACTACTCAGAAGGCTGTGGCAGAAGGATCGCTTCAGCCCAAGAGTTCAAGACCAGCCTGGGCAAAACAGGGAGACCCCATCTCTAAATAAACAAAGAAAAAACCGGTACACAAGTGTTCACAGCAGCATGATTATTATTTTAGAAACAGGGTCTTGCTCTGTCACCCAGGTTGAAGTGCAGTGGTAGGATCATAGTTCATTGTAAACATGGCTCAAGCAATACTTCTGCCTCAGCTTCCCGAGTGGTTGGGATGACAGGCATATGCCACCATAGCAGCTATTTACTTATTTATTTGTTTTGAAGAGACAGGGTTCCACTAGGTTGCCCAGGTTGGTCTCAAATGCCTGGCCTGATCCTCCTGCCTTGGCCTCTCAAGGCACTAGGATTACAGACACGAACCATCATGCTGGGCCATAGAAGCATTATTTATAATATAATAGCCCAAATAATGGAAGCAATCACAATGTCCATTAGGTGATGAATGCAGAAACACCAAGTGGTACATCCATACAATGGAATATTATTCAGCCCTAAAAGGAGTGGAGTACTGATACAACATGAAGGAACCTTGAAAAGAATGTGCTAACTGAAACATGCCAGACACAAAAGGTCAGATATTACATGATTCCATTTATATGAAATGTCTAAAATAGGCAAATCCATAGAGGCAGAGAGTGGACTACTGGTTGGCCTAGCTGGGAGGGTTGGGAAGAAATGGGGATAATTACAAATGGGTATGAGGTTTCTTTTTAGGGTGATAAAAATGTTCTAAAATGGGTTGTGGTGATGGTTGTACAACACTGTAAATATACTAAAAACCACTGAATTGTGTAGTATGTGAATTATATGACAGTAAAGCTGTTACAAAAAAGAAAGAGAACAAGACTAGAAGACTACTACCAACAACTATCACTATCATTTTAGGTAAGAATGGATTACTTAACACTAAACAAGAGCAGTAAGAACAGGAAATTAAGGCAGTTCATTCATTTGAATAAATTTATCTTTAGTGAAAAAATCATCTCATTAGTTTTATTTCTCTTTTTATCACAGACAAATATTTTGAAATTACTAATATATTTCACTAAGGTCTCTGACAATTTCAATTCTATGATTCTAAAATTCCTGTGATATCTCCCTAAAGCAGTGATTAGTCCAGCCCCCTGCAGGGTTCCACAGCTCCATGGGTCTCATGGCCCAGTTTTAAAGAATTCTCCACCCCTTATTACTACTCTCTTCTTTATGCCTCTTTTCACTATGCTCATTACCTTTCATTTCTTCCTTAGGGTGATTCTGGAGGGCCTCTGTCGTGTCACATTGATGGTGTATGGATCCAGACAGGAGTAGTAAGCTGGGGATTAGAATGTGGTAAATCTCTTCCTGGAGTCTACACCAATGTAATCTACTACCAAAAATGGATTAATGCCACTATTTCAAGAGCCAACAATCTAGACTTCTCTGACTTCTTGTTCCCTATTGTCCTACTCTCTCTGGCTCTCCTGCGTCCCTCCTGTGCCTTTGGACCTAACACTATACACAGAGTAGGCACTGTAGCTGAAGCTGTTGCTTGCATACAGGGCTGGGAAGAGAATGCATGGAGATTTAGTCCCAGGGGCAGATAACTCACAGGAGAGCCACTGCTAACCCTGGGTGACTTTATTTACAATTTGAAATGATTTTGTTTTTAAGGTTTTTGATTTTGGAAGTTTTGGGGTTGGAATGTGAAGAGTTAAGAAATAAAACTGTCACTTCTGTACATTCTTTGTCCTTGACTAATGCATCTTCCAAGACAGGAAGGATGTCCTCTATGAATAAGCATTTGTAGACACAAATTAAATAGCTATAAGACTAATGTGTCTTCCAAGGCAGGAAGATGTCCTCTATGAATAAGTATTTGTAGACACAAATTAAATAGCTACTACAGAGGCAGGCAAGTATCTGTGATGACACAGGAAAATATAATAAGGGTCTACCTCGTGCCCATGGGTTGCATCATGGGATTTTAGTCTATTATTTCTCACCTTCTCTATTATCTTTAACTTCCCTTCTAACCCTCCCTTTACTCCTCAACTGTAACAAGAGGGCTAATAAAAAATTCATATAAAGCCAATTCCAAGCACACTGCCTACAGATTAGCTAGCCCTGTTCCATAAGGAGCAGTAAAAAAAGAAGAAAAAAAAAGAGATGCAAACATGGGTCAGGCATGTTGGCTCACACCTGTAATCCCAACACTTTGGGAGGCCAAGGATCACTTGTGGCCAGGGGATGAAGACCAGCCTGGGCAACACAGCCCCTGTCTCTACAAAAGAAATAAGAAATTAGCCAAGAATGGTGGCATGTGCCTGTGGTCTCAGCTACTTGGGAAGCTGTGGTGGAAGGATAGCTTGAGACCAGGAGTTCGAGGCTGCAGTGAGCTATGATCACATCACTGCACTCCAGACTGGGCAACAGAGCAAGACCCTGTCTTTAAAAAAAAAAAAGGAAAAGAAAAGAAGGAAGGAAATGCATATATGTAGTTCAGCCCTATATTTTTCTTAAGTTTTTACTTTTTAAAATACCAGTGTGACCTACTACGAACAATGGATTAATGCTATGATCTCAAGAGCTGAGGTCTTGGGTTTCAACAATCTGGACCTATCTAAGTGGTTTAACTTCACATCTATAAAAAAACACTTTAAATATTTGGAACAAAGGACATTATAGAAAAGAGCATTATATCCCATGCTTCCTTTGTTAAACAATCACACAACCTATCCTATTCCCTTCTATACCTAGGCTGCCAGAAACTCAGAGCTAACTTTTGAACTCAATTACAATCATTATCTTCACCACAGATTTTCTGGTATAATTCCATTCATACTTCTTTAAGTCATCCTTTATTTCTCATTTAAATGAACTTAAGTTTTATTGCATCTGTGTCTTTTACAAGATACGGATCCTTTTATAAAAAAAACTTTGTTTCTGAAAGTTGACTTAAAGTAAGTACATTTTGGCTTACTTTAAGCTTTAAGCTACAGGTGGCTCACACCTGTAATCCCAGCACTTTGGGAGGCCAAGGAGGGTGGATCACTTAAGGTCAGGAGTTCAAGACCAGCCTGACCAACATGGTGAAACCCTGTCTCTACCAAAAATACAAAAATTAGCCAGGCATGGTGGCGGGTGCCTGTAATCCCAGCTACTCAGGAGGCTGAGGCAGGAGAATCACTTGAACTCAGGAGTTGGAGGTTGCAGTGAGCCAAGATCCCATCACTGCACTCCAGCCTGGGCGAGAGAGCCAGACTCTGTCTCAAAATAAAATAAAATAAAATATAAAGTACATTTAATGGAAATACATTTAATAGAAAATAAGGGTAGACTGGCCGGGTGTGGTGGCTCACGCCTGTAATCCCAGCACTTTGGGAGGCCGAGGCGGGCAGATCACGAGGTCAGGAGATCAAGACCATCCTGGCTAACACGGTGAAACCCCGTCTCTACTAAAAATACAAAAAAAAATTAGCCGGGCATGGTGGCGGGCACCTGTAGTCCCAGCTACTCGGGAGGCTGAGGCAGGAGAATGGCGTGAACCTGGGAGACGGAGCTTGCTGTGAGCCGAGATTGCGCCACTGCACTCCAGCCTGGGCGACAGAGCAAGACTCCGTCTCCAAAAAAAAAAAAAGTAAGGGTAGATTTGGAAACTTAAAATTCTTGCTAACCCTTATTAACCCCACCTGGGTTAGTAGCATCTGGATTGCCATTACAGCCTCCTAACTAGCATTTCCACATCCTTTCTTATGCCTTCCATTTACACCCAACTCCATTTATTCTCCTCCACAGCATTCAGATTAGTGTTTTAAAAATAAAAGTACTGTTTATACTGCTCCTCTTTTCCCCCTGCTTATAGCACTTCAAAGGCATCCTCCTGCTGCTCACAGAGTAAGGACAAAATCCCTTATTGTGGCCTACAAAGTCCGGCCAATCTGACCCCAGCCTGTCTCTTCAGCCTCATTTGGCTCACTTTCCAGCCTATTCTCTATGCTTAAACTTCTTCAAACATTCTAAGCACCCTTTCAGCACCAGACTTCTGCATCTACTATTCCCTCTCCCCTGCTGCCCTTGTCTAGTTAATTCTTACTGTGCCTTCAGATCTCAATTTACCCTTCACTTCCTCAAGGAAGCTATCCCCATCTCTCCTAACCAGGACAGGTCCTCCTAATTCTCATAGCACTATGAAGCCCTCCTTTATAGAACTCAACATAGCTATAATTGAACATTCATTTATGTAGTTGTCTAATTAACATATGTCTATCTTATCAAACTGTAAGTCCACGTAAGAATTTTTGTTTTTATCCACCACTGTATCCTAGTCTCAATAATTTGTTGAAAAAAATCAATGAGTAATATTCAGCTTGTCTCCCTAACTGTACTGTGAGAACCTGGATATTGTTTATGGAGGTAGCCCAGAACCTGACACAATGTTTCGCACAAAGTAGGTTTTCAAATATCAGTTAAATACAAGTTAGTTTGAAATTGGAAGTAACTGTTCCACAGCATAGGATCTGGCAACATTTTTCTCATTAACAAGGAGTTGAAACTTAAAGGAAGGACCAGGCCATGCAACTGCAAAAAAAGGAATATCAAGAGAATAAGACATGATCTCACTATCTTCATCACTACTGGGTGGATGCACCAAGGGTAGGCACCTAACACAACAGTTGCCCAGGGGGTGGTGGGGCAGTTAGCCCAGCATGTTACCCAACAGATGCACTCAGTGTTGGACAACACAACAGACCCTCCTCTGGAGAAATCCAAATGTCAGTCATACAGTATGTCTACGTGCATTCAACAGTATTAAGTGCCCACCATGTACCAGGTACCATTCCAGGCATGGAGGACACTACAGTAAATATAACAAATCAAGCTGGGCTTCAAGTAGTTTACATTGCAGTGGAAGACAGACAATAACCAAATGCAAAATAAATTCATATTATAATAATGTCATGTACAAGAAAGCCTGATAATAAAATAAGAGAAGCAGATAAGAGTATCAGGATGGGAAATCCCACCTTAGGGTGGTCAGGGAAGGTTCTCTGAGGAGGTGACATTTGATAGAGGCCTAAACAGAGGAGGGAAGCAAGGACTAAAAAAGGAGAGAAGGTGCGGTCGAGTAAACAGCGAGTACAAAGGTTCTGAGTTTAGGTGGGTGTGAGGAAGAACAGGCCGGTCAATGTGGCTGGGACACTGTGAGCAAAGGTGGAAAGGTGTATGAACTGAGACCAGAAAGAAAGGGAGCAGGGGCCAGGTCCTGCAGAAGCTACTAGGCCTCAGTAAGGACTCTGAATTTCATTCTCAGTGACATGAGAAGCCACTGGTGAAGTGAGAGCAAGGGAATGATGAAAGAACAGAAGAGTAGAGAATCCCACACCACTGCTCATGGGAATATGCAGAGGCCAGGAGGGGGCCAGGATGGCAAAGAGGGCAGTCAGATGGTAGCAGAGTCAGAACAAAAAGCAGAGAGAAAGAATCAGACACCAAGGCACTGAAGTAGAGCTGAGTGAAACAAGGACTGCTGTATCCTGAATATCAGTGAGTTTCCACATGAGGCTATGTGCTGTCTTACCGTCCCCTATTCTTTATCTGCACTGTCCTTAGAGTAAGGCCCTATTTACCAAGTGACTTGAGAAAGGTACAGCCCAAGTTTCTTACCTTTGACTTCGGAATTCATCACCAAAACAGCTAACTCACTTCCTGTTTGTTTTCTTCTTATTCAGACAAGTGTTCTGATTTCTTCATTCCATTTCCACCTCAAGGCTTTATTTCCTCTGTCCTCTACACCTGGAATACCTTTCTTTTGATACCTCAACCCACTTATTTCTGCCCACTGATTAGAAAAGGAGGCAGTGAATATCTAAAAAACACATTAAAAGAACCCTAGAAAACGGTTTTTAGGCCGGGTGCAGTGGCTTACGCCTATAATCCCAGCACTTTGGGAGGCTGAGGCGGGCGGATCACGAGGTCAGGAGATCAAGACCATCCTGGCCAACATGGTGAAACCCTGTCTCTACTAAAACACAAGAATTTAGCCAGGCATGATGGCATGAGCCTGTAGTCCCAGCTACTCAGGAGGCTGAGGCAGGGGAATCACTTGAACCCAGGAGGCGGAGGTTGCAGTGAGCTGAGATCGTACCACTGCACTCCAGCCTGGCGACAGAGCAAGGCTCCGTCTCAAAAAAAAAAAAAGAAAGAAAGAAAGAAAGAAAGAAAATCGTTTTTAAGAGTAATAGGGAAAAAAAGAGAATTTTAAAAAAATTAACAGGGAATAGGTAAACTGTATGGTATGCGATTTATAACTCATTGAAGCTATTTTTAAAACATGAACAGGGAGTTTCTCTCCTGCTTCAAGTATACAAATAATTCCTCATTTGTAATATATTTAGGGCTCTTCACAGATCTAAACGATTTCTGTGATTCTATTTCAAAGAAAAGCTCAACCTACCTATGTACATTTTGTTTCAATTGCTAAGACATAAAATGAAAAGTTCAACCCCAAACATGAGATACAGCACCTGGTAACACATTACTGGAGGGAAAAAGATCAATAAACATTTGTGTGGGGGAGGGAGCCACTCGGAGTTGGCAGGCGGCCACCCAGTGTACACTTAAGAGCCTGTCCCCTGCAGAAAATAAATAAATAAATAAACACACAATAAACATATGCATTCACAAAACAAACTTATTATTTACTGGTAACTAATTTAATCAGTAACACCACAAATGAGGAGGAAATAATAGGGACACCTTTACTTTTATGGGGCTCAATACAGCATTTCTGCCTTAAAAATGAATATAAATTTGCAGAATATTTTATTCTGTGGAATATCTGATTTTAATATGCTTCAATTTTCATTTCACACATCTTGAGAAATTTTAATTAAGGTGAGATTTTAACAAATAAAGGTTGCTAAAAATCCTATGAGCAATTTTTTTCCTAAATGTGGGGAAGATTTGTAAATTTAGTTATTTCCAGATCTTTTTCAATAGACTAGTTCAAATAATGACCCATTTTTTCCCTATATTCCACTAAACTGTAATGTTACCCCAAAAATGTGAGGACATTACAGAAAAAGGATTCAGAATAATAAAATGTCAAAGCTATATTTTGATATTATTTCGACAGTGAATGTTTTCTTTTCAAATGTTTCACTTCATTCTTCCTGCCCAACTGTGTATAGTCTATCCACACACTAGAAATCAGCTCCCTGAGAACTTTTTAAAATATATTGCTTCAGGAAAAGGAGGAAGGGGAGGAGTCATTCAAAATAATCAGAAATCAGATTAATGTATTCTCGGCTATTAATAATTGAGAAGAAACATTCACTGTCTGAAGAATAAAAAAGATAGAAATCTTTAATGGAAATTCTATTTGCCTTCCAGGATAATTATCCTCAACCAACCTAAATTCTCTCCACTGTCTACTACTATGTAAGCCTTCACTTTCCATCTCCATGTAGTTGGATAAAGTAATTGGAATCTAGTCCTGTGGCACTTTGTGTGCCATTCTTATGACACTTAGCCCACATAGCCTTGTGCTATAATTATCTCTGAACACCAAGGAGTGAAAAGAATAGGATAGGATGAGGGCCTATGGCTCCAGAATGCTAATGCTACTCTGCTTTTAGTGAAAATTAGTGAGAAGAAGACAAATCTAGAGACAGTTGGGTAGTAGAAGCAAGATAACATATTGTTTGGATTTGGATGTAATTTAATGAATTGGATGTAGATGGTAGAAGGAAAAAATAAAGACAAAGAGAAATCAAGAATGACCATAGGTTACTGGCCTGAGAATGTTGTACCATTAAATAAAATGAGGAAGGCTAGAGGAGGAATAGATTTGCCAAGCAGAGAAATCAAATGGTAGGCTAAACAATAGCCCCTCTAAGGACGTCCATGTTCTAATCCCCAGAATCTGTGAATATGTTACTACACGTAGTAAAGGGGATTTTGCACATATGATTAAGTATCCTGAGATGGGGACATCATCTGTATTATCTGGTGGGACCAATGTAATCAATCACATGGCTTCTTATAAGAGTAAGATAGGAGGATCAGGGCCAGGTATACTAATGAGAGTATGCAGAAGACAGAAGGATGGAAGCAGAAAGAAGAGAGGAATGAAGATGCTACACTGTTGGCTTTGAAGATAGAGCAAGGGGCCATGAGCCAGGCAATACAGGTGGCCACTAGGAGCTAGAAAAGGCAAAAACAGGATTCTCCCCTAGAGTCTACAGACGGAATGCAGTCCTGCCAGCACCTTGATTTTAGCTCAGTGAAATTGATTTCAGACTTTAGACCTCCAGAATTACAGAATAATAAATTTTTTTTTTTTTTTTTTTTTTTTGAGACGGAGTCTCGCTCTGTCACCAGGCTGGAGTGTAGCTCGGCACACTGCAACCTCCGCCTCCCAGGTTCAAGAGATTCTCCTGTCTCAGCCTCCTGAGTAGCTGGGACTACAGGCACCCGCCGCCATGCCCAGCTAATTTTTGTATTTTTAGTAAAGAGGAAGTTTCACCATGTTGGCTAGGATGGTCTCAATCTCCTGATCTCGTGATCCTCCCGCCTCGGCCTCCCAAAGTGCTGGAATTACAGGCGTGAGCCACCGCGCCCAGCCAAATTCACGTTGTTTTAAGCCATTAAATTTGTAGCTAATTTGTTATAACAGCAATAGGAAACTAAATGCAGACATTTTAGATTTGAGAGGCCTATTAGATGTCGAAGTAAAGATGCTGAATAGGCAGTCTAGAGTTCAGAAGAGAGGGCAGGACTAGAGAAATAAAAGCACAATCTGTTTGAATCATGGACCCTCTTCTCCACATCACCTTTAACACTGCATCCAAGAAAGCACTCATGCACATTTACAATATTTTTTATATAATTTCAAGATGTTCAAGAATTCCCTATATTCATAGAACTCCCAGAACATTATATATAATCACGAAGCAGCCTATTCTAACCCCAGTAAGATTGCTGCCTCCCTACGGAGGAAGAAACTGAATATCATTTCACTTCAAAAAACTTAAAAACCCCTTTTCCACTTCTACTTATCAAAACAAAAAACAAAATGTCACAGAAATACCTTACATAAAAAGTTCAAATCCCCCACATAATCGTAGTGTTCCTCACCATCACCCTCTAACCTTTCTTCTCATACTTAAGGATTTGGTCATGGTCAATATGCCACTGATTCCTTTTTAAATGTTTAAAATCTTGCTTGTTAAAATTAAGCTTGCTTTTTAAAATTAGTTTATGATAACAGAAAGCTATGGTTGCAACTACTGCAAAGCTTCAGAGTTCACAGGTTTGATTAATTTTATTAAAAATTCCATACTACTAGGTTAGATAAAAACAAAAAATAGCAATTGGTTGATCAAAGAAATCTGTATCAACACATTTTAAATAATGAAAACATTGTGGCCTTAAAAAATTAAAATCATGGCTGGGCGCAGTGGCTCACGCCTGTAATCCCAGCACTTTGGGAGGCCGAGGCGGGCGGATCACCTGAGGTCAGGAGTTCGAGACCAGCCTGACCAACATGGAGAAACCCCGTCTCCACTAAAAATACAAAATTAGCCTGGCGTGGTGGCGCATGCCTGTAATCCCAGCTACTGGGAAGGCTGAGACAGGAGAATCGCTTGAACCTCGGAGGCGGAGGTTGCGGTGAGCCGAGATTGCGCCACTGCACTCCAGCCTGGGCAACAAGAGCGAAACTCCGTCTCAAAAAAAAAAAAAAAAAAAAATTAAAATCACTGTAGCATCTTCAAAGCCAAGTTTGGATTTTAGGACAAATCTCCTATTCCCTTATGAGTTCAATGAAGTTATTTTAATTTCTGGAACAGAGGGCTAATATGAAAGACCTCAAGGAGACAGTACCATAAACAAGAAAAAAAATGCACTTGTGTCTCACATTCTTTTTATCCAGAGGCTGCTGAGTTAAGTGTCATACAAGGAAAAATACGCTAACCCATTTAAAGAGGTCCAATAAACAACTAGTTCCAAAATAGCCCTATTTTAAACTTCTAAAAACAGGTTGCAGCGAAAGAAATAAAACCAATGTCGGCCGGGTGTGGTGGCTCACGCCTGTAATCCTAGCACTTTGGGAGGCCAAGGCGGGCAGATCACCTGAGGTCGGGAGTTCGAGACCAGCCTGACCAACACGGAGAAACCCCATGTCTACTAAAAATACAAAATTAGCCAGGCGTGGTGGTGCATGCCTGTAATCCCAGCTACTCGGGAGGCTGAGGCAGGAGAATTGCTTGAACCCAGGAGGCGGAGGTTGCAGTGAGCCGACATCATGCTATTGCACTCCAGCCTGGGCAACAAGAGTGAAACTCTATCTCAAAAAAAAAAAATGTCAACCTAGCTTTCTTTACAGCCCTTCTGAGAAGGAACAACCTATTGAGCAGCAGGATGGGAGCATTGTGCATTGGACTATGCGTGATACTATACACATCAGCTTTGCACAATTTTTTTTAAATCAAGTGTTTGAGTCTCTACAAATGAAAAAAACATTTAGCAAATACTGAGTTCATAAAATATGCTCTAGGGAAAAAATTTCTAGAAGATTATATTTTTAAAGCCATGTAAGCTGAGTGTAAATGGACAGAACTAGGAATACTAAAAAAAAATAAAGGGAATAAAAGGTAGTATGGCCATGTGCTCACGTCAGCAACACGTATACTAAAATTGGAAAGATACCGAGATTAGCATGGCAAGGGTGACATGCAAATTCATCAAGCATTCCATTTTTTTTTTTTTAAGGTGTATGGCCATGTTAAGAAATTTGAGCTTTTAGGCGGAGGTATAATGTACAAACCACTGAAATGTTTTAATTCAGGGAAATAACATGATCAGTTTGTGTTTTATAAAAATTGCTTTGGTGGTTGTATAGAGAATGGATTAGAGAAACAAGTCAGGACACAGAATGGCCAGTTTGAAGTCTGTTGCAAACAGCCAGAGGTACCTGGAACAGGACAGTGGCAATGAAGATGGAGACAAGTAGACAGAATCAGGACCTACATCAGAGATAGATTTAATAGAATCTGGTAATTGACTGACTATATGTAGGCAATTGTGGTGAGGGAAGAAGTTAAGTACTTCACCCAGCTTTCTGGCTTGGGCAACTTGTGGTGTCTGTCATTCAATGAGATATAGAACCTTGGCACAGAAATAGTTTAGAGGTAAGAAATGTAAGTGATACGGTTTGGATCTGTGTCCCCACCCAAATCTCATGTCAAATTGTAATCCTCAAGCTGGAAATGGGGCCTGATGGGGGGTGATTGGATCATGGGAGTAGCTTCTCCATGGTTTAACACCATCCCCCATTGGGGCTGTTCTCACAACAGAGTTCTCGTGAGATCTGCTTGTTTTTATTTATTTATTTGAGACAGAGTTTTGCTCTTGTTGCCCAGGCTGGAGCGCAATGGCGCAATCTCGGCTCACCACAACCTCCACCTCCCAGGTTCAAGCAATTCTCCTGCCTCAGCCTCCTGAGTAGCTGGGATTACAGACATGTGCCACCACACCCAGCTAATTTTGTATTTTTAGTAGAGACAGGATTTCTCCATGTTGGTCAGGCTCATCACCAACTCCCAACCTCAGGTGATCCGCCCGCCTCAGCCTCCCAAAGTGCTGGGATTACAAGCGTGAGCCACCGCGCCTGGCCAGAGATCTGCTTGTTTTAAAGGTGTGTGGCACTCCCCGCTCTCTCTCTTCCTCTTGCTCTCGCCATGTGAAGATGTGCCTGCTTCCCAACTTCGCCTTCTGCCATGATTGAAACCTCCCTGAGGCCTCCCCAGCCATGCTTCCTGTACAGCCTGCAGAATCATGAACCAATTAAACCTCTTTTTAAAAGAAATTACCCAGTTTCAGTTATTTCTGTATAACAGGGTGAGAATGGACCAATACAATAAGTTAAAGATATCAAGACTCTACAAAAAGGAAACCCAAAGGCACATTACATTCTTACATTGAGCATTAAATAAGCAAACTGAGAGAACTACAATATATTCCAAAAGCTCCCTGGGCTAATTTCTAGTGACTATTATTTGCAAGGAGTTTATGAAGAATAACACACAAAGAGGTCCAAAACCAAGTTTTTTGCCATGAGTTTTGGTCTGCTCAAACTAGCAAGCCCTTAAGAAGGCTGTGGTAAATGACTTTGTTGTTCCCAATGATTCACTGCCCTCTGTGTAAAAAGATTATCCAGCCACTCAAGGTACCATGTAACTTGCAGGACCCCCACACCATTAATGTCAGGTTAACCAAAGAAGTGAGTAGAAGTGATACATGTCACTTCTGAGCATCGTTATAAACACTGGTACATGCTTTGCTATCTTTTTCCCAGATAGGGATTGCTCCTTCGGCCAGGATCCCAGAATGAGCACCACAGGTGAGGCTGAGCTACATCTCACCAGTTGAATATAACTGTTACACAATACTGAGCTCTAGAGGTTGTTTGTAATCACAGCATTAACAACAAAATATGACAGGTACTGGTGTCTAACAAATAAGAATGTATGACTTATTGGTGTTTCCCCTCTTCAAGTCAAATTTTTCTGGTGATTTGCTAAGAAGAAACCTGATGAAAAAAATAGTTGGCCCAAGTATTCCAAAACTAGAACAAAGAATTTTGAACCTGAAAAGAAACTTGGTAGGAGTTAGCAAACTTTTTCTGTAAAGAGTGAGATAGTAAGTATTTTAGGCTTGCAGACCACGTGGACTTTGTTGCAATGACTCAACTCTGCAGATGTAGGAAAAAACGACTATAGACAATGAAACTTTATTCACAAAAACAGTCAGTGAGCCTGGGCTCTGGGTCTAAATCTTTCATACTGTCAATGAAGAATCTGAGAGATTAAATCAAGGTCATATAGCGGGCTAGTGGGAGGCTGAGCATTAGAATGCATGTCTTCTGAAAACCAAATACCGCATGTTCATAGGTGGGAACTGAACAATGAGAACACTTGGACACAGGGTGGGGAACATCACACACCGGGGCCTGTCGTGGGGTGGGGGAAGGGGGGAGGGATAGCATTAGGAGATATACCTAATGTAAATGACGAGTTAATGGGTGCAGCCACCAACATGGCACATGTATACATATATAACAAACCTGCATGTTGTGCACATGTACCCCAGAACTTAAAGTATAAGAAGAAAAAAGAAAAAAAGAATGCATGTCTTCTGAATCTAGTCCTCTAGAACAGGTTCTGTTGGGTCACAAGATGGAGATGAAATACACACAATAAATAAAGCAGGGAATGCTAAAGATAGGTTTTGATTATGTTAAACAGCTTTCAACAGTTTGGTTATAAATGAGGATTTGCTTTTCGAGTGATTATAGCTTTCACGAAAAGAAGTAAATGTCATGAGACCAAACAGGTAAACAAATGATAAATTAGCCAGTGTTTTGAAAAATGATCTTCAGAGGAAACACAATTATACACTCCTTCCAACCACCATTTTCTTGAATAGATTATCAATCATTTCTTTTATTAACAGGATGGCATTTGCTATGATTATTACAGTAATTCATTTTAGGGAAAAATAGGTTTTTAAAAATACCATAATATGAGCAAGAAATATACTGGACCAGCAGCCAATTATTTCTCACAGTATTTTAAATTTATTTTTCTTTAATTTTGAAAGTAATAAACATTCATTGTAAGTAACTGAAACAATACAGAAGTATAAAGTGACACACTCCAGGCCCTCCTCGATTCCACTCCCCAGAGTATTAGCCATACATTATGTTTTAACATGACTGATTTGTTCAGAACGGTGCAGTAAAGCTACTTCCTCTGAGCTACTTTAACAACAAAGAGGAATATAGAGTTCCCCTGGCCAGATATCCCTTGGATATCATGTTTTGAAAAGTAACAAAGGGGTTTGGGGTGGTATATGGCCTAGAAATGAGAAAAGTAAGCTGCCCATTCAAGGTCTGAATGAGGGGTTTGAGCCCAGCACTGTAACCAGCTGAGTGAGGCTCCTCTTTATAAAAACACCTTGATAATGCTACTGTAGAATGTAGAAAAACTTAAAAATGGGTTAAGAGTATCCCTACCTTCTCTTGCTCTCTCATTTTTTTTTTTAAACTTGGGCTGGTTTACTCATAAAAGCAGATTTTTTTTTTTTTAAGAGATAGGGTCCTCACTCTGTTGCCCAGGCTGGATTCAAACTCGTAGGCTCAAGCAATCTTCCCACTTAAGTATCCTGAGTAGCTGGGACTAGAGGCACATACTACCCAACCCAGCTCTGATTATCTTAATCAGTTTTTTTCTTTAAGCCATATTTGACATATCTGAGTGACATCAGAAAAAATGGCAGAGTTAAGACCTCCAAAAGTCTATCCCTCCATAAAAGCAATAAAAACCTGATAGAAACTGGCAGAATCAACTTTTCAGAACTCTAGAAACCAACCAAAAGCTTGTAGCAACTAATGAAACACTGAATCCAGAAAAACTAGCTGGATTGTGGTTAGAATATTGAGCTTTGTGGCATTTTTAACTTACCCTGGTCCCTTCCCTCTTCCCAGCTCAGTGGGAACCTTAAAAATGTTAGCCTGCATTCCTGGTACCAATATCAGGACTAGAGAGAACAAAACCAACCTTATTCACAAAGAACTGTAATAATTTGTCTTGACCTGTCTGGTTTCTCCCTGGAGAAGACTTTCTTTTACCTTACCTAATTTGGAATTATCAGTGCAAAAGTGGCTAGCTAGAGGGCACTTGCTGAAAACACTGACAAGCAAATATATTAGTTGCTGCTGCACAAGGATAACAGTTGGGGCAAACAATAAGCTAACCAAAAAGGTTGGGAAGATAGGCTAGAGAATGAGATGGTTTGAGGAATACAGGCTTTGAATAGCTCCCACATATTCCTGGGAATCTAGAAGGCCAACTGTATTACCAGGATGGGCATATGCTCAGAAAAGACCTGAGAAGGCCCTAAGCTGCCACCTCTGGCTGACTGTCAGAATATGCACAAAGAAGTAAAGGCAAAGCAGACTTGTAAACTGCCTGTCTGAGTACTGAAGGTGTGTCAAAACACAAGAGCCCATCTGCATAAGCTGGGAGGTTCTTTTTGGTTCTAGGCATAAAACAAAACAAAACAAAACAAAACAAAAACCTCTGTCCAATCACTAGCTGACCACTAAGCTAATGAAACTGAAAATTCAGTGTCATGCATGACAAAGAATATAGGATTTACAAAATTAGTTCAGAGAAGTCACTAAACAAACAACCACAACCATAACAAGCAGCAATAACAAACCCTGGGAAGGGAGAAGAATCTGATTTCCAGAGCTGTTACATTATAATATTCAAAATGTTCAGTTTTCAACTTGTAAATACAAGGTATGCAAAGAAATAAGAAATATGGCCCATACACAGAAAAAAAAGTAATCAATACAAACTGTTCTTTCTGAGGAAGCCCAGATGCTGGATTTACTAGACAAAGACTTTATACTTCTGTATTATTGTTTGGGGAGCTCTTTATGTATTCTACATTCAAATCTTTTGTTGGATATATGATTTGAAAATATTTTCTCCTAGTCTGTAGCTTATCTTTTTATTCTATTTAACAGTGTCTTTAGCTCTTTGAACATATTTAAACAACCCAATTTTTAAATGTGCAAAGATTTGAACATTCTTCCCCAAAGATGACATATGGATAGCAATTAACCATATGAACAGATGGTCAATATCATTAGCCAAAAGGAAAATGTAAATTAAAATTACAATGAAATATCACTACACCTCTATTAAAATGGCTAAAAACAAACAAATAAAAACTAGAAAAAATCTAGCAGCATCAAGTGCTGGTGAGAATGCAGAACAATGAGAACTCTCATACATTGCTGGTGATAACACATAACAGGATAGCCACTCTGGAAAACAGTTTGGAAATTTATTATAAAGTTAAATTTATATTTACCATATGATCCAGCAAACCTGTACACAAATGTTTACAGCAGCTTATTCATAATCATCAAATACTGAAAACAATCTAAATATCCTTCATCAGGATATTGTGTACCAGCATAAACAAACTGGTACACTCACACAATAGACTACTACTTGGCAGTAAAACAGATCAAACTATTGATATAGTAACAAAATGAATCAATGTCCAAGGCATTCTCCTGAGTAAAAGAAGCCCGTCTCAGAGGTTATATATTAATACTTTATGAATTCATTTATTTAATATTCTAGGAAAGGCAAAATTATACAGACAGGGAGCAGATCATTGGTTGCCAGTGGAAAGGCGTGCACAGGTCTGACTACAAAGTCAGCCCAGGGAATTTCCAGGTGATGGAACTGTTCTGTATGGTGACTATGGTAGTTGCCACAAGAAACTACATGTGTAATAAAATTCATAGAACTGTTCACCAAAAAGAAGCCAATTTTACTGTATGTACATTTAAAAATTAAAGAAGAAAAGACTACAGGGATTCAAATCTCAGCTGCACTTAACTTCTGTTTACGTCATTTTTCTTATTTTAATAACAGGATGACAAAAGAACCTGCCTTCCAGGATTGTTAGGAGAATTACAGGAGTTCCTGACACATATTTAGTATAAATAAATGATTGATGAATATTTTATTCAGATATGCTAAAAAGTTGGTACTTTTTAAAAAAGTCTACTACAGGAATAAGTAAGAAAGCTGGAGACTCAACTAAAACAGGGGAAAAAAGAATATTGGAATTAAAACCCCAATTCTTCATTAACTTCATTAAACATTCATTGGAAACCTATGAGGTGAGCAATACCAAATTACATTCTACAAGGTTTGCAAAACCCATGTGCTCAAGGAGCTATTGAAAGGTTTGTTCTAAATGCTATGTAAGTACTCATCATTAAATTTAACACTAATAGCAAACGCGCTGTAATTAAGGTTTAATACTAAATGTTCAGTGTCACTGTCCCTTTCCTGAAGAGGCTGTCAAATGGTAACCACCTTTTTCCAACTCATGAAACGTCAGCAACACTGGACTTGTCCCTCATGTTCAGGCTCTGCATCCCATGTCACTAACTCAGTAGATTCCTTCTCAAATATCTTTATCATCCACTCTCCCGCATCATTCCTTACAATTTTCAGGGTTTGGGGTTTTAAAAAGCAGCAGCTGCTGCAATCACTCCTAATGATGACTTCTTTTTTTTTTTTTTTTTTTGAGACGGAGTCTCGCTCTGTCGCCCAGGCTGGAGTGCAGTGGCGGGATCTCGGCTCACTGCAAGCTCCGCCTCCCAGGTTCACGCCATTCTCCTGCCTCAGCCTCCCAAGTAGCTGGGACTACAGGCGCCCGCCACTACGCCCGGCTAATTTTTTTTTTTTATTTTTAGTAGAGACGGGGTTTCACCGTTTTAGCCGGGATGGTCTCGATCTCCTGACCTCGTGATCCGCCCGCCTCGGCCTCCCAAAGTGCTGGGATTACAGGCGTGAGCCACTGCGCCCGGCCCCTAATGATGACTTCTATCTTTTTAGTGTCTCCCTTCTTACCTGAACAACATGAGCCTTCTTTGGCCAAATATCCAAATCTACATTTAAGCTTCAAAAGCCAAATTAATCAGGACCCAAGGTGGCGCAGCCCTCGTGAGCCCAAAAAGCCACTCGCGTCTGGGCGCCAACCCTTAGGCTCTGCCTTCCCAGAGTTCCTGGTGCTAGACCCGTCAGGCAGGTGTGTGCCCGCAGGGCCTGACAAAGGGCATCACGTTCAGGAGTTTGAGGCCTTGCGAGGCCCCTTTGCTGTCTCTGAGGATAGTTGGGAAGGCCTTTGGGCCTGGATTTGACATCCATGAACTGTGCAGCAGCTCAAAGCCTGGGTCAGTTGTATTGACACCAAACGGCAAACATCTAAAGCGCTCAGGACTAACAAAGAAACAGGAAAACGTGAAGTTTTGCATATTAGCATGCGTGGTTTCCCCTCCACAGGGTGAGCCATGAGCAGAAGAGGGATTTGCCTTCCAACCTTGTGTACATAAGAGTTCCAGTTAGAATGAAATGTAATCGAACTAAAAATAAAGACTACGTTAAACCATCTTTATTTATTTTATTATTATTTTTTCAGACAGTGTTTTGCTGTTACTGCCCAGGCTGGAGTGCAATGGTGCGATCTCACTGCAACCTCCACCTCCCGGGTTCAAGTGATTTTCCTGCCTCAGCCTCCCGAATAGCTGGGATTACAGGCACGGGCCACCACACCCAGCTAATTTTTGTATTTTTAGTAGAGATGGGGTTTCACCATGTTGGCCAGGCTGGTCTTGAACTCCTGACCTCAAGTGATCCACCCACCTCGGCCTCCCAAAGTGCTGGGATTACAAGCATGAGCCACCATGCCCAGCCTAAAACATCTTTTAAAAAACTCAAGACTGTCCTATTTGACAGCTATGTACTGAGCACATGTGTCAAGCACTGTTCTGAGTTATGAGGGATATGAACAAAGTAAGCCTCTTCCCTCAGGAATCTCACATTGCTGAAAGTCAGAGTGGTCAGTTTATTCCTGGAGCCTACCAACTTTACCCTCTTTCCATTCTGAGAAACCTTAAGGTACCCCCCACAGGCCCTAGGTCCCATCAGACAAAAGCAATTGCAGGCATTTCTAGGTGAGCCATGTGGGTACCACAAGACTCTGCCATCTTGCCCCAAAGGGACCTGGGATGGGTTTGAAAAGGCAGCTCTCTATGGGTTTGCCATACACCTCCAAGGTAAATGGGCATAAGAACCCTGCTGCAAAAGGCCATCCTGTGCAGAATTGTGGCTGACCAACCTACTTAGAGCCTCTTTCTTGGGGAGGCTGACTGTGAGAAAAACAAAAGACAGCCAATTATTTAGTACCTTAGAAGCCATGGAAGCAGACATCAATAAACTGTAGTGTCACTAACCATAAGGAGCAACAAAGTCATTCCAACTTATTAAAAAATGTTCTCCAGAGTAGCTATTTGCTATCAGTTTTTTAGAGTTACTCTCATTTTCAAATACCTTCTGAAACTGCTTCCTGCGTCTTTCTTTTTTCTTTTATTTTTTTAGACGTCTTGCTCTGTCACCCACCGGGACTAGAGTGCGGTGGCGCAATCTTGGCTTACTGCAGCCCCCACCTCCTGGGTTCAACAATTCTCATGCTCCACCCTCCCGAGTAGCTGGGATTACAGGTGCACACCACCATGCCCAACTAATTTTTGTATTTTTAGTAGAGATGGGGTTTCGCCATGTTGGCCAGGCTCGTCTTGAACTCCTGACCTCAAGTGATTCACCCGCCTTGGTGTCCCAAAGTACTGGGATAACAGGCGTGAGCCACCGGGCCCAGAGATATTTTCCATGTCTTTCAACTTACATGTATATCCTTCCAATAAGCCTCCATCAGCTAAGGTGAGCATGCCCATTTCTTGCAAGCTGAAAGAACATAATGAACACATACAGTGCTTTCCAGTTACTTCAATGATAACTCACCACACTGTTCTTTATGTGGAGCCTACTTAGACTATAAAACGATACAGGAGTTGACTAAAATCCATGTATAAAATTCATGGCGGGACTAAAAAGTTTCTGCAAAGCAAAGGAAAAAATAAAAGGAAACCCATGGAACAGGAAAAAATATTTGCAAACCATATATCTGATAAGGGGTTAATATCCAAAATATATTAGGAACTCGTATTAATAGCAAAAGAAACCCCAGATTTTAAAATGGGCAAAAGATGAATAGATGTTTTTTCAAAGAAGGTATACAAACACCCAATGGGTACACGAAAAGGTACTCATTACTAACCATCAGGGAAATGTAAATCAAAACCACAATTAGATACCATCTCACATCTGCTAGGATGGGTATTATCAAAAAGTCAGCCAGAGGCTGGGCATGACAGCTCACTCCTGTAATCCCAGCACTTTGGGAGGCCAAGGCAGGAGGATCACTTGAGTCCAGAAGTTCTAGGCCAGCCTGGGCAACACATTGAGACCCAGTCTCTACAAAAAATTTAAAAATTGGCTGGGTATGGTGGCACATACTTGTAGTCCCAGCTACCTGGAAGGCTGAGGTGGGAGGATTTCTTGAGCCCGGGAGGTCAAGGCTATAGTGAGCAGAGATGACACCGCTGCCCTCCAGCCTGGGTGACATAGCAAGACCCTGTCTCAAAAAGAAAGTCAGCTGAGCATGGTGGCTCATGCCTGTAATCCCAGCACTTTGGGAGGCTGAGGCAGGAGGATAACTAAGACCCTGTCTCAAAAAGAAAGTCAGTTGAGCATGGTGGCTCACGCCTGTAATCCCAGCACTTTGGGAGCCTGAGGCAGGAGGATAACTTGAGGCCAGGAGTTTGAGACCAGCCTGGTTAACACAGCGAAACTCTGTCTTTACAAAAAAAAAAAAAAAAAAAAATTACTGGTGGTGCACACCTGTAGTCCCAGCTACTCGGGAGGCTGAAGCAAGAGGATTGCTTGAGCCTAGTGGTTTAAGGCTGCAGTGAGCTATGATCACACCACCACACTCCAGCCTGGACAACACAGCAAGACCCTGTTGCACCAAACAAAGAAAAAAAAATCAAAAGATATGTGTTGGCAAGGATGTGAAGAAAAGGAAACTCTTGTATGTTGTTGATCGGTGCACTGGTATAGCCATTATGGAAAACAGTACAGAGGTTCCTCAAAAAAATTAAAAATAGAACTACCATTCAGCCATGCCACTTCTGGGTATATATCCAAAGGAAATAAATCACTCTCTCTCTCTCTTTTTTTTTTTTTTAGACTCTTGCTCTGTTGCCCAGGCTGGAGTGCAGTGGTAGGATCTCGGCTCACTGCAACCTCCACCTCCCGGGTTCAAGTGATTCTCATGCCTTGGCCTGCTGAGTAGCTGGGACTACAGGTGCACACCACAACACCTGGCTAATTTTTGTATTTTTAGTAGAGACGGGGTTTCACCATGTTGACCAGGCTGGTCTCGAACTCCTGACCTTAAGCGATCCACCCACCTCGGCCTCCCAAAAGTGCTGGGATTACAGGTATGATTCACCATGCCTGGCCAATAAATCCCTATCTCAAAGAGATATCTGCACTCCCATGTTCACTGCAGCATTATTCACAATAGCCAAGATACATAAACAACCTAAGTCTGATGACGAATGAACGGATAAACAAAATGTGGTGTGTGTGTATACATATTATATATGTATACACTTAGGTTGCTTATGTATCTTGGCTATTGTGAATAATGCTGCAGTGAACATGGGAGTGCAGATATCTCTTTGAGATAGGGAGATATATATGTATGTATACATATATACATGTATATATGTATACACACACAGTGGAATTTTATTCAGCCTTTAAAAAGAAGGAAATCCAGCCTGGGCAACACAGTGAGACTGCATCTCTACAAAAAATTATTATAATAATAATTAGCTTGGCATGGTGGTGAGCACCTGTAGTCCCAGCTTCTTGAGATGCTGAGAAAGTAGGATCACTTGAGCCCAGGAGGTCAAGGATGCAGTGAGCCATGATCATGCCACTGCACTCCAGCCTGGGTGACACAGCAAGACCCTGTTTAGAGAAAAAAAAGAAGGAGGAAATCCTGCCACTTGCGACCACATGGATGAACCTGGAGGACATTATGCTAAGTGAAATAAGCCAGACACAGAAAGACTAATACTGTGTGATCTCACTTGTATGTGGAATCTAAAAAAGTCAAACTCATGGAAGCAGAGAATAGGCTGGGCATAGTGCCTCACGCCTGTAATCTCAGCACTTTGGGAGGCCAAAGTGGGAGGATCACTTGGGACCAGGAATTTGAGGCCAGCCTGGGCAAAAGAGCAAGACCCTATCTCTACAAAAAATTTTTTAAAAGAAAAAATTAGCAGGGCATGTCCCTGCAGTCTCAGCTACTCAGGAGGCTGAGGTGGGAAGACCATTTGAGCCCGGGAGGTCAAGGCTTCAGTGAGCCGTGATTGCACCACTGCATTATGGCCTGGGCAACAGAGTGAGACCCTGTCTCAAAAATAAAAGAACCAGAGAGCAGAAGGGTGGTTACCAGGAGTTGTGAGGGTAGGGGAAATGGGGAGGTATTATTCAAAGGTCTAAACTTTTAGTCATAAGATGAATAAGTTCTGGAGACCAAGTATATCGCATGGTGACTATAATTAATAATAATGTATTATATTTGAAATTTGCTGAGAGAACTTAAGTATTCTCACTATAAGAAACAAAAAAAAAGGTAGCTATGTGAGGTGATGGATCCTTTAATTAGCTTGATTGTGGTAATTATTTCACAATGTATACATATATAAAAACATCATGTTGTACATCTTGAATATATTCAATTTTCATTAGTGAATTATACCTCCACAAAGCTGAAAAAGGGGGAAAAAAGAAAAATGCATGATGGATTCTGTTTATTCTGTTTGAATAAAAGTTATCACAACATGAATTACTTAAGATGGAAAAACATAACAGTTCAAATTATAAGAAATCACACTGAAACCAATCAACATCATATTTTTAAATAGGATACTAAGGCAGTGATTCTCACCTTACATACAACTTTAAAAATCCAGTTCCTCAGCAACTATTCCGGAAGTAATGAATCTGGAAATCTGAGGGTGGGGTCATGAGCACATGTTTTCTTTAAAGTTTCAAAGTTGATTCTGATGTCCTGCCAAGAGTTGAGAAGCCTGGCCCTACAGTAGAGATAACTGAGGGCCTTGTTGCTCAAAATGTGGCCCAGGGACCACCAGCAGTGGCATCACCAGGACCTTGTTAGAAATGCAGAGTCGGCCAGGCATGGTGGCTCACACCTGTAATCACGGCACTTTGGGAGGCCCAGGTAGGCAGATCACATCAGGTCAGGAGTTTGAGATCAGCCTGGCCAACATGGAAGAACCCCGTCTCTACTAAAAATACAAAAATATTAGCTGGGCCTGGTGGTGGGCACCTGTAGTCCCAGCTACTGGGGAGGCTGAGGCAGGAGAATGGTGTGAACCCGGGAGGCGAAGGTTGCAGTGAGCCAAGATTGCACCACTGCACTCCAGCCTGGGTGACAGAGCAAGACTCCATCTCAAAAAAAAAAAAAATAAATAAAATAAATAAATAAATAAATTAGCCGGGTGTGGTGGTGAGTGCCTGTAATCCCAGCTACTTGGGAGGCTGAGGTATGGGAATCACTTGACCCTGGGAGGGGGAGGTTGCACTGAGCCGGGATCATGTCACTGTACTCCAGCCTGGGCAATGAGCGAGACTCTGTCTCAAAAAAAAAAAAAAAAATGCAGAGTTGCAGCTCTACCCAAAACCTACTACATCATATCTGCATTTGAACAAGATCTCCAGGTGATCTGTAGGCAGAACAAAGTCTGAGAAGCACTCTTTAGAGTTCCCATTGCTACAGAGGTGTAAGAAATACCAAACCACGTTATAAAGTTGAATACCTCATGAAACTTTCCATGAAGGAGAAATACGAAAGGAACAAGGTGAGAGATAAAAAGTTACTTGTGATATAAAGGAATGTCACATTATTAAGCATCTAATTAAGAGTAATATTCAAATAGAAGTCTGCATATTTTATGTATTTATTTATTTATTTATTTATTTATTTTAGAGATAAGGTCTCACTCTGTCACCCAGGCTGGAGTGCAGTGGTGCAATCATGACTCACTGCAGCCTCAAACACCTGGGCTCAAGCGATCCTCCTCCCTCACTCTCCTGAGTAGCTGGGACTACAGGCACACACCACTGCGCCCACCTAACGTATTTTATTTTTTATAAAGTCGGGGTCTTGCTTTGTTGCCCAGGCTGTGCACATTTTAAAACCTACAATAACATTCCTTATTCCAAATGAATCCCACTTCCAGACGCACCCTCCACTGGCAATAGTTACACTTTCACTGAGAGTAACCAATCTACCTTGTAATCTCCAGGTAGCTCCAGTAGTCTCCACTGAGCTAGCCTATATGTTGAGGGGAATCTTTGTGAAGGAATGAAGAAACAAAGGGTGTGGTAGCAAGATAAGACAGGATCATTTACATGGGTGATATGCTGGGGGCCTTCGAGTGTTATGTGAACACCTCTACACTAGTTTCAAAGGACTATTTGGAAATAGTGACATTTATTGCCAGAAAAACTAATTCTCCACATCTTGTACAAACATTTTCTTCTGAGCCCTTTGTTCTTGGCCAGCTCTCAGAGAAAAAGCAGTTAACTATCATCCAGTATAATGATTCCTTGATTAACGTATCTTCTGGAAACAAAGCTCCAGTATAATGAAGGCAGCCATATTGAAAACAAATGAACTCTCAGTCCCATGCAGCAGCCCTGGCATGCATTCTAGGGCTCATCAGCAATGCAATTGTTAATCTACTCAAATGCATCAGAGCAGGGACAACATCACCTCCCTTCACAGCTTCTATTTATTTATTCTGAATGAAGTTGGCACTAGGCAAAATAACAAAACCAGAAAACTATATTCAGATTCTAAAGGCTTCCATTTTGGTACCCTTCCACTTGCCCAAGGATGGCCACAACCACTTCAAAAACTACACATCACACATGAACACTTGAAGTTTACAAGCATGTTCCCCATAATGAGCCTGCAGAGTAGTTAGGGCATGAATAATTCCTATTCCAAAGATGTAAAAAAACGGTGGAGTGGGGGCCTCATAAAACCTAACTAACATGTCCAAGGTCACACTACAGTAAAGTACAAAATAGCAACAAGAATCTAGGTATCTTATAACAAAATGTATTACAGCTTGGTGGTAAGAGGAAGGAAACAATAAGATCAAGTTAGAATCTATCAGTTAGGAACTGCCTTCAGCTGCCAGCTGAGGCCTATGATAACAGTGGCTTAAACAAGGTAGAGTTTCTTATTCCTTCCTTCTAAGTAAAGGAGGAGGCAGGCAATCAAAACCCATGTGGTGACTCTATCTAATCAGCAGGGACTGCAGGGCCATCTATTTTTCTGCTCCACTATTCTCAGTGCTTCGGTTCCAACCTCAAAGTAACCTCATGGCCCAGGGTGGCTACTGTGAGCTACACAGCCTTGTTCCTGGCAGGAGGTGGGAGGAAGATGGTAAGGGGAAAAGGGTATTCTGTGCAGTTGAGTGAACCCCCTTTAAAGAACTTTCCTGGCAACCCCATTCAACAACTTTTACTTGTATCTCATTAACAGGCTGGAAGAAGTAGCTTCATAGGTGGGTACATTGCCACATCCAGAAATACAGGGATTCCATTCACCAAAAAAGGAGGAAATGAGGAAAAAAGGAGGCAACCAGGAGTCCATGCTACAGAATCCTATTCTGTCACTCCCTTGCTGTGTGACCTTGAGGAGATTATTCACCCTTTCTAGGCCTCAGGTTCCTCATCTGTTAAATGAAGGAAACAATCACACCTACTGCATAGGATTGGTACCAGGACTAAATGAGAAAAACACACTGAAAACAACTGGAATTGTCTCGGCACCCAGTGCACAATAAATATTAACTTGTTATTTGATTATCTTAGCCCAGTGCTTTCCAAATTCCTTTCCTACTCTAACTTCCCCTCCATTTCCAAAATTGGAAAGGAATTTATATTAGTCATTTGTACCTGCTGACAGAGGACTCTAGTGTAAATGAGTCTTAGTCATAGGTCACCTCAATCAGACAAATGTATTTCATGCCTTTCCTTTCTAATTATACAATGAAATTATCTCCCAGACATCCATACAGATCAGATATTTTGGACAGAATTAGGATGGAGAAATTGAGCTTACATTCTCCAACAGGTGGGGCCTAGAGACAATCCTAATCAGATCTTTGGAGAGACCAAACAAACTAAGGGAGTATTAAAGAATTTAGGCTGGTGCAGTGGTGTGTGGCTGCAATCCCATCTACTTGGGAGGCAGAGGCAAGAAGATCCCTCGAGCCCAGGAGTCTGAGTACAGCCTGAACAACACAGCAAGACCCCATTTCTACAAAAAAAAAGGTCTCTTTCATGCAAAATAATTTCTAAAAAAGTATGTAGATACTTTACCCTTAAAGAGGTATAGCATAATTCTTTACTCCTTAAGTGTAGCATAACTCTTACTTCATAGTGACTTCCTTCACTTTCTACAGTATGGAAAGAGAGGAAAAAGGCTTAACTTTTTAAAAAAATTTCTTTTGAAGGACTACTGCAATGGGGTCTTGCAGTTGGGGAGGGAGAGTGGACGCCAATGCCAAAAAGAGTAACTTTCAAGCAGAGAAACTTCACAAGCACTACCTCTGCCAGGTAATCAAGGTCAGTAGAAAAGTCATGATAATAATATATACCCTTGAATTGTGATAAAAATGGCACTTTACCTCTGTGATCTTCCTCTCAAACACCCGTAAGCCAGTTTGATCATGAGAAAAACATCAGACAAATCTCAACAGGGGAACAACATACAAAAATGTGACCAGTACTCTTCAAAACCGTCAGGGTCATCAAAAACAAGGAAAATCTAAGAAACTGTCATAGCCAAGGGGAGCCTCAGGAGATATGACAACTAAATGTAATACAGTCTCCTATACGGAATACTGCAACACAAAAAAGGACACTAAGCAAAAACTAAGGAAATCTGAATCAAGCATGGAGTTTAATCATACATCAATATTAGTTCATTAATTGTGATGAATCTACCATACTAAGATGCTAATAATCAGGGTGTGGGGTATATGGGAGCTCTTTGTACTATCTTCACAATTTTTCTGTTACTCAAAAAATATTCTAAAAAACATTTAATTTTTTTATTTTTTTCTTAATTCATTTTTTTTCCCTTGGTATAACTTGGAACAAATTTTTTTTCCCTTGGTATAACTTGGAACAAATTTTATTTTTAAAAAGAAAAAAAAGGAAAATAATGGTCCACAGCTCCTACCCTCACCCCCATGAGCCCATCCCCACCACAAGGACAAGCTTACAGTTCCTGAAGGTGAGGCCAACAGCTGCTGAGGAGCAAGGACTCGTTCCAGCTGCTTCTAAACAAGGGGGCCAGGCCTCTGCCAGAGCCTTCTCCTTCCTGCCCTGTGTCAAGCTATCCAAGCTTCCTCCTCAACCTTTACCCTGCCCTATGCCCTGAAACTACCTGACACGTATTTTCCTCTTGTACTTAATTGATAGTAGAATTTCCCTCATACATGTCAAGTACTATAAATTCCCCTAGAACACATCCCATGTCTTCCACTGATGAAGGGGAACACTGCCACATTATCAGTGAATGAAGCTGCTATCTTGAAAAGGGGTCGGCATGACAAGTTATGCTAGACAACTTATGCCAATGTAACTGCCCTCACCAGGGAGACACCGTCTTGAGCTTTGCCCCTTTGGCTTCTCCCACACCAGTGGAGCAGTTCACAAGGAGCCTGGGAGAAACTCTCCAAGATCTAACTTAGTACATGGGCAAACTGCTGTAAACTATGTCGGAAGTTATTTTTCTGCTCATCTCCTAATATCATAAAATGTAAAGTTGGAAGCCTCATCCTTTCAATTAATACACCAAAAGCTAAGGCCCAGAAAGATGCTATAAATTGCTGGATGCTACAAAGCTAATTGACAGATGGGATTAGAACCAAGTGTTCAAAGGATTAGTCTCTAAGCACCATTGGATGAAAAGCTGAAATGACCTAAGGGAAAACAGTGAATATGCTGTCCTCAGAATATAATATGCCAGTGAAGTTATAGAACTGCTGGATGACTAGTGTGAGAGAGGGAAAGAAAACAGAACGAAGGGATGCACTCTGGTTAAAAATAGGTCATAGGCTGATCAACTCACCTCTGATTTGCTGAGATCACTTTGAACATAATTGCTTATGTCACAATAATGAGCTTTCAGTGGACAATAAAGAAAAGCTGAACGTTGGCTGGGCACAGTGGCTCACACCTATAATCCCAGCACTATGGGAAGCCGAGGCAGGCACATCACCTGAGGTCAGGAGTTCGAGACCAGCCAGGCCAACTCTGCAAAACCCTGTCTCTACTAACAATACAAAAATCAGCCAACGTGGTCGCAGGCACCTGTAATCCCAGCTACTTGGGAGGATGAGACTACTTGGGAGGCTGACGCAGGAGAATCGCTTGAACCTGGGAGGTGGAGGTTGTAGTGAGCTGAGATTGTGCCACTGCACTCCAGCCTGGGCAACAGAGCGAGGCTGTTTCTTAAAAAAAAAAAGAAAATAAAAGATAGGCCGGGTGCAGTGGCTCATGCCTGTAATCCCAGCACTTTGGGAGGCTGAGGTGGGCAGGTCACGAGGTCAGGAGTTCAAGACCAACCTGGCCAATATGGTGAAACCCTGTCTCTAATAAAAATACAAAAAAAAAATTAGCCGGGCATGGTGGCACGTGCCTGTAGTCCTAGCTCCTTGGGAGGCCGAGGCAGGAGAATTGCTTGAACCTGGGAGGCAGAGGTTGCAGTGAGCCAAGATCGCGCCACTGCACTCCAGCCTAGGCGACAGAGTGAGACTCTGACTCAAAAAAAAAAAAAAAAAAAAAGAAAGAAAGAAAAAGAAAAGAAAAGCTGAGCATTATTACCAGGCCATGTTAAAGTAATTCATATGGCTTAAGAAATACCAAAGGAAGAACTAGCCTCAGTCTTTGGGAGTCCTCTAGAATTAAGATATTTCCAAGAGATACATGAATGCCAAAGAAAAGCAACTACATTTGATTATTAAATGATGACACTGCAGATTTACCTTCTTTTTCCTCTGACAACATGAATTCATAACTATTCCCAAGTGAAGAAAATGCAGACTCAACTGTGAAATATTTTATCAATAATAAGAAAAAGGAGACATAAAATAAGTGCTAATAATTTTATAGGTATTTACTATGGGCTTGGCCATGTTCTAAGGACATTATATACATTAACTCATTTAGTCTTCAAACCCAATGCAATAGGATTTACTATTATTCAAATTTAGAAATATAAATAAAGAATAGAAGCAGAGAGGTTACGTAACTTGTCCAAGGTCACACAGCCAGTGGTCAGCCAAAAAATGAACCAAGACAGTCTGATTCTCTCATGTCAAACTGATACCCACCATGGACTACTTTATATTCTTTATATTCTTAATTATCTTCTTTAAAGTGTAACAGTCTTACCTTCCCTAATTCTATGGCATAGTCTTTAAAAGCAGGGAGCCTATTTTATATATCTCTTTGTATTGCCAGTATTTTAGGCACCATTTTGCATACATTATATTGATGGGGATAACTAGACAGGTCTTTTATTTCTTTTTGAGACAGAGTTTCACTCTTGTTGTCCAGGCTGGAGTGCAGTGGTGTGATCTCAGTTCACTGCAACATCCACCTCCCTAGCAAGCGATTCTCCTGCCTCAGGCTCCCGAGTAGCTGGGATTACAGGTGCCCACCACCACATCTGGCTAATTTTTTGTATTTTTGGTAGATATGGGGTATCATCATGTTGGCCAGGCTGGTCTCGAACTCCTGACCTCAGGTAGTCCACCCGCATTGGCCTCCCAAAGTGCTGGGATTACAGGCGTAAGCCACTGTACCTGGCCCAGGTCTTCTTAAACAATGTGATGAGTACAGGATTTTTAAACAACATGTAAATCTACTCATAGTTTCCATGGAACTTAAAATAACTTTCTCAAAATAAATTAGACAACTTTGGAATTCTAATAACAAAAAACAGTAAGCTGGTGGTCCAGAGAACTAATGCAGTTTTCAAAACTATCTAACTTAGTAGACAAAGCCACAGACTCTGAGAGGATATGACCTGACATCTTATATGAATCAACTAAAAAAACCTCTACAACTTGCAACACACAATAGAGGTGACTGAGGTTCAGCTATACCTAGTTGTGTAATTTTAGATAAAACCTTCTAACATTTCTGAGTCTCAGTTTACTCATCTTTAAAATGGGAACAAAAAACTTACCCTCTTCCCTCTCAGTTTGTTGTAAGAATCCAAATGAATGCAGTTGTGAAAGCCCTTCATAAATAGAAAAGCACCACATAAATGTAAAGTACTTCTAGAATACAGCAAGCAGCATACAGGTATAAATGCGTGGAGCATCAATAGTAACTGACTTATATGAGCAGTCAGTGTGATCACCTGGAAAAACATGGACTTCCACTTCAAAAAAAACCTGCATTCAAATCACCATTCCAGTATTTACTAGCTGAGGGACTGTGGATAAGTTGCTTAAATGTTTGTGAGCCTCAGTCTTTTCAATGATAAAATGAAGAAAATAATACCTACCTCACAGGTGATAACATAAAGAAGCACCTGGTACACCGTGAACACAGTGAATGTTCTTCTGTGCCCTCATACTGATGATATTAAAGTTATTTTACTCAAAGCACAACAGACAACAGTTATATCAGTCCTTCCAGGGTTTACCATAAACACATCAAAATATAGAAAGAGTAAATTTAGTTAGCATTTAGTAAGCCCTATTATGTGCCTACTACTCTTCCAGATGTTGGGAGGAGGATCCAGAATCTTGTATATCCTCCCTTTGGAGAAATAATATTAAAATGTTGTATGTCAGGCAGAGATTCTCAAATCTGTTTGAGAATCTGATGAAAGCTATGGCATTTCTCCCCAAGGAAAGCTACAAAGCTTTTAGGGGACAATAAAGGAAATATAGGAGAATATTTTCATGACCTTGGATAGAAATCATGTTCTTAAAGGGGGTGAGGGGGGAAGAGACACAAATTATAAAGGAAAAGATTCATAAATTCATCTATACTGAAATGAAGAATTTCCACATCGAAAGAAACCATAGAGAAAATGAAAAAGTAAGCCAGAGTGGAGGTGGAAGAAGATATTTGTAACACACATAACCAACAAAAGTTGAGATTCCTGGGTAAACAAAGAACTCCAATAAATCAATAAAAAATAATAGGCAAAATGCTGTGGTATATATTTATACAATGAAAACAAACAAACAAAAAAAACAGAACCGGGCACAGTGGCTCACGCCTGTAATTCCAGCACTTTGGGAGGCCAAGGCAGGCGGGTCACCTGAGGTCAGGAGTTCAAGACCAGCCTGGGCAACATGGCAAAACCCCGCCTCTACTAAAAATACAAAAATTAGCTGGGCATGGTGGCATGCACCTGTAGTCCCATCTACTTGGGAGGCTGAGGCAGGAGAAATCACTTGAATCTGGGAGGCAGAGGTTGCAGTGTGCTGAGATTACACCACAGCACTCCAGCCTGGGCAACAGAGCAAGACTCTGTCTCAAAACAAACAAAAACCCACAGCTACATGTAACAATACAAATAAATCTTACAAACTTAATGTTGAGTGAAAAAAGCACCTGGACTAAAGCAGGGATGTTAGTATAAATAACATTATCAGTAGCCTTTATCCTCCCTTCTTCCCCCACCCAAGCTATCCTTCCTCTAGGGTGACTATCCTTGATTTGCCTGGGACTGAGGAGTTTCCATGAATGGGGGACTTTCAGTTTTAAAAGCTGGAAAAGTCCTGGGAAACTGGGAAGAGTTGGTCACCCAATCTCGTCCGCCTATTCCCCCCACCCTCCACTTCTTGCCCTTGGCTAGCACTAACTAACACTAACACAGTGGCACTAACACACCAATCTCAGTTGTGCAGATAGAGATGAAGAATATGCAATCAATAACAGAAAGAAAAAAACCAAGAAACAAAAATGAAGTTGATCATAAATGCCAGGCTGTATAAATCAACCATGAAATCCTTTAAGCTACCGAGAAAACCCACAATGGAAACTAAGTCCTATAAGTTAGCCTGTGGAAATCTCCATGTTTATCTCATGGGTTTTCATCTGATCTACTAAAAAGGACAAATTAGCCAAAGGAACTATTTCTTAGAATTTAACAATCTGTGTTGGGGTGTGATTTCTCTCTTAATTACATGGAGTTTGCAAAGTGCATCATCCTTTTGAACCAGCAACATAAATGTTATCTGGGAATGTGTCAAAAATGAAAATTATCAGGCCCTATCCCAGACCAAGTGATCAGATACTGAGCGTGTACAAGGCCTTCAGGCAATTCAGATACATGTGGCAAAAGTTTGAGAACCACTGGATTAGTGTACCCACATCCTCTCTTCCTTGTTTGTAATGGGCATTTGGTGGATTAGTGAGACACCCCCAAGAATTCAGGTGTTGTGTCTAGCTTTCATATTACCACTCTCTGTCAGGTCAGGCAATTAAGGATCTTGGATACCACCATCAACAGTAAATATTTCACATAGTGCCAGATTTACGACACCTTAGCCTCAGCACATGAAACCCAAACAATGGAATACTCTCTGCTCCCCATTTACTTTCCTATAACTGCTTATTAATCTCATGCATCATGAGCTACTACAGAATTAACCCTCACTGGCCAGGTGCAGTGGCTCACACCTGTAATTCCAGCACTTTGGGAGGCTGAGGTGGGAGGAGTTCGAGATCACCCTGGCCAACATGGTGAAACCCCGTCTCCACTAAAAATAGAAAAATTAGCCAGGCATGGTGGTGCACACTTGTAATCCCAGCCACTCTGTAGGCTGAGGCATGAGAATCACTTGAACCTGGGAGGTGAAGGTTGCAGTGAGCCATGACCACGCCACTAGACTCCAGCCTGGGCGACAGAGCAAGACTCTGCCTAAAAAAAAAAAAAAAAAAAAAAAACCTTTCCTGAATTGACCTCAGTACTTGATTGCCTATAATTCTGCCAAAAAAAAAAAAAAAATTCAACTGAGCTTTTTATTTATTTTAGAATCATGCTGAAGATATTTTATTACTTTAAAAGCTGGGAAACATAAATACATTTTATAAAGAAGTTGGGCACCAGATCAACTATCATCCTTTGTTGTAAAATAAAACTGTGATTAATCAAACCCAATTTTCTTAACATCATTTTAAAAACACACACACATTTATTTCCTAAGGATGCCCTACAAGGACTGTCCTGTGCTCAGAACCTGCCTGGGGCTCTTGGCCTTTGAATGAAAAGAACTCATTCCAGACATTTCATAATCTCAAGTCATTACTTGCTTTCTGCTGGGTTGATAAAATACAGGACAATTCCACTTAAATGATCTTAAAAAGGTAAAACTAAACAATATTTTATAGAGATGCATATGTGTATGGTAAAACTGTACAGAATGAAAAGGAAATAATAACCACAAAGGTTAAAAAAATGGTTACATCTAGGGGAGAGAGGAGGCTAAGTCTAGGAGGGATGGGAATCCATTTCTAAGGAACTGACTATATCCTATTTCTTGACTTGAGCATGAGTTACAAGAGTTTTTACTTTATAATTTACAAATTTCATATGTTCTTCTGTATGTAAGTTACAAAAATAAATAAATGCACTTACACAACCACTCCAAAATTTATCAGGGAGAGAAGGAAGAGTTCACAGACTACCTTAAGTCCATAAACCCCAGGTTTATGGTTATCAAGCTAGGTGAAATCAGAGAAAAGGAAACTCTTTAGATTGTAAAATGATAAGGGAAGGAGGGAGCACTGAGAACAGGAAAAGTGAAAAACTGAAAAGGTGATGCAGAAAAAACATGAAGCTTCTGCGTCAGTTCATACCCTCTCACTTGGAGGAGAGCAACATCTAGCACAGACATAACTAACAAATGCCCAAGCTTGGTAAGGAATGTGTTAGTGTCTGAAAAACATGTTAACTAATAAGGGGAAAGTGGAGCTCAGCTTGTAAAGAAATGTAAACTATTAAATAATTTCTTCTAAAAGAAATAAATCCAAAAATCGCAAGTTTAACCCTCTTACTCATTCCATTACATCGTCCTCACACCCTTTAATGGAAAAAGGGCATATAAATGGTTAGAAAACTACAAACACCAATTACTGAATGCAAAAAGTACACAATGTCATGTCTCAGCAAAATATTATCAAAGAACCTAGAAAAGCCTTTGTCAACCTTGAGAAATTAGGGAACTGGTGAAAACTAATTACAAAATGTCATTTCCACCAGCTTTGGAATAAATACACATATTGCAACTAAATGATAAACACACATCTGGATCACATCTAGTCTGAACTCCAAAACAGGTCTTCACTGTACAGTCTCTTGTGAGAATGAAGCTTTCTGCTGAAGGTAACAGGAATCTAAGGTGGCCTACCCTGTTTAAATCCATAGGTCAGGCATGGCGGTATATCTTTGTAAAGTTTTTTCATTGTACTCTTGCAAGAAATATTCACTTATATCCAGCAACTATTCATTATTTCACAAGGTTTGGGTTTACACTGAACAAAATTACCAATTATGTTCAAAACTGGTGTTCATATAGACAGCCAAATGCCTTATTTTGATGAAAAGTTGTAATAATGAGCATGGAGAATTATTTTTATGTTCCAAGATTCTACCAAAGGCATTAAATTGACTATTTCTTCAAGATGTTCTTCTCAAGTTTTCCTTTCATCCTACTTTCTACCCTCCATTTGTTCCGCACAGATACAATATCTTCTCTATTTTTCCAACTTTCTCTTAGTGGTTAAGGGAGTCACACAGAAAAGCTTCTCCACTTCATGGAATATTCGCTATATTCCACTTTATAATGAGGCTCTCAGTGAATCGTTCTCCTCCGACTCTCTCACTTCCCTATCTCCCTTTTGTTGCCAGTCCCCCTAGGTTTGTTCTTCCCTCTTGTTTTCAGATAACTCGGATTACCCAGTTGGAACCAAAGGCCAAAGAATGTCCTCTCTATTATGTTTGATTGAAAAGCCGCCCGGAAGAGGGAAGGGGTGTGGATCTACACTTATTCACTCTTTCACTAATGTGCCAAACTATTTGATCCGTGCCGCTTTTGTGTACCCAAAACACAGTATCATAAAAGTAATTACAGGCCCGAAAATGATTCTCAGCCCAAATGAATGGCCTTTTGGAATGCTATATTCTGGACTTCTCTTTGCGTGGGGGAGGGTCTCACAACTAACGAAAACAAGTCCTACAGAAAACTGGTGAGCTCGGCGGCTGGGGGAGGGAGGGAGGGGGGTCACAGGTCCGAAGTGCAAGGGACGCCGAAACAGGACTTGCCTCAGTTATGAGCACGTGCTCTGACCTGGCTGCGGCGGCGCAGGCAAACCCCTCGGAAGGTGTCGTTGTCCACCGAGACGGCCATTGACCTCTGACTCATCCAGAGATAAGTCATCAACCAGGCCACAAGTCCCAAGCCAGCAGCTCCTGGATTTAGTGTGCACGGAAAATTTGAGTTTCAGCTGTACGACCACTAGCAGTTAAAGACGGGTCTGAATTTCCTCGGGCTCGGCCGGAAAGTGAGGATGGCGATGGAAATGCCACCCTCCCCGAGTCTGGCCTCTGAGAGTTAAAGAAGCCGGTCCCATCCCGGCGCGTGAAGGAGCTGCCGCTGTGTGGGGCAGGACCCGAGCGGCCCCAGAGCGCGCAGCTCTGGGTCCCCGCCGCCCCGTCCCCCGCGCCTCTCACCTGCGGCCGAGTGGCCCGAGAGCGCACGGCCCCGGGCGCGGCGCTGGCCACCAAGTTCGCGGCGCTCGCGTAGCTCTTCCTCCTCGTCCTCCCGCCGCCGGCCCTCAGCCATGGGCGAGGCGCGGGGCGCAGCCGCGGGATGGCCAGCGAGCTGCGGCCCCGGCGCCCCAGAACGCCTGCACCCGGCGCCCCACGCCACCGCCCTCGGGCCGGGGGGAAGGCGGCTCCCGGAGAGGAGGCGTCGGCGGCGGCTGTGGAAATGGCCACCTCCGCGAACTCCACCTGCAGCCGGCCGGGCAGCGGCAGGGCGCGGGCCGAGCCGATTCCCCGCCTCCTTGCGGCGTCCCGGCGGCCTCTTAATCCCTGGCCTTTCCCACTCCCACTCCCGCTCTCTTCCCCCTTCCTCTTTGCCTTCCCCGCCCCGTAGAGCTCCACCGCGGATCGGGCGGGTTCGGGGCTGGCCTCGCCTCCTCAGGGAGGGGTTATCGGCCCCTAAGGCCGCCCCACAGCCACACACGCTGGAAACACCAGCTCGACCCAAACAAACGTGTGCAAAATAAATAAACGGGATAGGAAG
This sequence comes from Homo sapiens, assembly GCF_000001405.40. Classification (NCBI taxonomy): domain Eukaryota; kingdom Metazoa; phylum Chordata; class Mammalia; order Primates; family Hominidae; genus Homo; species Homo sapiens. Next base: position 151,325,818 of record NC_000004.12, read on the forward strand.
AGGGGAAAGAGGAGGTGGCCTGGCCTCTTCCTGCCTTTTCACGATATTCCAGTGTCAACAGGAAACCCATTTGTTTGACACTTAAACAAAAAGAGGAGGAACCCGACCGGGGCCGAACTGGGAGAGATGGGACAGCTGGGAGCTGCTGAACTTTGGAACAAACTTGGCTTGGAGTTGGGTCGAGCCTCTGCAATGCACACTTTTTTCTTTCCCTCTCTTTTCGCCCTTAAAAACCTAGACTTGCGGGAGCACAGAGGATTTTTAGGGCAGTGAAACTACTATGCGTATGATTCTGTAATAGCGGATGCCTTTGTCCAAGCCCAAAGAATGTACAAAACCAAGAGTGAACCGCAATGTAAACTATAGACTTTGGGTGATTATGAGGTGTCAATGTGGGTTCATCAATTGTAGCAACTGTGGCACTCTGGTGGGGGATGTTGATAATGGGGGAGGCTATGCATGTGTGGGAGCAGGGGGTACATGGGAAATCTCTGTACCTTTAGCTCAATTTTGCTGTGAACCTAAAACTGTTCTTAAAAATAGTCTAGTAAGACTGGAAGCGGTGGCTCATGCCTGTAATCCCAGCCCTTTGGGAGGTCGAGGCGGGCAGATCACGAGGTCAGGATATCGAGACCATCCTGGCTAACACGGTGAAACCCCGTCTTTACTAAAAATACAAAAAAAAAAAAAAATAGCCAGGCGTGGTGGCGGGCGCCTGTAGTCCCAGCTACTCGGGAGGCTGAGGCAAGAGACTGGCCTGAACCCAGGAGGCAGAGCTTGCAGTGAACGGAGATCGCACCACTGCACTCCAGCCTGGGCAACAGAGCGAGAGTCCTTCTCGAAAAAAAAAAAAAGTCTAATAAAAATGTTTAATAATAAATCAAGCCTCACTGTATTCCAGTTCATTTAGGGCTAGGATATGGCTACAATTCCTAGAAGAACAGGAAGAAATGTGTTAAAGAGACCCATACGTGATTATTTGTAGAGAGGCAACTAGGGGAAGTGGAGAGACCACTGGCTCTGGAGTCAGAAACTGTAATTTGAAGCACTTAGCTGTGTGAGCTACCCCTAAGAAAGTTTTTCAAAGCTGGAAAGAACCGTGTAACCAAAGTTGTGTGTACCTGCACAATACACATCTTAGGTTCAGTAGGTGCACGTACTTACTTTCACACAGAGAGGAAAAGATTCTGGAATTTCACCAAAAGATACCCAAGTAGCAGGCAGAAATATTACCTGGACATGAAACCTTAGGAAATTCCTGAGTGCGATGAACAGGCCTTTATCTTTGGCGTCTTGCTCTATTTCTGAGAGATTACCAAGAGCTCCTAATGTTCAGCAAGTAGGAGAGAAAAAGAAAGGGAGAAAAGGGTCACTGAAAATAGAATTGCCTGCCACACCTGAGTGCTGTTTCTTTGCCTTTTCAATAGTGGCTGTTGCCGCCTGAGAAAATCTTTCCGCTTTTAAGCAGATAAGAACCACAATCGATTCTGTGGAATTGAGGTCAAATCCACAAGTTAAAACTTTATTACTGCATAAGCGATTAAATAAGTAGACACTTAGAGAACTGGAAATTAAGCCAACAACAATAAAACAAAGGTTCTGGACCTTTAGGGTTGTTTTAAATGTTTGGTAAGTGAAACCTTATTTGTCACTTCCCTTCAAGGATGAATAATTTAAAAATCCCTACCTTGACCAACAGTACCATTTCATTAAGCCATTGGAGTCAGTTTCTACTGTCATTGAGTCTTAATTTTTTTTTTTTTTTTTTTTTTTTGAGACTAGAGTCACTCTATTGCCGAGGCTGGAGTGCAGTGGCACGATATCGGCTCACTGCAACCTACGCCTGCCGGGTTCAAGGGATTCTCCTACCTCAGCCTCCCGAGTAGCTGGGATTACAGGCATGCACCACCACGCCCGGCTAATTTTTGTATTTTTAGTAGAGACGGGGTTTTACCATGTTGGCCAAGCTGGTCTCAAACTCCTGACCTCGTGATCCACCCACCTCAGCCTCCCAAAGCGCTGGATTACAGGCGTGAGCCACTGAGCCCAGCCATTGAATCTTAATTTGGAAAGGCGTGAAAGTTGTTCTGGGTTTCCCAGCCAATTAGAGCTTCGGGAATCCACATTTTTGTGGTGGGTGGGTGGTGCATGCCCAAGCCCACTCTACAATTAGCAAACATTTATGGTAACTGTTGTGTGCCAAGTACCACTCTAGGTGCTGTGGGGAGACTCAAAAGAAGGAAAGAAATATCCATGATCACATCCTATGGTAGGTGCTTTTCACATATGTCTTCTCATTGCAAAAGAACAAAACATGTTCCCTGTCCTCCAATGAGAGAGGAAGGTCTATACAGTTTACACAAAACGAGACAAAACTTGGTAAGTTCTTCAATAAAGATATAACTTTGGACAGGGTGCCAACATAATTCAACAGGGAAGGAATTGTCTTTACAACTGGATATCCACATGCACATGAATGAATTTGAGCCCCTATTTCATTCCATATGCAAAAATTAACTCAAAATGGATCATAGACCTAAATGTAAGAACTAGAACTATAAAACTCTTCGAAGAAAACATAGGATTAGATCTCTGTGACCATGGTTGAAAAAATAATTTTTTGGATGTGATACCAAAATACATAAATATCAGAAGAAAAAATAAATTGGACTTAGCAAAATTTAAAACTTTCGTGTTTCAAAGGACACGATTATTAAAGTGAAAAGACAGAAGGGGAGAACATACTTTCAAATCATATATCTAATAAGGACCTTATATTCAGAACATATAAAAAACAACAATAGTTGTTTAAAAACCCAATTAGGCCGGGTACAGTGGCTCACGTCTGTAATCCTAGCACTTTGGGAGGCTGTGGCGGGTGGATCAGGAGTTCCAGACCTGCCTGGCCAGGAGTTCAGGAGGTCAGGAGTTCCAGACCTGCCTGGCCAACCATGGCCAACATGGTGAAACCCCATCTCTACTAAAAATACAAAAAATTAGCCAGGCACGGTGACGCATGCCTGTAATCCCAGCTACTCAGGAGGCTGAGGTAGGAGAATCACTTGAACCCGGGAGGTGGAGGTTGCAGTGAGCTGAGATCCCGCCATTGCACTCCAGCCTGGGCAACAAGAGTGAAACTCTGTCTCAAAAAAAAAAAAAAAAAAAAAAAAAAGATGAACTTTGAAAACATTATGTCAAGTTAAAGAAGCCAGAGACAAAAGATTCCTATGATCTTGTTTATATGAAATGTCTAGAATAGGCTAATCTATGGAAACAAAATGTAGGTTAGTGGTTGCCAGGGGAGGGGAGAATGGGGAGTGATGGCCAATGGGTATAAGGTTTCTTTTTGAGGTGATCAGAATATCCTAAAATCAGAAGTGGTGGTGGTTGCACAATTTTGTAAATATAAGGGATACATTTTTGGTACATGAATTATATCTCAATAAAGCTGTTTTTTAAAAAAATATAACTAGCTCACTACAAAAGCACAGAAAACAAACCAGGGAGAGGACTGCACTCTGAAGTCATCATATTGAGGAAGACAAACCAGATAGAAGTTACAAGCCAGAACAATGTAATTATATGAAAGCAAACCAAAGGTGCGGCCAACTAGTAACTAAATAAACATGCTCAAACATCCTACCCACCCAAGTGACACAACAAGAGCCAAACCCATAGAAGGAAAGTGATAAGAAACTTGGAATGAAAATTTACATCCTAAGAGTAAAACAAGATTCACCCTCAAAACTTGAAGGTATAAAAATTTTTTTTAAGAGATATTGAAAAAGGGCCCCCATTTTAAAAGACAATGTTCTTGGTTTCTCACTTTAGATATATAATCTTACATGAAGCAAAATGGTCTGCAAATAGAACACTACAAAAAATAAGAATATACTATATAAATATATACGTGATGCAGTGTTTAGCAAATAGAAGCACAATAAATATTTGTTTAATGACTGAATGAATATAATTCCAATTTTCTCTTGCTGAATCACCAGAAGGCATGAGTCGCAAGGCTTTACACTTAAAAAGTAACTATCTGGAGTTAAAAGTTTTCAGTTGAAGACTTCAATGGAGAAATAAGAAGGAAGAACAGGGATATACAATGGATTTTAAAACTACAGCATCTCCAAAGTTTTAGCTCTTCACGTAACAGAATTTTAAGATATATTAAAGTAGAAGAGTGAGTCCATGAGTGGTTATTATGTTATTCTCCATATTTTCTATTTGCTTTTAATTTTTCATTTCAAAAAAAATAAAAGCAGGCTGGGTTCCATGGCTCATGCTTAAGGGCAGGAGTTCAAGGCCAGACTGGGCATCATAGAGAGATCCCATCTCTATTTAAAAAAGAAAAAATTAGTTGGGCCTGATGACATGTGCTTGTAGTCCCAACTACTCAGGAGGCTGAGTTGGGAGACTGACTGCTTGAGCCCAGGAGTTGGAGGCTGCAATGAGCTAATTATGCCACTGCACTCCAGCCTGGGTGACAGACTGAGAACCTATATTAAAAATAAAAATAAAAATAAAGGAAAAGCTAAAAGTACAGTATAATAGATTGAGATAGCTATAGTTTCTGTTTGTCCAGTGCTGTTTGTCCATAGTTTCTGCTTGTCCACTATAGTTCTGTCTGTCCACTTTAGGAAATTCTCCCTGTGGCAGATTATTGCAAAACTGTTCCAAAATCTTTATGCCTCCCTCTATTTATACATTTCTAATGTACATTTGCATCTTCTTCATCAAGAAGTGGTTCCAAATTCCAGCTACTCAGGAGGCTGAGGCAGGAGGATCACTTGAGCCCAGGAGTTTGAGGCTGCAGTGAGCTATGATTTTACCACTGCACTCTAGCCTAGGTAGCTGAGTGAGACCCTGACTCTAAAAAGTAAACACAAAAAAACAGGGTTCCCTGTATCCATGAAGCCAAGCTAGCCCTGGCATTTGCTTTGGCCGACTAGAATATGGCAGAAAAGACAGTGTGTGAATTCCAAGTCTAGACCTCAAGAGGCCTTGTTTGCTTCAGTTTGTTCTCTTGGATGATGTATTAGTCTGTTCTCTTACATTGCTATAAGGAACTACTGAGACTGCATAATTTATAAGAAAAGAGGTTTAATTGACTCACAGTTCTGCAGGCTGTGCAGGAAGCATGGCTGGGAAGACCCCAGGAAACTTAAAATCATGGCAGAAGGTGAAGGGGAAGCAAGTATATCTTCACATGGCCAGCAGGAGAGGGAGATAGAGAGAGAGAAAGAGAGAGAGACAGAGAGAGAGAGAGATGGATGAAGAGGGAAGTGCTACACACTTTCAAACAACCAAATCTCATGAGAACTCACTATCATGAGAACAGCAAGGGGGAAATCTGCCCCCATGATCCAATCACCTCCCACCAGGTCCTTCCCCCAACATTGGGGATTACAATTTAACACGAGATTTGGGTGGGACACAGAGCCAAACCATATCAGATACCTTCTACCACCATGTGATCAAGCCAACATGAGCCAACTAAAGAATGCAACACTACATGAAGGAAAGGCCAGTTGTCCCAGCTGAGGCCATTTAGACCAGCATGCAGCCAACCAACCCCCAAACATGTGAAAGAACCCAGTTAAGATCAACAGAAATGCTTATCTAACCAACAAATGACCACAGACACATGACCCAACTAAGACTAAAACCACTGCCACCTGGCCTGTAAACTTGTATGTGGTAAGAAGTGCTTACTGTTTTATATCAGTGAGGTTATGTGATTGTTTGCTATGCAGCATGTGCTGGTTTGGGATTCTCCAGGAATCAGTGGGCTGAAAGAGAGTTCTAGTACAAAAGTTTAGAGGGTTAACACCTGTGAAAGGAGCAAGGGAGACAGAAAGATTGGTCAAGGGGAACTGTCATACCACTATGCAGACCTGACAAAGCCTCTGCTAGTCCAACAGGAAGCTCTAGAATAAAGATCAGAATTCCACTTTTAATGTAAATGGGTGGGCCCTTGAATCACCACCTTGCTGAGTCATTGACTTAGACTGCATGAAAGCTGAGGCAGACACTGTGGGAGACACAAAGAGATGTGCCACTCAAATCTCCCTCCAACAAAGCCTTGCTGCCCAGGTATGCTGGATATGGTATGCTATGTCAGTATGCTGACAGTCCCTAGCTTCAGTGTCTGCCTCAGCTGTCGTGCAGATCTGTTCCTTGTATCATGAAAATCTACTTTTCCATACATGTTCAGGAAATAGCTCAGGTTACCCTCCATCACCACAGTTGGTCTCAGGGCCTCCAGTATAGTCTCCCTTCTCCACACTCCATCTAAATTCCTCTTGCCCCCCAGCCACCACCTCTGCTGGTCTTGGTGGCTTATCTAGTGGTATGACTCAAACATTCATTATTGAGTTTTCTTAGCCCCTAGTGATCATATCCTTCTCAGGTGGGAGTTGCTTCACTTGTCTGTTCACAGTTATGATCTATCAAGGGAGAACCAACAACCAAGAAGCACCCAAATGGGTCATCTTGAGTTCCACACACATGTCTCCTGTTCCCGTTGTGTAAGATCAGTCTTCCACTGTTGATCAGAGTTATTATTTCTGCCAAGATGGTAAGTCTTCTTACCTGCTGGCCCCTAGCCACAAGAAACTCAGTGCCCAGAGGGCATCCATAATTTGTAATCAATTGGACCTTAGCTGCATCCTCTGGTGAGCATGTGCCCCTGCTGGCAACAGGACCTCTAACCTTATGGAGCCCCGGAAGCAAGACGTCCCCAGTAGGCCATTGGGAGTGATTGTAACTGCAGCCAATCCTGGGTCCACCCCTCTGATTCCAGATTTACAGATTCTGATTGGAGATACAGCACCATGTAAAGGTCTCTGATACAATGTGTATACTGCATTCTGGAAGATTAAGCTCCATATTCTCAGGGTATTGCCTCTGACTTTGCATTTCATTTATGTCTTCAGCAGGAATACACATATATAAACTAGAGGTAAGAAGTACAACATATAAAACATTTTTTTTTTGAGATGGAATCTCACTCTGTTGCCCAGGCTGGAGTGCAGTGGCACGGTCTTGGCTCACTGCAACCTCCACTTCCCAGGTTCAAGCAATTCTCCTGCCTCAACCTCCTGAGTAGCTGGGACTACAGGCGCACGCCACCACGCCCTGCTGATTTTTGTATTTTTAGTAGAGACAGAGTTTCACCATGTTGGCCAGGCTGGTCTCAAACTCCTTGACCTCATGATCTGCCTGCCTCAGCTTCCCAAAGTGCTGGGATTACAGGCATGAGCCACCACACCCAGCCAAAACTTTTTAAAGTAAGTGTTATTTCACCCATCAAAAGCAAATCTATAAAGCATGTGAACATAAATTCTAAACTTCTTAAAGTTACATTCATAAAACCAGTTATTATTAGTCCTTCCCCTCAAATAAAAATGAACAGTATATTGCAAAATCAAGACGAGGACTCTTAAGAGCTGTAGCTTCAGGTTCTAAATATAATAAAACACCTGCAAATGTCAAAAACGAGGGAGCATTTCCTTATTCCTTCATTTTGAAGAGTTATTCAGACTCATCTAAAAAAGAAAATGTTAATGACACATCTGAAAAAAAAAATGTTAATGGTTTATATAGTGACCTAGAGCTTCTAACGTTCTTAGAAAGTCATGTCAGGTCAAGTTTTAATCCTTTTCTTTCACTATTTTTCTTTCTTTCTCTTTATTCCTGTCCATCTTTTAACTTCAAGATTTTCCCCTTTCTTCTTCCCTTCCTTTCAGTTTGCCTTTACCACTTTCTCTTTATGCCTCCTTGGCACTCTTTGGTTTTCTTAACTGCTGTGTGCCTCAATTTCTTCATCTGTAAAATGAGGATGATAATAATAATAATAGCTATCTCACAAGAAAATTGTAAAGATTAAAATGAGTTAATATACTGTATTGGTTTGCTGAGGCTGCCATAAAAAAAGTACCACTAACTGAGTGGCTTAAACAACTGATATTTATTGTCTCATAGTTCTGGAGACTACACGTCCAAGATCAATGTGCTGGGAGGGTCCTGTTCCCTCTGAAGTCTCTGGGGAAGGATCTGTTCCAGGCTTCTCTTCCAGCTTCTGGTAGGTCCTTGTCTTTTGGCAGCATAACTCAAATCTTCACATGACGTTCTCCCTGCATGCTTGTCTCTGCATCCAAATTTCACCTGTTTATATAGACACCAGTCATATGGGACTAGGGCCCCACCCTATTTCAGTATGACTTTATCCTAAATAATCACATTGGCAGCAACCCTATACCAAATAGGGTCACCTTCTGAAGTACTGGGACATTAACATAGGAATATTGGGGGAACAAAATTCAACTCATGATATATACATAAATCCCTTAGAACAGCTCCTGGCATATAAAAGCACCACGTAAGTATTTGCTATTTATTGAATACATCCTGTACGTGCAGCCCTGTGTGAGATACTAAAGATATAACAGTGAATAGACACAGATCTGTCCTTAAGATCTACCATGGATAAGATCCATGGTAGATGCAGGGTGACCAACCATCCCAGTTTGTCCAAGACTGATGTGTGTTTGGGAGGTTTTGAGACACAAGACTTTCAGTGCTAACTCCATAAAAGCCCCAGGTAAACCAGGCCAAGTCATTCACCCCAGAGGTGAACAAGATAGGGAGGATATACTCTTAGAGGGAACACAGAAGAGGCATTGTGGCAAAAACTGCTAGTTTCCCCCAATATCTGTTTTCTCCTTGGCATTTGGCGGTCAAGAATAGAGACGACATTCTCCAGTGTCCCATGGCATTATGCACGGCCATGGGATTATGTTCTGGCCAGTAGGAAATGGTACATATGACTTTACAAGAATGTATTGAAGGGAAGAGGCATTCCTTCTTTAGCTCTTTCCTCTGTTGACTAGAATTTGGATGTAATGGCTGGAACCAGAGCAGTCATCTTGGATCACAAGAAGAAGGCCAAATGTTGAGAAACTGAAAAAAGACTGGACTCTTGATGATTATGGAGAAGGCATATCTGCTATGGACCTCATACTTCTAGACTTCATTTATGGGGGAAAAAAAGAAACTTCTACTTTTTAAAGATATGGTTATTTTGTGTTTTCTGTTACATACTTAATATAATTCAAAGTAATACAGACATTAAATTCTGTTTTAAACAGACATGAAGGGAGCTAAGAGGGAAAGAAAGTGTACCAAACAATAGAAACCGTGTATGTCACGCTTGCAACAAAAAGAGAATCTGGGCCGGGCACAGTGGCTCACGCCTGTAATCCCAGCACTTTGGGAGGCCAATGCGGGCAGATCACAAGGTCAGGAGATCAAGATCATCCTGGCCAACCTAGCAGATGGGGTGAAACCCCATCTCTACTAAAATACAAAAAATTAGCCAGGAGTGGTGGCGCACGTCTGTAGTCCCAGCTACGCGGGAGACTGAGGCAGGGGAATCGCCTGAACCTGGGAGGCGGAGGTTGCAGGGAGCTGAGATCACGCCACTGCACTTCAGCCTGGAGACAGAGCAAGACTCTGTCTTTAAAAAAAAAAAAAAAGAGTCTAGAATAACTTTCGGTCTTATAGAGTGGACTAAATTATTACAAAATATCTCTAATGAATTGAGGGAAATCTCCAAGGGCCAAAAATAAATAAGGAGCTAAACCAGAGTGTCAATAATAGCTGGCACACATATGATGCCATTCTAAGTGTTTTACATAGCTCAACTCACTTAATCCTAACAAAAACTCCATGAGGTAGATACTGTTTGTATCATCATCTTACAGAAAAGAAAACTGACATAAGAGTTATAGAGATATAATGATAAGATACAATGAATGTCCAACCAGAATTCTAGAACGGAAAAGAGAAAAGAACTGAGGAAAGGCAACATTTGAAAACATAATGACTGAAAATGGTCCAGAATTAATAAATGTCATGAATCTTCAGATAAATGAAGTGCGATGAATCTCAATTTGGTCTCTAAAATAATGCTAATACAAAACACAATAGCTAAATTTATTCAATACTTAAGAGTTAGGTACTATTTTAAGTACATTACATAAATTATATCATTTAATCTTCACAGCAACTTTAAGGGATAGTTCCTGTGATTATTCCCACTTTGCAGAAAAGGAAACTGAGGCACAGAGAAGTCAAGTAACCCTCCTAAGGACACAGAGCCTGCAAACAATAGAGCTGGATTCAAACTCAGACAATTTGATCCCAAAGAAGGCACTTTTCACATCACTTCTTTGCAAAATCTCCTCTGGGGGACAGCAAAGAGTTTGGGATATTTAAGTGGAGCAGACCAAATGGCAATTAAAGGTATAGGTCTTTTCATTGTCCAATAGAACTTCCTGTGATGATGGCAATGCTCTATATCTGTGTTGTCTAATGTGGTAGCAAGGAGCACATTTACTATTGGACACTTGAAATGTGGCTAGTGCAGCTGAAGTGCTAAATTTTAAATTTCATTTATTTTTAATTAATTAAAATTTAAATTTAAATCCCTACATGTGACTGATGGCTACCATATTGGACAGCACAGGTTCAGAGCTAGTGCAGAAATCCAATTTGAAGGCAAGGTTAATTCACTACTCCTCTTGACCTCATACTGAAATAGCTGGGTGCCTCCCAATTTTAGATGAGAAAAACTAATAAACTAAAGTTTCTTCTTAAGCAAGGAATAGTCAAAAAATTACCTTTGAATAGCTTTTTATTTATTTATTTTTTGAGATGGAGTCTTGCTCTGTTGCCCAGGCTGGAGTGCACTGGTGCTATCTTGGCTCACTGCAACCTCTACCTCCTGGGTTCAAGGGATTCTCCTGCCTCAGCCTCCTGAGTAGCTGGGATTACAGGTGTGTGCAACCATGCCTGCTAATTTTTGTATTTTTAGTAGAGATGGGGTTTCATCATGTTGGCCAGTCTGTGGTCTCAAATTCTTGACCTCAAGTGGTCTGCCCGCCTCAGCCTCCCAAGGTGCTGAGATTTACAGGCATGAGCCACTGCACCTGGCCCTTTGAATAGCTTTTAATTGCCTGTAAAGAACTGTATATATATTTTGTTTATGCCACCATGTCAGGTAATGTGTATGTGTAGTGTATGTAGGAATGTTTAGAATTAGGAAACATAAAGAGAAATCTGCAAAGGCGTGAAAAGAAGTGTCCAGTGAGGTGGGAGAACCAAAAAAGGAGGCTTTTCATTAGGCAACGTGAAGAATGTGTTACAAGAAGAGAGTGCATTCTGTCAGATATTGCTGATAGCTTATTGAATGGGATAATCAAGGTAAGGTTATTGTTCATGCTATTTAAATTATTGTTCTCTCCTTTCTTTTCCTCTAGTACATATAGTAGAATACAGACAAGTTAAATGCACATATCATGTGAACACATGATAAATACATATGTATACATGTGTACATACACACTGTAAACTTCCCTGAGGTATAAAACATTATATTAGTTTTCTATTGCCTCATATGAAATTACTACAAATTTAGCAGCTTGATAACAGCATCCACTTATTAGCTGACAGTTCTGCCTAGGCTAGGTCAAATAGGTTTCTGGTTAGGGTCTCACAAAGCCAAAATCAAGGTGTGGCCTAAGGCAGGCTCTTATCTGGACGTTCTGGAGAATAATCTGTTCCCATGCTCACTCAAGTTGCTGGCAGAATTCACTTCCTCGTGGTTGTGGGACTGAAGTTACCATTTTCTTGCTGGCTCTCAGCTCCCAGCAGCCACTCTTGGGTTCTTTCCACGTGGCCCCTCCATCTTCAAGTCAGTAACGGTACACTGAATCCCTCTTGTGCTTTGAATACCGGCTTTGTCGTCTGCAACCATCTAGAGAAAATTCTCTGCTTTTAAAGGTTTCATATGTGTATGTTAGGCCCATCCAAAATAATCTTCACACAACATAGCATAATGGTAGTGGTGATATCTCATTATATTCTCAGGTTCCACCCACAGTCAGAAGGATGAGGATTGTTGGGGATCATTTTAGAAGTCCATCTACCACAAACATTGTCTCACCTACCTTCAAAATTTGTCAGTTGAGAAAGTTCTTCAACCTAAGAAATTTCCTAAACAGAGTGCTTTTCTGAATTAATAATGTCTTAAAAATCAGTGAAATACAATTATACAAAGTCTGCATTTAAAAGCCAGCTGAGATTTGTTGAACTCCTGTTATGGATTAGGTACTGTCTGAGGCACAGGGGATACAGAAGTGAATAAAGCAGACATAGCTCCTAATGGCTCCTCCTTACTACTCTATCTTTGACTCCTTGTTTGCTTTGTCCCCCATTTCAATCAGACTGCAACCTCAAATGCCTTCAAGGACCAAGATAATATAACTGAGCAAGACAATGAGGAAATGGGAAGATCAGGTGAACGGGAGAGCTGACGCCCATTTGAGAAGGGCAGCAGCAAGTCAGTTGCTGCAGGAATGTGGAACCAGGTTTTTCTTTTCAATTTTCTTTCTTTCTTTTTTTTTTTCTTTTTAGAGACAGGGTCTTGCTTTGTTGCTCAGGTTGGAGGGCAGTGGCATGATCATAGCTCACTGCAGCCTTGAGCTCCTGGGCTTAAGTGATCCTCCCACCTCTGCCTCCCAAGGTATTGGGATTACAGGTGTGAACCACCACACCTGGCCTGGGACCAGTCTTGACAAGAATTCTGGTGATGACAGCAGAACTCAACAGAGTACCCAAAGCAACAGGTCACAAAAAGGTTCTTGGGGCCAATGCAAATAAGTCTATTAGCAGATATCCTGCCCCAAAAAGTGCCATGATAGAAAAAAGGAGAAAAGCGCTGTACTGGGAAATAATAGGGGTACGCAGGTATCAGACAGTAGCCAGAGGAGCTGAAACACAGAGATGCCTGAACTGGACACCACACAGAGCACTGAGCAATAAAGCAAGGTATTGCCCGTTATGTATTCAGAGAAAATGACAGGTTTTGGGTTCATGGTTCGGAATGCTGAGGTTGGCCTTGCTGGGGGTTCTCTACTTTATGGCCTTATCTTTCCTGCTTCCCTGAATGGAAGAGCTGCCAAACAGGACCACTAGCCATTCTCTGTGCTGACCTACAAAAACTCCAACAACAGCCAGGACCGGTGGCTCACGCCTGTAATCCTAGCACTTTGGGAGGCCAAGGCAGGCAGATCACAAGGTCAGGAGATCGAGACCGTCCTGGCCAACATAGTGAAACCCCATCTCTATTAAAAATACAAAAATTAACTGGGCGTGGTGGCGCACGCCTGTATTCCCAGCTACTCAGAAGGCTGAGGCAGGAGAATCGCTTGAACTCGGGAGGCAGAGGTTGCAGTGAGCCGAGATCTTGCCACTGCACTCCAGCCTGGCGACAGAGCGAGACTCCATCTCAAAAAAAAAAAAAAAAAAACAAAAAACCCCAAAACAAAAACAAACAAAAACAAAAAACACCAACACCAGTGCTCAGCCCTCAGCCTGGAGCACCATCCTCCACATCTTCCTGGCTCAATTAGAGACTCTGCCTTCCTTAGGAAGCATCTCCTGAACCCCCTCTTCTCCCCAACCTAAATCCTGTTTCTCCTCTCTTTAGCCCCTATGCCACTTTCTACCTCCCCTTGTGAACATTTCACACTTGTCTGGTACAATTGTCCGTAGATGCATGTCATTCACCGAAATATTACCAAGTGCTCCATACCTCCAGAAAAGAAAAATTACTAATCTTACTCTATGCCTTACATCTTAGTATTACATCTTACCATCTTTCATATTAATATTGTATGCCCTTGCTACGAAGTGTGATCCATGGACCAGCAGCGTCAGCATTACCTGACAGCTTATTTAAATACAGAATATCAGCTCCACCCCAGACCCATTGCATCAGACTCTACATTTTAATAAGATCCCCAGGTGATTCACATGCACAGTAAACTTTGAGAAGCACTGCTCTATGCACTCACCAGTGCAAACCTATTGCAATGTAATGATTAAAATGTCTAACTTGAACACTTTGGTATAATTTTCTGGTATTATCAGACTGTAAACTCCACCAGTGCAGGGACTGTGTTTGCCTTTATCATGACTGCATTCTTAGTGCCTGACACCAAGCTAGGTACAGAGTAAATCCTCAGTAAAAACTGATTAAATAAGTAAATAACATTGGCAGAAAACGTGTACGTTTTTATTATGGGAACAAGAAGATACGCTATTAAAATGACCTCTTTTGGCTGGGCATGGTGGCTCATGCCTGTAATCCCAGCACTTTGAGAGGCCGAGGCAGGTGGATCACTTGAGGTCAGGAGTTCGAGACGAGCCTTGCCAACATGGTGAAACTCTGTCTCTACTAAAAATGCAAAAATTAGCCGGGTGTGGTGGTGCACGCCTATAATCCCAGCTACTTGGGAGCCTTTGGCAGGAGAATGGCTTGAACCCAGGAGTCAGAGGGTGCAGTGAGCTGAGATCCTGTCACTGCAATCCAGCCTGGGTGACAGAGCAAGACTCTGCATGAAAAAAACAAAACAAAAAAAAACACCTCTTTTGGTTTGCTTTCATCTAAGTTATACTTTAAAATATATCAGATTAAATAGGTATTGATAATGTTCTTGAATTGTTCTTAATGGAAACTCAATGCTAATGCATTTTCTGTTATATTAAAATCAATACCAAATGTATTATTTAAAAAGCTAGGTGGAAATAATATTCTTCTTCCCCCAGTAGAGTACAAATAGCACCCTGCTCCTTCACTTTAAATCATATGATGTTTTCAACGGTGTAATAGAGATCAAAGGTAAATTTTCTATTTATTTATATTTCTCAAAATAAAGAGGCCATAGGATGATGAAAGTAAATGTCCTCATTTGCAAGCAATCCAACAATCTGGGGAAAAGAGTGTGAGTGAGTCTTCTTTAAGGACTTGTTCAATTTCAACATAATTTTCTGAACCTTCTGTTTGAATTGGTGTTTATTCACAAAACTTGTTATGTATGGAATCTTGATTACTGTGCTTCCCTCTAATTTTGCTTCTGAAAGACAAACATTTTTGCTTACCTTTGCTTATGTAGTGTCTCCATAGTAATTGTCAGAACTCTTCCTCAGCAACAAACCCACCACATTGACCTTAGCAAGACCAAAAATGTCTTACACAGAGCTTGTCTTATTCTGTGCATTCCAAAGGGAATGTTCAGCTTCAGCAATTCTTAGAGCTAAATATCATGAGCAAAGTAGTGGGACTGACATATTTTACGAGCGTTAGTACTTGGAGGCCCTTTCATAGCCTGGCCATGACCAGCATCCACTGCCCACTGGTCCCCTCCCCACCCTCTGCTTGTCACTGTCCTCAACACAGCCTTCTCTTTAATGTCTCCACCTGGGCTAAGATAGCAGGAATGAAGAGAAAAGATGGACTTTGGACAAACTCAGGTTCACTTCCTCATCCTGTGATTTTAACTGCTCTGAACTGTTTATTGATCAGTAAAGTAAGAGATAGCAATAACTAGGCCAGGTGCGGTGGCTCACACCTGTAATCCCAGCACTTTAGGAGGCCGAGGTGGGCAGATCACCTGACGTCAGGAATTTGAGACTAACCTGGCTAACATGGTGAAACCCTGTTTCTACTAAAAATACAAAAAATTAGCCTGGCGTGGTGGCATGTGCCTGTAATCCCAGCTATTCGGGAGGCTGAGGCAGGAGAATTGCTTGAACCCGGGAGGTGGAGGTTGCAGTGTGCCAAGATTGCGCCATTGCACTACAGCCTGGGCAAAAAGAGAGAAACTCAGTCTCAAAAAAAAAAAAAGAAAAAAAAGAAAAAAGAAAGAAATCGCAACATCTAGCATTCAGAGCTGTTGTAAGGACTAAGTGAAGTAATAACGGTTAGCATTTAACGGGCACTTATGTTCGATGATTGTGCCAAATGCCCAATATTCAGAATTCTTTTTTTTTTTTTTTGAAACAGAGTCTCGCTCTGTTGCCCAGGCTGGAGTGCAATGGTGCGATCTTGGCTCACTGCAACCTCCACTTCCCGGGTTCAAGCCATTCTCCTGCCTCAGCCCCACAAGCAGCTGGGACTATAGGCATGCACCACCATGCCCAACTAATTTTTGTACTTTTAGTAGAGACGGGGTTTCACCATGTTGGCCAGGCTGGTCTCGAATTCCTGACTTAAAGTGGTGGCTTACTCCTGTAATCCCAGCACTTTGGGAGGCCAAGGCAGGAGGATTGCTTGAGTCCAGGAGTTTGAGACCAGCCTGGGCAACATGGCGAGACCCTGTCTCTATATAATAAAAGAAAATTTTTTTTTTGAGACAGAGTTTCGCTCTTTTGCCCAGGCTGGAGTGCAATGGTGTGATCTCGGCTCACTGCAACCTCCGCCTCCTGGGTTCAAACGATTCTCCTGCCTCAGCCTCCTGAGTAGCTGGGATTACAGGCGCCCACCACAATGACCAGCTATTTTTTGTATTTTTAGTAGAGACACGGTTTCACCATGTTGGCCAGGCTGGTCTCAAACTCCTGACCTGGTGATCCGCCTGCCTCGGCCTCCCAAAATGCTGGGATTACAGGTGTGAGCCACTGCGCCCAGCTCAAAATAAAAAAATTTAAAAATTAGCTGGGCACAGCATTGCATGCCTGTGATCCCAGCTACTTGGGAGGCTGAGTCAGGAGGATCACTTGAGCCCAGGAGGTCAAAGCTGCAGTGAGCCATGTTGGTGCCACTGCACTTCCGCTTGAGCAACAGAGCAAGACCCTGTCTCAAAAATAGACATAAATAAATAAATAAATAAATAATAAAGCCTATAAATTATTTTTAAATAAAAAATTAGAATAATATGAACATAATAGCTTTAAAGTAGAAGACAGGCTCTATAATAATTACATCCAGCAAATATTTATTTACTGTCTATTCTGTGCTAGGCTTGGTGCTAGGTAGTGGAGTCATGTAAATGGAAGACCTTGTCTCTTCAGGGGATTTCAGTCCCATGCGAAACAGAGAGATAAAGAGATAATTTCCAATACACTGTGACAGGCTCAGGTATGCACAGAGGAAGCACATCTAATCCAGGCTGAGAAGGAGCTGTGGCTAGGGCAGGGAATTCTTGCTGGAGGAGGTTCTGCCTGAACTGAGTCTTAAAAACAAGCGGGCATTAACCAGGCAAAAAAGAGAGGAGGGTCTAAGAAGAGATTTCCAGGCATGATCAAAATAGAGAGTTATGAACACAGTATTCAGTGACTTACAAATAGTGAAATATTGCTGTGGCCAAGAGAAAAGGATTGTAAGGGCAACAGGTGAAGCTGGTGAGATAAGCAGAGGTAAAATTATAAATAGTCTGTGTGTGTACCACACCAAGAGACCCATTGATGGGGCATAAAGATCCATGGAAAGGTTTTTTTGTTTTTTGTTTTTTTGAGATGGAGTCTCGCTCCGTTGCCTAGGCTGGAATGCAGTGGTGCAATCTGGGCTCGCTGCAACCTCCGCCTCCTGGATTCAAGTTATTCTCCTGCCTCAGCCTCCTGAGTAGCTGAGATTATAGGCATGTGCCACCACGCCTGGCTAATTTTTGTATTTTTAGTAGAGACTGGGTTTCACCATGTTGGTCAGGCTGGTCTCAAACTTGTGACCTTGTGATCCGCCCGCCTCAGCCTCCCAAAGTGCTGGGACTACAGGTGTGAGCCACCATGCCCGGCCTTCCACAGAAGGGTTTTAAGCAGCAGAGTAAACAGGTGGCCAGGAAGAGCAATGAGAAGGGCTAGTATTTTTTGTTTGTTTGTTTTGTTTTGTTTTTTTCTTGAGACAGAGTCTCACACTGTCACCCATGCTGGAGTGCAGTGGTGCAATCTCAGCTCACTGCAGCCTCCACCTCCCAGGTTCAAGCAATTCTCGTGCCTCAGCCTCCAGAGTAGCTGGGACTACAGGCACACGCCATCACACCCAGCTAATTTTTGTATTTTTTAGTAGAGATGGGGTTTCACCGTGGTTGGCCAGGCTGTGGTTCTGAACTCCTGGCCTCAAGTGACCCGCCCGCCTCGGCCTCCCAAAGTGCTGGGATTACAGGCGTGAGCCACTGCGCCTGGCCAGGGCCAGTATTTTGAATTCATCTTTCTGTTTTTATCAAACCCTCCATTTCTGGGCAGCATTGCTGCTATCACTTAGGTCATTTGTTTCCTTGGAAAAGGTCTGGGAGCTGGCAGTCAAGGAAAATTTGGATTGGAGATTTTAGCAGCCAAATGGAGATGGAGTTGGGCATGAAATAGAGGCAGAGAACACGGATGCTTTATCTGGCTGCTCATGGCCCATCGAGGCTGCTTTTCTACAACACAGACTCTTTCCATTTCAATCCACTACTCATCAGCTCAACCCTGAGGATGCCATCTCCATAGTTCCAAAAGAGGACATAATTGAAATGTGTAAGGAATATCGCCATAAATTGTTCTTTTCTTCTCAAATCTTTTATTGATCACTGTATGTGGTTAATATAGAAACTGAAGAGCAAGCACAAAGCCAGATGCATATGAAAAAAACATGAAGGTACTATTAAACGAGATCTTGTAGAAGATAAGCTGAGTAGAATTTCTGGGCCATAAACTGGCTTCAGCTTCCATGAAAGTGTATAGGAGCCACTTCTGGGGAAATCAGTGGGCAAGGTTATGGGTGAGATCTGGGAAACAGAACTTAACTAAGGTTGGAGCAACTGGAAGGTGGCCTGGGTGCAGGACATCTGGCAAGACTATGGTCAGGGAGAGGGTTGCTCTGTATTTTCTGCTTCTAAGTTCACCAAAGCCCATCTCCAGTTCTGGAGTAGATCAAAGAAGAAAACTTCTGTGGGATTTAATGAGTGTCCTCAGCTTATCCAGGCAGTAGGTCATAGTGGGCAACAGATGGGTAGGAGAAGAGAAACGCCATCAAAACATGAATAAGGCAAATCAAATACAAACAGCAACCTGGAATAGGCTCATACAGGCATTTGATTTGCAGGTTTTAAAAAGTACTAAAATGGTAGTTGACATCTTAGTGATAGCCTCTGCCGATGCATCTTCTTTCTGGCATTGCATTGTTCTAATTTGGAGTTGTTGCCCTCTACATCTGATATACAGCTAGTAGACCATCATCCTCAGGACTCCCTTCTATTTCCTTAGCGGGATCTTCTGTTTTCCTATAATCCATACCTTCTTCCTTCTTGATTTTCTCCATCTTTTTAATTTAGCACATCTTAGCTTAGCTTCTTAAGAAAGGAAAAGATTCTTGAGAATTTATGTATATTTCACCTTTATTCCTTTTTAAAAAACTTTTTTTGGAGACAGACTCTTGCTCTATTGCCCAGGTTGGAGCACAGTTGTGCAATCATAGCTCACTGCAGCCTTGAATTCCTGGACTCAAGTGACCCTCCCACCTCAGTCTCCTAAGTGGCTAGGACAGCTGGTGCATGCCACCATGCCTGGATTCTACCTTTATTCTTGATGAACAATTTGGCTGGGTATAGAATTCTACCCAGAAAATAATTTTCCTTTAGAAATTTGGAGGCATTGCCCCACCGTCTCTAGCTTCAGGGTTGTTGTTGAGAAGTCCGATGCCATCTGGATTTCTACTTCTTTGGATGTGCTTTTTCTCTTTGGAAGTTTTGGGTATTTTGTCTTTGTGCCTGGCATTCTAAAGCTTCATGATAATATGCTTTGTATGGGTCTGCTTCCCTTCACTGAGCTGAGTACTTAGTGGGCCCTTTCAATCTGGCAATTTAGGTCTTTCTGTTACCTTTCATGTTAGAGGATTTCTTAAGATGTTTGGTAATCCTGGTTGTCTGCTCGTATTCAAGGGTGAGAAAGCAAAAAGCTGCATAGTAGAAGCCCTGTGCT